>NC_000022.11:49657789-49973865 GCF_000001405.40 Homo sapiens
CCTGAGAGCCCCTCTCTCAGCCCATCCACAGGTTATATCCCTCCCACCTCCAGATGGAGCTCAGGCCCGCCCTTCCTCCAGCCCCTGCCATCTCCTGGCCAGTGACCCGGTGACGACGTCACCTCCGCAAAGGCTCACACGGTTCCACCTATCCCCTGCTCTTCTCCACGGAGCACCAGTGTGAGCCTGAGAAACACGCCCTCTGGCACCTGTCCTCATAAGGCCTCTCCTGGCTTTCTCTGGAGTCCAGCCTCACCCTGGCCTCTACCTGCCACCATGCTGTTCCCGCCACCCTGAATGCCCCCTTCCAGGCATCCTTGGCCAGCACAGCCTCACCCCAGGGGAACCCTCTGCCATCTCCTCCCTGGCACACAACGTGAACCATGGGTGCCCAGTTCCCCTCAGTCCCCTACCTGCTCCAAGGGTAGGGCCCAGACTGATGGCCTCTGGGGTGGGCCACGATGAGACCCCTGCCCCTGAGGGCCCAGCCTGCACCTCCTCCACCTCACTGGATGCTGTTAACCCCCTCTGCTCCTCCTCCAGGTACAGGGAAGCCACAGGGAGGCAGAGGGCAAACATCGGGGAGCTGTGTTCCCGCCACAGATCCACACTGTCGGTTGAGTGCACCCTCACCAGGAAAGCTGGGCCCACCATGTGATTTCCTGGAGCCTCCGTGACAAAGGACCACAAACTGGGGGCTTAAAGCAACAGAAATTCTCTCACAGTTCGGAGGCCGGAAGTCCAAAATCAAGGTGTCCCCGGGGCCACGTTCCCTCTGGAGGCTCCAAGGGAGGGATCTTCCTGTCTCTGCATTTTCCAGGGGCCCCACAATCCCTGGAATTCCCTGGTTCACAGCCGCATGGCCTGATTGGAGCTTCTGTGTCTGCATGGCCTCCTGCCTGAGCCTCAAACCTCTCTCTTTTTTATGAGGAACACCGGTTAATTACAGGATTTAAGGCGTACCCTCTCCGGGATGGGACTATCTCATCCCCAGATCTTTAATTTGATTATAACTGCAAAAACCCTATTGGCAAGTAAGTTCACCTTTACAGGTCCTCGGGGGGCTAGGATGTCAACACATCTTTTTAGCGGGGACACATTCAACCCACAACACCAGCGCTAGCAGAATTCCAGCTGCCAGAGAGTCGGGCATATGGGCAGGCGCTTATCAAGGAAGAAAGCAGAGTGTTGAGGCTGTTTTTTTAAGCCACAGGTAAGAAGAAATTGCTGAGTCAGCTTCAGCATTCATTAACAGCCACCGATTTCCCGGGAAGGCCCGAGGGAGATGAATAAGCAGCAGCTGCGATTCCATCAAGCTTAATTTAAAATCCTGGTGGAGGAAGGCATGGAAACCAGTGCTGCTGGTCCCAGGAGAATGCTGGAGTTGAATATCTCTGCATTCAGATGCGGGCTTTACCTAGGAGTAAGAAAGCCTGTGTAATTAGACCTAATGACAAAGAGGCTCCACACCTCCCTCAGTCCCGGGGCACCGGGCTGCAGCCGACAGCTCCAACCAGACACCTCGCAGTTCCCAAGGCCAGCACCCCAGAGAAGGGATGTAGGGATCTTCTTCAGAGCAGAAGGTCTTCAGGGATCTCAGCACATGTGCTCCAAGCAGACATCTCCCTAGTCCCGAGGGGCAGGGCCGTGGACAAGCAGCTGGAAGCCCACCCGGCCAGCCTTGATCCAGAAGATGACCCCTGGGTGACCCCTGGTGAAGGCCGGCATCAGTGGCTGCAGAGACGAGGGGGCCCTTCTCACACCCCAAGAGTCAATTCAACCAGATGGTCGGCCACCAGGCAGAGACGGGGCTGCCCAAGGAGATCCACAGCACATCCCATAAGACACACACTCGGCCCTGGCCCTGTGCCCTCCTGTCTGCCCCTCTAGCCACCCACTGCCCGCTGCCCACCACCAGGCCTCCAGAGCAGGCTCAGCTGGCGCTAAGGGCCCAGCTGTCGGGGATGCTGAGATAGAGCGAGGGTCAAGTTCCCTCTGGTTCTCAGAAGGCCCTGGCCAGGATGTACAGGTGGCCGCAGGCGTCAGTCTTGGAGGTGGCCGCAGGCAGTGGGGGTGCAGGCGGCAGATCCTCGGTATGAATTTAAATCATTTCAGCCCTTCAGCCAGCCAGAAAACAGTTCCAATCCCATCCTGCTGGCCCAGAAGTAGGACGAGGGGAGAGACAAAGCCAAACCCTTGACCAGCTCCCCCTGCCCTGGTCAGGAAGCCAGAGTGTGAGAGTGTGCGGGGCTCGGCATCCGGCCCCACTCGGCCATCCGTGCTGAACAGGATGCCCTGAAGGACGACAAGGCTGCCTCGGATCCTGATGCCACGCTTGTTTCAAATCCTTGACGGGGAGAAACGCGGGGCGCCACGCGGCACCTCCAGGTCACCGGTTCCCACTCTGGGATTCAGGTGAGAAGCCAGGGTCTCGGGGTCCCCTGTGACCTCTTGGCCTTTGCCCATGGAGGGCAGTCGTTTGACTAAAACAGGACCTTTCTCTCCCAAGGCACATTTCCAAGCCGTTTCTCACTTGTTCAAGATACTTTTTACTTTAAATGGAACGCAGTCAAGAAGCAATGTACGGCCACCATGCACGTGGCTGCTCCTCTCTCCTGGGCCTGGGCACCCTGGGGGTGCCCCAGGAAGAGGCCCCCACACCATGGAGGTGAGCGAGGGGCTCTGGCCGGCCCGAGGGGGCTGGGATGGCGAGGATGGCCAGATTGGGCGGCTGCCGGGTCTCGGGGCCCGGTGGGTCCCTCCTCGGTGGCTTGACCCGTTTGCCTTTGAGCAATGACTCGGTGGGCAGCAGAGCCCCACCCGTAACCAGCCTGCACAGCGCAGCCCCACAGGAATCTGTTCAGGCAAAGGTTCTAATTATCAAGACATTTTTATTTCAAGCAGAGCTCAATATTTCAAGTTCATTCTGTGCCTACGTTTCAGAAAAAAAATCTTCCAGCAAGAACGCAATAAACAAGACTGAGAGCCTCATTAGGAGCCTGTGAGCCCCACATCACCAGACGCGCTGCAGCTCCCCGTGATGACCGCTCCTCCTCCGAGCCCCGCACACGGCGCGGGTTACATGGAAAAGGCACCGCAGCTCCCCGTGACGTCCTCTCCTCCTCGGAGCCCCGCACACGGCGCGGGTTACATGGAAAAGGCACTGCAGCTCCCCATGACGATCGCTCCTCCTCTGAGCACCGCACACGGCACGGGTTACATGGAAAAGGCACTGAGTGCGGCCCACAGGAGAGGCGGGGATGGAACCAGGACCCCAATGCATAGGCTGGGGGACGCACCTTGGCCACCTCCCGTGGCGGGATGGTTTTCCCAATCGGAGATCCCAGCAGGGCCCATGCTGGCGGCTCTGCCTGTCCCTGGCACGGACCACTCCTCACCTGTGGATGACACCCCCATCCCAGGTCTGTCTGCAGGACTCAGGCCCCTCCCCAGGTGCCCCCCTGGTACTCAGGGACTTTCCAGCAGCACATGGAGCTGGGGTTGCATGGAGGTGTGTGGGGGCAGCTCAGAGCCCTGCCTGGAGCCTACCCCAGCTGCAGGAGTCCCAGGGACAGTCCCATGACGGCCGAGCACATGCCTCCTCACCAGCTCCTGCAGCCCCCACAGCCTTGGCCCTGCCACTCACACAGCTCCCAGTAAGAGGTCTCCAAGCTCTGTGCCCAGCCCCCAACTCAGTCGAGCCCACAAAGGTCTCATAGATCTGGGCACACGTGGCTGTCCTAAACCTGCCCTGCACCCTCCCAGGGGGTTCCAGTGCCTGACAACACACGCATGACGTCTCCCAGCACCAAACAGACCACCTGCAGCGGTGGCTATGCTCCCTCCTCCCACTCGCCCAGCAGAGCACCTGCTGCATGCCAGGCCAGGAGCTGCTGGGGAAAGGAGGAGGGGGAAACAAATGAGGGCCTGGCCACCGAATCCCACTGCCTGGGGCAAGCAGAAGCCAAGCCGTGGAGTCAGAGTGTCTCACAGGTGGACGGGCAGAGCCCGCTGGGGAGATGGCAAAGTGGAAACAGCCGTGGAGGTGGGGAGGGAGGGGCTGCTCTGACTCAGAAGGTCCCCAGCCTCAAGTCCGGAGGGGAATGCTGCTTTTTCATGTCCATGGCAAAGACAAAGCACCATGCTTGACAGACTTCAAGCATTTGAGTTATTAATTCTGTTTATTGTCCATCATTTCAATTAAAAATTAAATCTGCATGTGTTTTGGTGCTGATTCACAATTAAAACCCACTGGGTTTCACAGCTTGTTAGGAAAACAAAAGGGATGATGAAACTTTTAGGAAACTCTAAAAAAAAATACTTTCAGGCTGCACGTGGTGGCTCACGCCTGTAATCCCAGCACTGTGGGAGGCTGAGGTGGGAGGATCGCTTCAGGTCAGGAGTTCCAGACCAGCCTGGCCAACATGGTGAAACCCCGTCTCTACTAAAAATGTAACAAATTAGCCAGGCATGGTGATGCACACCTGTGGTCCCAGCTACTCAGGAGGCTGAGGCAGGAGGATTGCTTGAGCCTGGGAGGTCAAGACTGCAGTGAGCTGAGATCGCGCCATTGCACTCCAGCCTGGGCAACAGAGTAAGAACCTGTCTTAAAAAAAATAAATACTTTAGAACAGAGGCAAAAGCATCTTGATTTCCATGAAATTAACGTGGACGTAAATGTGTGGGGAAAATTAAAATGTATTATTGGTCAGATTTTGAGTGTATCATATTTAATTCACGGTTCAATTGAAACTCACTTCTTGTTTTGCTGAAGACCTTTGCCATTTTTTTTAACCAGTCAAAAGAAAGAACAAGTGACAGGGAAATAAGAATAAAATTGAAAACAAATTAGAGGGGTAATTTGGCAGATCCTTCCAAAGTTAAAGTTACAATATGATCCCACAATTCCACTCCTCCCTCCACACCTGAAAGAGCTGAAAACATGGGCTGGAGCAGGCGGCACACCCAGGCTCACAGCAGCCAAAAGACAGACACACAGTGGACTCCCCGTACGACGGGGCCGGGTCAGCCTCGGGAGGAAGGAAGCGCCAACCCCTGCGGCTGCACGGAGAACCTTCCAGACACTGTGCTGCCCGCAAGAGGCAGACACAGCTCA
Source organism: Homo sapiens (assembly GCF_000001405.40). Lineage (NCBI taxonomy): Eukaryota > Metazoa > Chordata > Mammalia > Primates > Hominidae > Homo > Homo sapiens. Next base: position 49,662,906 of record NC_000022.11, read on the forward strand.
TCTATCACGGGACTCCATTTACGTGAAATATATCCGAAAGAGGCAAATTCACGGAGACAGAAAGCAGATTCGTGGTTGCGGAAGCCAGAGCTGGGGAGGGGAAATGAGGAGTAACTGTTCCTGGGGACTGCGCTTCCTCCTTTCGTGGGGGATGAAAATGTTCTGAAGGCAGACAGAGGTGGGGGTCATGCCGCCCTGTGAAAGTGCCGCATTCTGTTTAACCATTCACTTTAAAACGATAAAGTTGGCGTCATGCGAATTTCATGTCAATAAAATTCAGCACAAAGAGCAAACTGGAGGGTGATCGTGGTTCCTGGCAGAGCCGCTGTCAGCTAAGAAGCCATCCCTGGGTGAAGGTGCATGCAGGGCCTGACCCCAGGACCATCACCCAACACGGTCACCACAGGGCAGACAATGTCCGTTTTCACTTTCAAGATCAGCCGGTAGACAACGCAGAAAGGCCACCTGCCGTCGGTGTCCATGACAGCTGGCTTCACCGTGAAAGTGCCAGCCGGGCGTTCAGAGGGGAGGCACTCAGCAGAGACCCCAGGATCTAAGGCCCATGTTGGACGAGCAGGACGTGATGGGATCGGGCTGTGGAGGGGGCGCGTGTGGATGGATGTCCCTCAGTCCAGAAGGAGGACAATCACTGAACTTCGTGTCACCCACAGGGGTCACAGCCCAAGATCTGAGAGCAGCTCCAAGTGCAGGAGGGGCCGCGCCGTCCACTCTCCCACACTCTGGTGTGCCCAGGCAACTTCATCAGGGACAGCTGAGAAAGGAAGAGACACATTTAGGAGAGTTCCATCTGAAATACCCAAAGTTAAACAATTAACATAAAAGCGCGGGTTGGTGCCCACAGATGCTCCCCTCCCATTGCCACAGCCTCTCACCTGCACCAAGGACCCAAGGCCACCAGCCTCCCTGTCCACTCGCAGGTCTGGGACCCCCCAGTACTCGGACCGGACTTTGTCTCTTCCCTGCTTAAGCAGCAGCCCTGCCCCTGCAGCCCCCAGACCCCAGAGCAGGATCGAGGAGGGAATACCATTCTGGCACCCCCAAAACCATGGAGGCAGAAGCTGTGTCTGCCTGTGACCGAGTTCTGTCCCCAGCTCCAGAGGGTGCCCAGGCCCAGGTATGGAGCCCCCAGCCTACCTGCAAAGGCCCCTCTGTGGGCAGCAGCCTGCAGCCCTGCCAGGCACTGCATCCGTTCTTGAAGGAGTCCCTCATCACCCCCCAACCCCACAGGCTGGAGCCCCACAGGGGCTGTGTCCACTTCTGGACACCAGGGTCCAGCTCAGGGCCCGGTACATCTGGTGGGTCAGAGCCAGCTCACTCAGCCTCTGCAAGAAAATCATCTTTAGATTGCAGGGTCCAGGATGAGAGTATTTTAAATATTGGAAACCCGAGTCATGGGTCAGGGAAGGAAGACAGAATGGGTGAAAAACCAAGACGGCGCCCTGGCCAGGTCCTCCTGGCATCTCCCGTCACTCTTGACCCAGGTCAGGGTCTCCATCTCTAGAGACCAGTTGGCCAACGGCTCCTTCCCACCCACACACAGGTGAAGCCAGGCCCAGCCATCTGGCAGAGACCTGGGTTTGGTTGTCCGAAGTCCTCAGCCTTCTAATCCCGGATTCTCCAACCTGGGTTGCAGCCAGGGACCCTGTCACGTGCATTTGAATTGGAGGCGGCTCAGCCAGAGACCACTGGCAGCATTGAGATGCTTTGGTTGGATGGAGGCATTTGGGTTTCAGCAGCTGCCACATCTGATTAGACCTGATGCATTGAGCCCGACATGCCGGGCGGCTGTTAGCGCTGCTGCTGAGGAAACCAGTGATCCAGAAAGAACACCGCGGCCCGGCACGCCGTGCTGCAGTCGGGAACGAGCAGCCTGCTCCTTTGCTGGGTGTGAACACTCTGAATAATCAGCCATCGAGAGGGAAGGGGGCCAGAAACACCACGCGGTCCCTCGGATCCCACTCTGTCCTGCCTCTGAGATCCTTGTGTTGTTTTTCTGATCAGAAGCGCCGCTTTCCTTAACAAGACAGAGGAGAGACGTGGGCACGTGTCTCTGGCTTCCTGCCTTATTATTTCAATAGCTCAGAACCAAGCAGAGGAGAGCAAGGAGCCCCGTCAGCACTCTCTGCTCAGCCGAGGTGGGTGGAAATCCAGCCATGAGGCAGGCAGGCCCCGGGGAGCACAGGGCAGCGCCCCCGTGCTCGGAGGCCTGCTCAGTCCCAGCGCCGCCCCCAGGCCTGCAGACCCTCCAGACCCTGCTGACCCCCAGCCCCGCTGGCCGCAGGCTGCTCTGTGGCTCACTCGGGGCTGGCCTGACCCACGGCACAAGCGGGGACGCTGGGGGGCTCACATCACTTTTCTACACCCTCTCTGAAGGTGGGCAGCAGGTGGGCAAAACAGCTTGAATAAATATATAAATCATAAAGCATTATCAATCCCACTCATACACATAGATATATAAATCATAAAAAGCATCATCAAACTGAATCCACCAATAAATGCTAGAATAGCACATCATGGTCACACTGAATTTATCCTGGAAATTCAAAGTTTAACATAAGAGAATAGAATGCTCAAAATCAAAGCAATTCACTCCATCAACAGAGAGGAGAAAGATCACGTGTAGCTCAATCAATACAGAAAAAGAATCTGAAAAAAAATCATTCCTTCATGACAAAATAAAAAACTCTGGCTAATGAAGAACAGAAGGTAACTCTAATGAAAGGCATTTGTAAAAAAACTACCAAAAAAAAAAAAACTACAAAAGACATCACACAGCCACTGAAAGTGCCTCTTTGACATTAAGAGAAAAATCAAATATTCTTGTTTCCATCAGCGCCCATCAGAAATGAGCTGGAGGCCTGTTTACAAGGCGAAAAAAAAATACATAAGAGTTCCAAAGGAAGACACAGAACTGCATGTATTCATAGATGATGAGATAAATAATCTATAGGATTACAGGAGTTAAACAAGACTGCCAAGGACAAAATTAACATAACAAATCCATTATTTCTACAGCAATCCACAACTAGAAAATGAAAGATTTTAAAACATACCATATGCAATAATATTTTTTAAATAGTTGAGATTTAGAAGTATATCTAACAGAGTCCAAGACATCCAGAGACCTTCATGAAACTTTCCTGAGAAGCTTTAAAGACGACCACCACAGTTGGAGGAACGTTCCTATCAACCAGCTCGAGGACTCAGGGTAGCCAAGATGCCAGCTCCCCTCCAGGAGTCTACTGAGCTGATCTTTGTGGAACTTGACAAGCCGAGTCCACAATTCATGCCAGAGTGCAAGCAGTGAAGAATGATAGTACAGCTGGCTCCACCACGCAGGACTTGTCATAAAGCCACAGTGACAGACAGTGTGGCGTCGGCCAGAGGCTCAACAAATAGCCCAGAAGAGAAGGAAGTGGCCAGAAGCAGGGCCAGCCTCATGTAGATACCCATGTAGGAAAGGGCAGAACCATGGAGCCAGGGGAAAAGCAGTTCCCTCTATGAATGATGCTGCGACCCAGGACATACACATGCAACAGTAACAAAACCGAACCCTCCCTCACACCATACCCCGGGGGTCAGCACATATTTTCTGTAAAGGGCCACAGTCGTTTGGGCCCTGGAAAGCCACTTAGTTGGCGTCTGCCTCAACCACTCAATATGTGCATGGCTATGTTCCAATAAAACTTTATTGACACAAACAAGTGGTCAGCCGGAGTTGGCCCTCAGGCTGTAGCTCACTGACCCCTGCCATGCCCAAAAATCATTCCTCATGAATCACAGACCTAATTGTGAAAGACAAAACTCTATAGTTCTTAAAAGACAAGATAGGCCAGGTGCAGTGGCTCATGCCTGTAAATCCCAGCACTTTGGGAGGCCGAGGCAGGTGGCTCACCTGAGGTCAGGAGTTCGAGACCAGTCTGACCAACATGGTGAAACCCCATCTCTACTAAAAACACAAAAATTAGCCAGGCCTGGTGGCAGGCACCTGTAATCCCAGCTACTCGGGAGGCTGAGGCAGGAGAATCACTTGAATGTGGGAGGCAGAGATTGCAGTGAGCCAATATTGCACCACTGCACTCCAGACGGAGTGAGACCTCATCTCCAAAAAAGAGAGGAAGGCAGGAAGGGAGGGAGGGAGGCAGGCAGTAAATAACTTCATGATCTCAGAGTAGAAATGAATTTCTCTAAAAAGGCACAAAGAAAAACTCCTACCCATAAAAGGAAAATATTGATAAATTCAACTACATTAAAAGTGAAAGCTTATGTTCACCCAAAAACTATCCACAACATGTAAAAGAAAAACAAAAAAACAAAAGAAGCTCTTTAAAGACCAAAAGCAACAGAGAAGAGACAAAAGTCCTGAACTGAAACTTGGTAGACAGGAAATATCCGCGGGCGGAAAACGCGCTTCCTGTTCCAAGTCACAGGGAAATGCAAATCCAAACACTGAGCGGCCACAGCACACCCTCCCCCTCAACACCCCCACCCTCCCCCCACACCCCTCCACCCCGGCTCCCCAGGGTCCCGTGCTGGTTCGGCTTAGGCTTTGAGGACCTACACCATCCCTCTGAGAGCAGCCCAGCCTTACCCGGAATGGGCCCAGCCAGCCTGGGGTCCTGCAGGACAAGGCAGGTCAGGGACGGTGGAGGCACCGAGAGAAAGCGCAGCATGAGGGGATCCTGACCACCCTGGGGCCCCCAGCCCAGCACGCGCAGGTGGGGGGAGGTCCTGACCATCCTGGGGCCCCCAGCTCAGCACATGCAGGTGGGAGGAGGTCCTGACCACCCTGGGGCCCCCAGCTCAGCACGCGCAGGTGGGGGGAGGTCCTGACCATCCTGGGGCCCCCAGCTCAGCACATGCAGGTGGGGGGAGGTCCTGACCACCCTGGGGCCCCCAGCCCAGCACGCGCAGGTGGGGGGAGGTCCTGACCATCCTGGGGCCCCCAGCTCAGCACATGCAGGTGGGGGGAGGTCCTGACCATCCTGGGGCCCCCAGCTCAGCACATGCAGGTGGGGGGAGGTCCTGACCACCCTGGGGCCCCCAGCTCAGCACGCGCAGGTGGGGGGAGGTCCTGACCATCCTGGGGCCCCCAGCTCAGCAGGCGCAGGTGGGAGGAGGTCCTGACCACCCTGGGGCCCCCAGCTCAGCACGCGCAGGTGGGGGGAGGTCCTGACCATCCTGGGGCCCCCAGCTCAGCACATGCAGGTGGGAGGAGGTCCTGACCACCCTGGGGCCTCCCAGCTCAGCGCTCAAGTTGGGGCGAGGGGGGGGCGGGGGGGCGGGCAGGGGCAGGGTCCTGACCACCCAGGGCCCCCGGCTCAGCACACGCAGGTGGAAGAAGGGGAGCTAAGTACCTGGCAGCTTGTCCCACATCCTCCCTCTCCAAAGACAAAGCATCATTTTCCTGCCCCCTGAAGTCGGCCATGCAGCCCCCCAGCACCTGCAGAAGCGTGATCCCACACTGGGGTCCAGGCCTTGCCACCATGGTGGAGGTCCTGCTGGGGTCCCGGCCCTGTCACCGGAGGCCACAGCTGAGTCGCTGCCGTGGTGGCTCTGCTGCCAGGGTTCCAGCCCTGTCACTGGAGGCCAAGGCTGAGTTGGGAGATGAGGCCACAGCAGCAGCAAGGGCAGGGGACTCCACTCCACAGGCCAGGCGGGAGATGCGGGGCCCGATGGGAGAAGGCCCTCCAAGGGTGGCACAGCACACCCCGTGTGGGAGGGAGGAGACGCCCCAACCACAGAACAGACAAAGCCACGTGGAAGGCGACTCAGCAAAGAAAACGCGTGATCCGAGTCCCTTACAAAGACGGCTCCACGACACAACGTCCAGAAACAGGTGAAAACTGGCCGGTGTTCCAGGATGCCCGCAGTCTGGAAAACTTCCGAGGAACATTTTATAGTCAATTTTGTGATTTCAAGAAAATGTGTTAAACAGTCATGAGGGCTCTGTCAGGCATCCAGCACCATTTTAAACGTGTAAAACACGAACACACCCCACTATCACAGTGACACTCTGTAAAAGGAACCAACGCTTCCTGGATGCAAAGTCCAGTTGACAGTGACCCACGGACCCCAAAAGCTGCCCAGCTCCGACGCAGCTGCTCTTCCTGGCTCCCGGCCTGGCCCTGAGAGCCCTTAGATGGTCACTGCTCTATCCCTGTGTCCGGAATTGGTGGGTTCTATGGTCTCACTGACTTCAAGAATGAAGCCACAGACCCTCGCAGTGAGTGTTACAGTTCTTACAGGCAGTGCGTCTGGAGTTTGTTCCTTCTGATGTTTGGATGTGTTCCGAGTTTCCTCCTTCTGGTGGGTTCATGGTCTTGCTGGCTCAGAAGTGAAGCTACAGACCTTAGCAGTAAGTATTACAGCTCATAAAGGCAGTACTGACCCAAAGACCAGAGTGAGCAGCAGCAAGATTTAGCGCAAAGAGCAAAAGAACAAAGCTTCCACACTGCTGGGAAAGGAACCCAGCAAGTTACCACTGCTGGCCCTGGGCAGCCTGCTTTTATTCCCTTATCTGTCCCCACCCACATCCTGCTGATTGGTCCATTTTACAGAGAGCTGATTGGTCTGTTTTGACAGGGTGCTGATTGGTACGTTTACAACCCCTGAGCTGGACAGAAAAGTTCTCCAAGTCCCCACTAGATTAGCTATACACAGAACACTGATTGGGGCATTCACAAACCTTGAGCTAGACACAGGGTGCTGATTGGTGCATTTACAAACCTTGAGCTAGACATGGAGTGCTGATTGGTGCATTTACAAACCTTGAGCTAGACACAGGGTGCTGATTGGTGCATTTACAAACCTTGAGCTAGACACAGAGTGCTGATTGGTGTATTTACAATCCCTTAGCTAGACATAAAGGTTCTCCAAGTCCCCAACAGATTAGCTAGATACAGAGTGCTGATTTACAAACCTTGAGCTAGGGACAGGGTGCTGATTGGTGTATTTACAAACCTTGAGCTAGACACAGGGTGCAGATTGGTGTATTTACAATCCCTTAGCTAGACATAAAGGTTCTCCAAGTCCCCAATAGATTAGCTAGATACAGAGTGCTGATTTACAAACCTTGAGCTAGGGACAGGGTGCTGATTGGTGCATTTACAAACCTTGAGCTACACACAGAGTGCTGATTGGTGTATTTACAATCCCTTAGCTAGACATAAACGTTCTCCAAGTCCCCACTAGACTCAGGAGCCTAGCTGGCTTCAGCCAGTGGATCCTGCACCGAGGCTGCAGGTGGAGCTGCCTGCCAGTCCCGTGCGCCCGCACTCCTCAGCCCTTGGGCGGTGGATGGGACTGGGCGCCGCGGAGCAGGGGGCGGCGCTCGTCGGGGAGGCTCGGGCCGCGCAGGAGCCCAGGGTGGCGCAGGGAGGCTCGGACATGGCGGGCTGCAGGTACCGAGCCCTGCCCCGCGGGGAGGCAGCTGAGGCCCGGCGGGAATTCGAGCGCAGCGCCGGGGGGCCGGCACTGCTGGGGGACCCGGCGCACCCTCCACAGCTGCCGGCCCGGGTGCTAAGGCCCTCACTGCCCGGCCCGCGGCGCCAGCCGGCCGCTCCCAGCGCGAGGCCCACGGAGCCCACGCCCACCCGGAACTCGCGCCGGCCCTCGAGCGCCGCGCAGCCCCGGTTCGCGCCCGCGCCCCTCCCTCCACACCTCCCCGCAAGCAGAGGGAGCCGGCTCCGGCCTCGGCCAGCCAGAGAGGGGCCCCCACAGCGCGGTGGCGGGATGCAGGGCTCCTCGGGCGTGGCCAGAGCGGACGCCCAGGCCGAGGAGGCGCTGAGAGTGAGTGACGGCTGCGTGGGCTGCCACCTGTCACCCGGCCCGGGAGAGCGCTTCCCTCCCAGCGGGCAGCCTGCCCCAGCCAGCCCTCGGCTCTCAACCCGGGGGTCAGCGTTTCCTGCAGGAGCCTCTGCTAGCTCCAGCTGGAGCACTGGCTGGTTGAGGGGAGGGGATTGAACACTTGGAACCCAGACCCCGGCTGGGGATGGGGAGGGAGGCTGGAGACCACCATCTGCTCCCACAGGGCTGAGTCTTGGTGCCGGCCAAGCCCTGACCCCCTCCAGCCCCACCCACGCCCCTCGTCACCCCCGGCCCCTGCCGTCCCTGCGTCCTCTGCACCCCCAGCCCCTCACGTCACCTCCTGCCCTCCCCACGCAAATCCTGCGCTCCTGTCACACGGAGGGGAACAAAACAGGGTAGCAGCAGGGACGTGGGGGTGTGGCCGGGACCCCAGATGAAAAGGAAGGCAGGTGGCACCCTTCGACCAGCGTCCAGGCAGCGTTTCGGATTCCCCCAAAAGGAGGGCGGGGCTGAGAAGCAGGACAGGAACCACAGGATTCTCCGCCCCGCGCCACAGGTCAGCGGAGAGAGAGAGGCCTGCGGATTGTGACGCTTCTTCTCGAATCCCTGTCTTGTTCTCACTGTATAGTCACACACACAGCCCGTCACATGTATCACGTCGTGAAACAAATATCCGTGGTGTGGATGCACCCCCACTAACTTAGCCCTTTAGCAGCAAGAAAATCCCATTTATCCTTAAATCCTCAGCACCCAGCCCAGGGTCTACCATAAAAGTTAAAGAGTCGAGGCTGTAATAAGGGGTGGGGGCAGATGTTTCACCAGATCAGATGCCCCCCCAAGCTCCTTCCAAACCGCGAGCGTTGCTCTCTCTCCAGTTCTAAAGCGGACGGGGGGAGTTTGTCTTTCCCGAGTGTGTTCGAAATCCCTCTCCTTCCTTCAGTCACTGCGGGTCATTCAAAAACTACTCAGATGCTGAAACGTAGCTTTCCACCTTGGCTTGGGAACAGTGGTTCGAAAGTACTTCTTGAAACCTATGGAAATGCAGTATCTCTCCAAAATGTTCTGTTTGGGAGGTAATGATGGGATCGCAGGTGTTCGGAACAGAACGTCGTTAAGCGTCCTCAGCCCCGCTGGAGCCAGGGCGGAGGGGGCGGCTCCGACCTGTCCCTTCTCATCACATCAGTTACTTTCCATTAGCGGGAGGGGAAATCAGCAGATGCTGGTGAGGGGGGTCCCGGCGGGAAGCAGACCCCTTCTGTGCATAAACACTCAGATCTTGGACTGTGAACAAGGTCTTTTGGCAACACTTCTGGTTAATACGTTTCATGAATTTATGAAATCCTAGCACTCAACGTTTCTCCACGTGGATTATTGCCAGGCTGTGAGGGGAGAGGGCTCTGACCAGCATCTGCCGATCTGAACTTCCAACAGAGATAAATGGGGAGACACTGTTTCCTCAACCAGGAATCGTTCGGCTTCTGTGGGGGCTGCAATTATCCTTCAAAAACCGAGCGCCTCAAGGCCCTTAAGGAAAAATTGCCCCAGCGGGGGTGGGGGCGGGGGGCGGCTTCTGAAGCAGGAAATGCTCTGCTGGGGGGAGGCGCGGGGAACACTGAGGATTCAACCCCCATCAGACATAAGAGCAGGTTCTGGTCCTCACTTCAGCCTCCAGCATCTTCTCGCGGGGAACACTGAGGATTCAACCCCCATCAGACATAAGGGCAGGTTCTGGTCCTCACTTCACCCTCCAGCATCTTCTCGCGGGGAACACTGAGGATTCAACCCCCGTCAGACATAAGGGCAGGTTCTGGTCCTCACTTCACCCTCCAGCATCTTCTCGCGGGGAACTCTGAGGATTCAACCCCCATCAGACATAAGGGCAGGTTCTGGTCCCCACTTCACCCTCCAGCATCTTCTCGCGGGGAACACTGAGGATTCAACCCCCGTCAGACATAAGGGCAGGTTCTGGTCCTCACTTCACCCTCCAGCATCTTCTCGCGGGGAACTCTGAGGATTCAACCCCCATCAGACATAAGGGCAGGTTCTGGTCCCCACTTCACCCTCCAGCATCTTCTCGCGGGGAACACTGAGGATTCAACCCCCATCAGACATAAGGGCAGGTTCTGGTCCTCACTTCACCCTCCAGCATCTTCTCGCGGGGAACACTGAGGATTCAACCCCCGTCAGACATAAGGGCAGGTTCTGGTCCTCACTTCACCCTCCAGCATCTTCTCGCGGGGAACTCTGAGGATTCAACCCCCGTCAGACATAAGCGCAGGTTCTGTTCCTCACTTCACCCTCCAGCATCTTCTCCACAGAGAAGGGAAGGAGAAAGAGGAGGAATCATTCATTCTGAAATAAATTATCTGTGGAAAACAGAATTCGACTGATAAAGAGTCCACTTCTCAGCAGCAATCCTAAACGAGCACCTGGCACACAGCCGGGGCCCAGGGGGCCTGTCCAGCGAGTGAACGAGTGACCCAGGGATGTCTCATCAGAGGCCAGTGCACCAGCACAGCCGGCAGTCACACGGGGATGGCCACGCACAAACGCACGGGGCTCCAGTTAATTCTCCAAGAAGAAAAACATTTTGTTCTGAAAAACGCGACTGTGATCTTGAAAGTGGTATTTCGTGGATGTGTCCCAAGGGCCCAGCACAGTGTCTGGCACGTTTAGAGCCTCTGAAAAGAGAGGAGAAAGAAGTGAAGGGAGGAAGGAGACAGAGGGCAGGGGAGGGGGAAGGGAGGGTGGGGAAGGGGAAGGGAGGGAGAGGGGAAGGGAGGGAGAGGGGGAAGGAGGGGAAGGGGGAAGAGGGAAGGTGGGGAGGGGGAAGGGGAAGGGGGAGGGAGGACAGAGGGGGGGGAAGGGAGGAGGAGGGCGGGGGAGGGAGAGGGGGAAGGGGGAGGGAGGGGGATGGAGGGGGAGGGGGAGTGAGGGGGAGGGGGAGTCCCTAGAACCCGCCCCCGCCCCCATGGAGGAAAGGAGCCGGCATTCCTGCAGCATTTGGCTCCTCCAAGGCCCCTTCACTTCCCTTCCGAGAGGTCACTGTGGCTCTGGACTCTCCCAGCACAAGGAGTGGACATGGACAACAGTGAAAGTCCTACTTGAGTTGGCCAGTGTCTCAGCCTTCAAAACCTCCCCTCGGCCAGTGAAGTGACCCCTAACCTCCCTCAGTTCCTCGCCCTGTACCCCATCATCAGCTGCACCCCTGAGAGCCATGGAGGGGGACAGGAGGGCGGGGCCGAGTGGGGGGCACCCTGGGCTTCACGGAGCTTGGCCTCTGCAGGACCCAGCCTCATGTCGCTTCAGGGCTCCATCGGCTTGGGAGAAGTGCAGCTGCAAGGAGAAGCCAGGAATGTTACTTCACTTCGCTTGGAATTCTAACCTCTTTCCTCACCGCAGCCTGAATGTTCCAGTCAGTGCATTAACACACAGAGAGGAGGTTGTCAATCCCCTCGCAAATGTGGCCACTTAACAAAGATGCAGCTTATTGTCAGCGCGTCTTTCATGAGCTTGTAAAAGAGACACAAAGAGGCTGGGTGCGGTGGCTCACTCCTGTAATCCCAACACTTTGGAAGGCCAAGGTAGGCAGATTGCCTGAGGTCAGCAGTTCGAGACCAGCCTGGCTAACATGGTGAAACCCCATCTCTACCATAAATACAAAAATTAGCCGAGCGTGGTGGCACGCACCTGTAATCCCTGCTACTTGGGAGGCTGAGGCAGGAGAATCGCTTGAACCCAGGAGGCGGAGGTTGCGGTGAGCTAAGATCACACCACTGCCCTCCAGCCTTCGCAACAGAGTAAGACTCCTTCTCAAAAAAAAAAAAAAAAAAAAAAAAGAGAGACACAAAGAGAGGAAGGGCATTTGAATCGGATCATCAGATGCTGTGACGGTGCCAGCGTGCAGACACAAATGCCCTCCTCTGTAGCAGGGGTTCCTGGTATCCTGGTAAACTCCCCAGGCAGCTCAGATGCCCAGACTCCATGCCAAGCCAGCTGACGCTAACTGTAACTCTCGCCGGTTCTTTGAGAGCACAGATGACCTCCACATTCGCAATGTAGCTACATACTCATCAGTTAGAGGAGACAGAGAAAGCCCAGTGGATAAAGACAATTACTCAAGTGGGAAATTACTGTGTTTTCGTAACAATGTGTCACAGCACAGTCCCTGGGAGGGTGGAGGACTCAGAAAGAGGAGAGGAAGCCAGGCTTGGGGCTCACACCTGTGATCCCAGCACTTTACAAGGGGCTGAGGCGGGAAGATCACTTGAGCCTAGGAGTTCAAGATCAGCCTGGGAAACATAGGGAGACCCTGTCTCAACAACAACAACAACAAAAATTAATTTAACTTGTAAAAATTGGCCAGGCAGGATGATACACACCTGTAGTCCTGGCTACTTGGGAGGCTGAGGTAGGAGGATCACTTAAGCCTGGCTTAAGGCTGCAATCAAGGCTGCAGCGAGCCATGACTGCACCACTGCACTCCAGCCTTGGCTACAGACTAAGACCCTGTCAAAAAAAAAAAGAAAGAAGGAAGGAAAGGAAGGAAGGAAAGAAAGGAGGGAGGGAGGGAGGGAGGGAAAGAAAAAGAAAGAAAGAAAGAAAGAAAGAAAGAAAGAAAGAAAGAAAGAAAGAAAGAAAGAAAGAAAGAAAAGAAAGAAAAGAAAGAGAAAGAAAGGAGGAAAGGAAAGAAAGGAAGAAAGAAAAAGAAAGAGAAACAGGAGATGAAAATTCTTGCCAGGGAGTGTGGCTAAAACCTACCCAGTCTAACAGTAAATCATGATGCCCAAGGGGAGGGTGCACCGTGGGGAGCAAGCTGGAGAAATGAATTCCAACTGAATGGCATATCCAGAGGTCCAGCCTCTAAAAACAGAATCATTCAGGAGGGGCAGATTGCATGTGAACTAACAACTTAAAATGGGTTTTCCTTTAAGAGAGTTATTTCCTTTCTCCACTTAGGAATATTTCATTGGTTCCAGTTGTATCGCCATCTTTCTGGCCCTGAGTTGGTGCAACCCTTGGGTTGTATCCATCCATCCAACCCAACCTAACCCTGGCCTGTAAGCCAACTGCCTACAACTCGCTTGCAGTGGTCCAGGCATGGCCAAAGGTGAAGGAGGATAGGATAAATTACATTAAGTCAAGACAAACAGGGTTTCTTTCTTTCAGGTAATTTTCCTCGTTTATTAAAATACATACAGAGCATGAGTTTAGGGCACATTTTTGAAGTATCTCTGATCTCAGAAAAGGTAGGAGAAGACTCAAAAGTAACCAAATTTTTTCAAGGATTACAGCTTATCTATTGCTCATTAAATGGATTAGAGAAGCACAGTGAAGGATGATTCATATTGTCTTAAACATCCAAAGCACAGTGTCTCTTTATCAACGTGAGGGACGGCAAAGTGAAGCAAGGTATCTTCTACTTTGTAGAGACACACTGACCTGCTTCGGATCACTGGATCCCTGGACATTTCAACAAGGTCGCGAGGTCCTGAGTTAGTGTGGGTTGATCTCTCCTCTCTGAGATATTTGCTACTTCCAGCTCACCAGACTCGAGCAGCATGATACCACCAATGTGGCTGACCAGCATGATGTTCTGTGGGATGGTGAACCGAGATGACCCAGTCCTAATTCTGACAGACGTCAGGAACACTGACTCGGCCCTAAGATGAGGCTGTGAAGGTATACTTCTGCCCCTGTTGTGTGAAAGCTGCTTCTTGGGCTAATTGGCCGATAAAAGCATTTGCCAGCTCAAAGCTGCTTACAGGTGTCAAGATGAAGGTTAAATTTTCTCAGTAACAAAACTGCATATTGAATACTGGTGACAAGAGCCATTATCCAAGTTTACTGTGACCCACTGTCATTTCCTAACACCCATAGGTTGTTTCACAGCCAGACATTGTTTTCTGATATTTCACAAATCAAAGCTGCTATCCTACATATTGTTAATAAATATTTTAAAGCTTCCCATTAAGCTATGATGCATTCAAGATTGTAAGATACATCAGAAATTAATTAATTATGTCAAAAAATGTAGGAAGACTTCCTACTCACCCACCAAGCTCTCAAAGCTCAGCAGAGAATCAAACTTGGTGCAGCCCTGTCCATACCACCTGCCCCGCCTCTCCCAATGTCTCTGATTCACCTCCCCCTGGAGTCTTCAAGCTGGCCCCCAGGTACATGCCCAGCCTCCCTCCCCAATGCCAGGCCCTCACCTTCGCAGACCCCACAGTGGCCTCCTGCTGATCTCAGCACTTCCTGTTCAACCCTCCTCAGGTGGGCAGAGGGGCCACCTTCACAGAGCAGGAAAGGCCAGGTCCACCGAGCTGCCCACGGCCCCCTGATCCCCATACTCTACAGCAAGATCCCATGCTGGGATACAGCAGAGTCACCTGCAGGGTTTGCTGGGCCCAATTCCCCTGGCTTCTAATCCAGCAGGTCTTGGGTGGAGCCCAGGAATGGCCCTGGTGACCTGTCTCCTGGCGAGGCAGCTATTGCTGGCCACTCGGGGTGGACACTGTGGGGCACGTGCCCTCCCCCAAGGAGCCTGAGCTGCTGGTTCCCTCCCCCTTCCTGCCAGGTGCCCCCAAAGCACCCTGAGAAAAGGGCTTGAGCATAAGTAGCTGACTTGGGAGATGACCCAGGAAACCGTCGGGGGTGCAGGGAAGTGAACAGGGAAGGGACAGAGCTGGAGAGGGGCCTATGGTCAGGCCATGCTGGGGGTGCACAGAGCCCATGGAGAACATGAGAGCCAGTGCTACCGCACCGAGGCCTGAGGGAGCTGGGGATGCACTACACAGCAAACACCGCCCCCTGAGCAGGACCCTGGGAGGGGCTGCCTAATTCCCCAGCAGCCCACCCAGGCAGAGGGGACTCAGCTGTCAGAGGCCTGCAGGGGCATCAGTGGAGACGCAAGTGTTGGCAGCTGGACGTCTGGCCGGGGTGTGGGTGGCCCGACCGCGTGGGTGACATCCCCCAACCACAGAGCGCTCGTCACGCCTTTTGGGGGCACTCCCTGTGTCTTCAGTGCCCGAGCCTCGGCGTCCTCCTCTCTGAGCTGGCGCCCTTGCTGTCTCCTTGAAGTGTGCTGACCCGGCTCTTGCTCATCCTCAGAGAGTGGGGTCCAGCTCCCTGGGGCCAGCGCTTCCCAGACATCAGACACCACAGACCGAGGCCACAGGCTGTGTCTGACATAAATATTTCACGTGTTTATATACAACCTGGCGCTTATGGGTGCTCAGAAGCCTGGAGACTACCTGGGAAATTGAATTCCTGTATATTTTCATTCCAAAGAAATTATTTATAAGCGATTTATGGAGAACATACTCCTTCATAAATACATATTTACATTCCAGACGTTTCCCAGGGCAGAGCCAGTTGTGCGTGCTGTCAGCCTGGACATGTGTGTGCGCACACACACACACACATATACACGTCCTTACCTCTTCATTATTAAACTTAATTCTTCCATATGGGAATTTAGGTTTTTAACCTTGAAAATGATGAAAATCAGAACAGCGCTGCTTTCCAGGAGCCTTTTTACCTATCGGCTCAGGGGTGGGAGCTGGAGCCCCAGGCCGGCTCAGGCACCCCCGGCAGCACAGGCCAGGAGCCACTGGTCTACCTCCCCCACCCTGAGATGCATGGAGCCGTAGGGGCCTCTCAGGGAAACTGAGGCTTATTTCCTTCGTGGGCCCACACACCTGTGTAGGTGGCTGGGCACAGAGGAAGCTCGGGCTTTGCGGAGGAACAAACACAGACGATGACGGGGACAGAGGTTGCCGGTTTCTAGAAAGTGGCTGTTGGGCACAGAGGAAGCTTGGGCTCTGCGGAAGAACAAACACAGACGATGACGGGGACAGGGGCTGCCGGTTTCTGGAAAGTGGCTGTTGATGTTGCTGCTCCAGTCTGAATCCACCCCCAGAGAGGTGGGATGGGACCACGGGGGGCGTGCAGGACACTCCCCAGGAAAGCCACAGGGAGTCAGCAGGAGCCCAGGCACCCCACGGCCCAGCCCCTGAGCTCAGAAGGGAGGTCACAGAGGCATGCAATGCAAAGGGTGACAGTGCCACTAAACGTTCTTACGGGAAGACAAAGACCCCAGTCTCGGTTGCAAAACAAAGTCCAGATTTATTCTGCTCACAAAAGGCAGAGTGATTTTTAAAATGATGGGGATTAAGAAGGCAAAAGGACAAACAAAACCAAGGAGATGGACGCAGACTCACAGTGTAGGGGGGCCACAGACGGGAGCAGACACGACCCCAGGCAGATGCCGTGGACGGAAGGAAAGCAGGTGCCTCTACACAGACGAGAGGCGCGACCCACATACGGAAGCTGCTACAAGAATTCAGATGTGCTCAGTAACAGGGCACTGAAATGTTCATATAAGACAAAGACAAAAGTATTTTCAAATTTGACAGAAAAGCAGTTACAGTGAAAAAATTTAACCTTTCACTCGCTCTTCAAATGTTGAGATGGACAGAGATAGATGAGATTGTAGGAGGAAAATAAATAAGATGATTAATAAGGATGATTTAATAAATATGCATAGACATAGCACACACTTTTCCTCTAAAATTCATGAAAGATTTGCAAATATCCATCATCAATAAGGCTGCAGAACGAAAACTACAATAAATTGTAAGAGACAGAAATGACAGTTCTGTTCATCTGAGACAAGAAGACCAGAAAAACATCATAAAAATAAATACGGTTTAAAAAAGCCAACTATAGGCAATTTTAAAACATATATGATTCTGTTCTAAAAGGAAATAAAAATTTTAAGTAGTATGCTTTCCAAAAATTAAAAGAATTCTCTGGGCGGAAACCTGGAGGGCCTGGCCAGAGCTCAATGCAGAGGGGACGCCTCAAGTTCGGATACCGTAATTATCAACTCAGAAAACAGGAGGGGATCACAGGGTCGAAACTCTCAGAGGAGCTCTGGAGAACAGAGAAGTTAAAACAGAGAAATGGGAGGAAGATGGCACTTCATAATGAATTGGAAAACCAGGACTTTTATCCCTGGATCATTGAAAAATCACACCTTTTTGAAAAAGCCAGTAAACTAGCTAAACCTCTGAGAACCAATGGAAAACACAACATATCAACCAGCAAAACATGTTTAATTGCAAAAGAACACTATGGCAAATGTGTTATTTTTGGTAAAATGTCTGCTTAGAACATGTTGTACAACTCGGCGAGCGTATTTGAAAGTGTCAGTAGCACACAGGACTTCCGGGGAAAAGTGTAATTTTCTGAAAGGAGCTTGCCATGTAGAAAGAATAAGCAGCTAACTGGATAGTAATGATTATCCAAAAATCACCACAGAAGAGGGTTTGCGGCCCAGAGTATCAATGCTGAGTACAATTATTTGTCACTTTAGAATACAATGAAAATTTTTAAATATTTTTAAAAAGAGCTCTGCCTGACTGCAAGTCATAAAGATTTTTCTCCTGAGAGTGTTAGAGTCTTACATTTTACATTTATGTCTATGGTCCCTTCTGAGTTATTTTTTGCATAAGGTGTAAGCTTCAGGTTGAGGCTCATTTTTTTTGTCATGGATGTTCAGTTGATCCAACACCATTTTTGAAACACTATTCATTAAAACTTCGAATTGCTTTTACACCTTTGTCAAAAACCGGCCATGTTTCTGTGTGGCTATTTCTGGCTTCTTCACTCTGTTCCATGGGTCTATGTTTCTTGTCTTTCACTAACACCACACTCTCTCAACTACTGTAGATTCATCGTGAGTCTTAAAATCAAAGATTCCTCCAACTTCCTTCTTCTTTTTTAGAGTTGGTTTAGACATTCTTGTTTCTTTGCTTTTCCATGTAAATTTTGGAACCAACTTACCTATGTCTACAAAACATTTGTGCAGAGTTTGACTGGTGTCATGTTAAATCTATGGATTACCTGTGGAAAGTTGTCATCTTCCCTTCAGAATTTTCTATACATCAACATGACATGGCTTTCCAGTTATTTAGATCTTTGCTTTCTTTCACCAACATTTTGTAGTTTTCAGCATACAACATACTTTTTAAAAATATTTATATCTGGCCAGGCACGGTGGCTCATGCCTGTAACCCCAATATTTTGGGAGACCAAGGTGGATGAATCACTTGAGGTCAGGAGTTTGAGACCAGTCTGGCCAACATGGTGAAACCTGGTCTCTTCTAAAAATACAAAAATTAGCCGGGAGTGGTGGCGTGCACCTGTAATCCCAGCTACTCTGGAGGCTGAGGCAGGAATTGCTTGAACCCGGGAGGCAGAGGTTTCGGTGAGCCGAGATGGCACCACTGCACTCCAGCCTGGGCGACAGAGACTCCATCTAAAAAATATATATATATATGTTTAAATATTTCATTTTTGGAACCATTGTAAATTGATTCATTTTTTATTTTTGTTTCTCATTGTTCATGGCTAACATATAGAAATCTAATTGTTGGGTTTTTTTTTTCACCATTCTCCTGCAAGCTTGCTAAACTTATTTACTATAGAAATTGTTTTACAGATTCCTTGGGATTTTCTATGTAGACATATTATCTGTGATTAGGGATGAACATTTTTACTCCTTCCTTTCTAGTGTATATTATACATATATAAAATATTCTATTATATATATATATATATTGCTTTTACACCTTTGTCAAAAATCAGTTGGCCATATTTGTATGTGTCTATTTCTGGATTCTTTATTCAGCCTATGTTTATATAAAAATACATACATACATATTACATATATCTTATGTATATGACATGTCATATATATATATCTATGTTATTGCATGGGGTTAGGACTTCCAGCATGATGTTGAATAAGTGTAGTGAGACTAAGCATCCTTGTCTTGATTCTGATCTTCGGGAAAAAAGCATCAGTCATTCACGATGAAGTATAATGTTAGCTGAAAGGTTTTCATGATTATCTCTTTTTTTTTTTTTTAAGACAGTTTCGCTCTTGTTGCCCAGGCTGGAGTGCAATGGCGCAATCTCGGCTCACTGCAACCTCTGCCTCCCACGTTCAAGCGATTCTCCTGCCTCGGCCTCCCGAGTAGCTGGGATTACAGGCATGTGCCACCATGCCCGGCTAATTTTTGTATTTTTAGTAGAGACAGGATTTCACCCCGTCTTGATCAGGCATGTTGATCAGGCTGGATGGTCTTGAACTCCTGACTGACCTCAGGTGATCCACCCGCCTCAGCCTCCCAAAGTGCTGGGATTACAGGCATGAGCCACCATGCCCGGCCCATGATTATCTTTTATCCAAGTGAAGATGTTCCTTTCTACTCTAGAAGTTTTATCATTTAAGAATGTTACTTTTTCTATATCAATTGATATGATCATGTGTTTTTTCCTTCTTTAGACAGTTAATGTGGTGAATTGCATAGATTGATATTTGAATATTGATTCTGTATTCTTAGGATAAATGTCACTTGTTGAGATAGGTAGATGGATACCATTTGCTAATATTTTTTGAGACTTTCTGTTTTCATGAGAGACATTGGTCTATAGTTTTCTTTAATTTTTCATCTGGTTTTGGTATCAAAGTCATGCTGGCCTCATTCAATGAGTTGGAAAGTGTTGCCTGCTTTTCTATTTCCTTAAAGAAATTGTATAAAGTTGGTGTTATTCCTTCTTTAAATATTTGGCGAAGTTTGCCAGTGAGACCATATGGGCCTAAAGAGTTCTTTTTCAGGAAGATTTTTAACTACAAATTCAGTTGTTAAAATAGTCACTCCAGAGGGTTTTTATCACAAATTCAGTTTCTTTAATAGTTGTAGAATTGTTGAGATCATCTATTTTATCTTGGGTGCATTTCTGTGGTTTGTGTTTTGTTCATTTCACCTAAGTGGTGGCATTTACGCGTGTAGAGTTGTTTGTAGCATTGCCTTATTGTCGTTTTAATGCCTGTACGAGAGCCACTTCTTCACTCCTGGTATTCGTAATTTGTATCTTCTTTCTTTTTTTTCTTTTGCCAGTCATGACGGAGTTTTATGAATCTTATTTATCTTTTCAAAGAAACGGCTTTAAGTTTCACTCATTTTCTCCGTTGTTTTTCAATTTCAATTTTATTTGTTTCTTCTATTTATTATTTCTCTTCTTCTGCTGACTTTGGTTATCTTGCTCTATTTTTTGTTAGCTTTTTTATTTACTTTTGTTTTAGGTCAGGGATACATGGGCAGGTTTGTTATATAGGTAAATTGCATGTCATGGGGGCTTGGTATACAGATTATTTTGTCCTCCAGGTAATAAACATAGTACCCAATAGGCAGTTTTTTGATCCTTGCCCTCCTCCCACCCTCCACCCTCAAGTAGGCTCCAGTGTCTGCTGTTCCCTTTTTTGTGTCCATGTATACTCAATGTTTAACTCCCACTTATAAGTGAAAACATGCGGTATTTGGTTTTCCGTTCCTACATTAGTTTGCTTAGGATAATGGCTTCCAGCTACGCTCACATTGCTGCAAAGGAAGTGATCTTGTCCTTTTTAATGGCTGTGTAGTATTCCACAGTAAATATGTACCACATTTTCTTTATCCAGTCTACCATTGATAGGTATTTGGGTTGATTCCATGTCTTTGCTATTGTGAATAGTGCTGTGATGTATGTATGTATGCATGTGACTTTATGATAGAATGATTTATATTCCTCTGGGTATGTATGCAATAATGGGATTGCTGGGTCAAATGGTAATTCTGTTTGAAGTTATTTAAGAAATTGCCAGACTGCTTTCCACAATGGCTGAATTAATCTACATTCCCACCTACATGCACGTAGGAGCATCTCCTTTTCTCCGCAACCTCGCCAGCATTTGTTATTTTTTGACTTTTTAATATTTTTTGCTAGCTTTTAAAGTTGGAAGCTTGGATTATTAATTTTAGGCCTTCTTCTTCTTTTCTGATCTAAGCATTTATGGTATAAATTTCCCTCTAAGCACTGCTTTAGCCACACTCTACAAAATTAGTATTTTATATGTTGTATTTTAATTTTTGTTCAAAGTATTTTTAAGGTTCCTTTAAGACATCTTTGTGATCCACGGATTATTTAGATGGGTGTTGTTCAAACATTTAATTTACAAGTGTTTGGAGGTTTCCTTTTTATCTTTTATTGTTGGCTTCTAGTTTAATTTCATTGTACTCAGAAATAATACATCGTTTGATTCCAATTCGTTTAAAGGTGTTAAGGTTTGTTTTATGACCAAAATATGGTCTATCTTGGTGAATGTTTCATGTACTCTTGAAAAGCATGCCAATTAGATCCAGTTGGTTGATGATAATGTTCGGTTATTTTATATCCTTCCTGGCTTTCTACTAATTCTATCCAGTACAAGGAGACGCCAAAATCTCTAACAAGTGTGGGTTTGTCTCCTCCTCATTTCATTTCTGTCTCTTTTGCTTCACGTATTTTGAACTTCTGTTGTTCGTTAGGTACATATACATGTAGGATTATTATGTATTCTGTGAATTGATCTTTTTAGCATTACATAATATCCCTCTTTTTCCTCTCATAATTTTCTTTGCTCTAAACTCTGTTTTGTCTGATATTAATGTAGCCATTCCAGCTTTTTTTGTTTATTGCTTCCATTATATATATTTCTTTATCTTTTACTTTCAACTCACCTTTATCATTATATTTGAAGTAAATTTCTTGTACATAGCACATGATTAGGACATGTTTTCTTTCTTTCTATTTTTTTTTTTTTTTTTTTGAGACAGAGTCTCACTCTGTTGCTCAGGCTGGAGTGTAGTGGTGTGATCATGGCTCAGTGCAGCCTTGAACTCCTGGACTCCAGAGATCCTCCCACCTCAGCCTCCTGAGCAGCTGAGATCACAGTTATGTGCCACGACACCCAGTCTAATAAAACTATTTACATTTATTGTAACTGTTGATAATTTGCATTGAGATTTAGATTGAGACCTCCCATTTTCTTTGCTTTTTGTTTCCTCCCTCTAGTTTTCATTTTTCTGTTTCTCCTTTCCTTCTGTCTGGTTTATCTGGACTTTTTTAAGTATTCTGTTTTAATTTCTTTATTGTGTTTCTGACTGTATCTCTTTGTATAACCTCTTTAGTGATAGCTCCAGGGGTTATATTATACTACATACAGTTACCTTTTCACAGTCTTCTTAGAATCGTACTTTACCACTTCACGTGAATTACAGAGACTTTACTGCCAGTCAGGCCCCTTTATCCTCACCCTTCTTGTGGTCATCTTATATAATACATTTATGTTCATTGAAAACCCCATCAGACAGAGTTATAATTTGTACTTTCAATCATAATTCTCAAAGCATAATTTCAAACGCAAGAGGGAAAGAAGAATCTATTTACCCAGATATCTACTGCTTCTGTCTCACTGGCTGTGAAGTTCTTGAACTTTGCTATGGTGGCTGTAGGCTGTCGTAGATGGGCCAGTCAGCGGGGAACTTGCAAGACTCAAGTCCCAGGTCTCTAGACAGGGATGGGGTCCAAGGTGATGACTTGGGATTTCCAGGCCCCAGATCCAATTTGCAGAATACTCAGCTGACCCAAGGCACAGAGCGTTATGCAGCAGGCGTGCTGGCAGGTTCGAGATCTCTCCCACCCTTGGGGGGAGCCACCAGCCCAGAAGCGTGAAGCAGCTGTGTTCCTGCTGCCACACCCATGCCCCTCACCCCCACCTGGACTCTTCTGCCACCCGTGGAAGGAGATCAGACGCCCCCAAGATTCTTGGTGCTGCGAGATCATGTGATTGTGTGACCACATGACAAATACAGCATCCATCTGATACATGTCTATACCCAGTTCTGAAATTTTAAAAATAATAATAACTTTTAAACAGCTAACACATATGCTGTCCACTATCCGGGACCATTCTGAGCACTTTCCTTACATGAACTCTGTCTTTTCATACCAAGCCTAGGAGGCAGCCTAGGAGGCAGTATTATCAACCCCATTTTACAGATGGGACAACTGAGAAGAGAGACGTCAATCAAACCCCCAAGGCGACGCAGCAGTAGCTGGCGAAGCCGGAATCTAAACCCAGATGATGGGCCCCTGAGTGTCTTCACGTACCTACCGTGGCCCGGCACTGCCAAGCAGACCGGAGAGCGACCTCCCTCTGCATAAGGAGGCTCAGCAGCCAGCACGGTGCTGAAGCCCAGGGCAGGACAGCGTCCCGTTCTGATACCGGCTGCCGGCATGTGTCCATTCACCCGGCAGTGGTCCAGTGAGCACCTCACCTGGACAAACCCCTCCCAGGCTCTGCAGGTGGCCAAGGCCTCCCCGCAGGGCCTCCCGTCCAGGAGTCTGCTTTTAGTGACAGACAGTAAACCATGGTAGAGGAGGTTTAAAATGCAGAAGGAAAAGCAACATGTAATAACGTGTGCTCAACCCTTGCTTACAAAGTTCTTTATTTGTAAAAATAAATAAAATAAAGCCAGCATTAACTCCGCATACCGGAGTGAAAATGTAAAGAGGTGAGAAGGACAACCCACCAGTGCCCCAAACCCCAGATGCCCCCAACTTCCAGGAGCACCTGCGGGGAACCTCCTCGGGACTTTCCAGTGGGCGCACCTGCCCCTTGGCTGGTGGAGGGAATGACACTGTAGACAGTGGGCTCATCAGCAAGGGTAGGGGCTGGATGGATGGTTCCGAAAAAACCTGAGGCTTCCAGCTGGGAAATTAGGGTCCAGATCCCTAGATAGCAGGGGGATTATAATTTTAAGAACAAACTTGTACAGAGTTCAGGGCCCAGCTCTTACTGAGCCACAGGAGGTGTGAGCCAGTGAGGACAGGATCCCCGTGGACGGGCATGAGGAGCCCAGGACCTGGACACCAGCCTTTGGTCAAGGACGCTGGGCTGCTGTGAATGTCGGGTTGGACAGGAGTGAGGGGGATCAGGATCCGGATCCGGAGGCAGTCCAGGCCCACCCCAGGCCCCCTCCTGCCTTGGGAGCAACAAGTGGGGAGGCACCAGGGAGAGCGCTACATGGTCCAGCTCCCTCCACCTGCAGACCCACAGGGGCGAAGAGGAGGTGATCGCCCGCAGAGCAGGTGAGGACCACAGAGCAGGTGGGGAACTGCCACCACCCTGTGAGAAGTGTACCCTTCCTCCCACCAACAGGGCAGGTGGGGACCACGGCCACCACACCCCGGGAGCTACACCCTTCTTCCCGTCCACAGGGCAGGTGGGGACCACGGCCGCCACACCCCGGGAGCTACACCCCTCCTCCTGCCCATGGAGCAGGTGGGGACCATGGCCACCACCCCCAGGGAGCTGCATCCTTCCTCCTCGGTGCAGCGTGGCCTTTGGAATCCCCTACTGGAAACTTGAGGGAGGGATCAAGTCATCTCCATCTGAATTCAGGTCTGACTCTGTGGGGAGCACCCAGGTTTGCAGAAGGGTTTATGAGCCTGAGGCCAGACTCCCTGCAGACCTGGGTGAGCCCTGACAACCCTCGCCTAAAGCGTCTGGCAGCGTCGCAAGTCCAGCTGCCTGGCCAACTGAAATGACGGTTTGGGGCAATGTGTGGTCTCATCACCTCGGTGCCCAAAGCTCCAGTGACCATCGTTTTAGCAGCAACACCACCGTCTACCTCGGAGAGCCACAGAGGACTGTGGGCAATAGGCTCTTGAGGCCCTGAAGGCTCAGGCAAGGTGGTGGGTCCCAGGCCTCACACTGCTGTCCCCCAAGGAAAGCAGGCAGGCCCCTAACAGCACCCCAATCTGCCTGGGGTCCCAGCTGGCTTATCCCAGACAGTGCAAGCTCACATGGAGCACACAGCTGGGGCTGGGCGGGATGCTGCTGCTGGCCTGGGAGGAGGGGCAGCATCCAGGCAAACAGCAGAGCCATCAATCAAATGGACATGCAGGGCCAGGACCACTGGGACCCCGGAGCGCCACCTCCCAGGCCCTGCAGTCTCAGGCCCCCTCCCTCCATCTCAGGATGTCTCTTTTCTTTGGGCCCCAGATATCAACAGGTCTCATCTCTTCCTCTGGAAAAACATCCTCAATTTCACCCTTTCTCACCAACTCTACCTACCACTCCTGGTGCAAGCAGCCCCACCTCCCACCTCCCACCCCAGCCTGGGCTGCTCCTGGAGCCGAGGCCACCATTCAGAGACACCCACTTTCCCGCACTCACCGCCCAAACCGGACTCCTTTCTGTGGGCAACCTGGCCTGCCCCCAACCGTCTCCCACCAGCCCTGCGAGGACCCCTGTCAAACCCCTCAAGGTCACACAGCAGGGCTGGGGGCAGCCACTGGGAGAAAGCCAGATCTCACACTGGCCTCTGCCCTGAGCCCGAAGCCAGGGACTATCAGTGCAGATGCAAGGGCTGGCCGCTCCCCAGATTCGGACACCCAAGAGCCATCCAGGCCCAGCGTTCCCATGGGGCCCAGGGAGGCCTCTGCTGTGACTGCGTGGGGTCCAGATCCTGCTCTGCCGCCCCTGAGGGCGGCCACAGGAAACCTGGGCCACAGCTGCCCTCCTGGAGTCAGTCTCCCAGTCCCCGACCTGAGAAGCTTCCTGACCCGGCCCCACTTGTCTGGAGCTGGGTCACCTGAGTGCATCAGATCTGCCGGCATCCACTGATCCCCTGGATGTGTCAGATCCGCCGGCGTCCACTGGCACCCAGGCAGCCAGCATATGTGAATCACAATTCCACGCTCAATCCGCTGGCCTCACCAGGGCAGGGGCCCTGCCTTCCACTCCCGGCCACTGTGGATGACAGGCTCCGAGGTCCCCAGGACCCATCCGTGCAGAGCCCTTCCCCACACCAGCCAGGCCTGGGACCAGGTGTGCAGACCAAGGAGGTCCTGGGGAAGGGGAGCAGGAGGGGTTCTGGCTTCTTCAATAGCCATGAGCCCTACAAAAAACACCTTCCCTTTGGGAGTAAGGACAGGTGCTGCTGACTAGCAGTGGGGGTGGGATCAAGGCAGCAGCTGCCTCAGGAGCCCAAAGGTGCTAAATCCCTCACCAGGGTGGAGAAGGCCTCCCAGAGGATCTCTCCTTGCAGTGGTGCCTGGCGGGGCTCTTGAGAAAGCTCTAGGGATTTTCAACCTCGGAAAATGGATATGGAGCTTGGGAAGGAGGCGGCGCTCCCCAGAATGTTAAATCAGCGTGGTACCTCCGCCCCACACCCCACATGCGAGTCAGCTCCCGTTACCAGGCACCAAGCCTGGCAAGCTGCGAGTTTGAGAACAAAGGACACATACTCAGGCCAGACACCTGGAGGAGAGGGCAGGGCCAGACTGCGTCTCCTGGGCCCGAGGCTGTGCCCGGCTCTGTGCCCCTTTCTGGGCGGGTGAAGAGAAACGGGCTCAAAGTCGCTGCCAGAGAGGATGTGGGCCCTCGAGAACGCACCCTTTCCCAATGCCCCCTACTGCCAATTCCCAAGCTCCAGACCCAATCCTATTCCTTCATCCTCATCTGGGGCTCCCGCCTGCAGAACACTCCCGGCACTCATCACTGCCTACGACAGTCCTATCTGTCCCCAAGACCCCTAAATATCCCTCTGCTGCAAAGCACCTCTGGTTCCCCACCCATGATCTCAGAACACAGACTGTGTCCCTTGGTGATGGCCCCTCCAGGGCCCCCTTGAGAGGGTCTGTGACATTCAATCCCTCAGAGCTCCAGGAAGTACAGAGGGAACTGGCTTCACAGCCCCTGTGCTGGGACTCAGTCCCTCAGAACTCTGAGAAGTGCAGGGGGAGCTGGCCTCAGGGCCCCCTGTGCTCAGTGCCTTCCCATGCCATTGGCTGCGTGGGACTAGTAGACCAGATGGCCTTACAGGCAGGGTCTCAGATCCAAGAAGCAAACTCTACTTGGCCTGGCCTGAGATGTCCGCAGCAGGGGAGTTCCTGGAAGGACACCTGTAGTTTGCACGCACAAGGAAAGCTTCAAGAACAGGGAAACTGAGGCTGAGGCTCCAGGGCCTCAGGGTCGCAATAACCATCAGCTCATTACACACTCCCTCCCCCAGCCCCTCCTTCCAGCAGGAGACCTGGGCTCCCCTGAGTTGAGATCAGCCCAGCTCGGCCATGGGAAGAGCTCTCCCTCCACCTTCAGTGTGAGAAGCCCCAGGACGCACTGGCAGAAGTCCTGCCTGACTGATCACTGTGGCAAGGAGACCACAGGAGCCCTGGGGGAACGGCTCAGGGGAGAACGGACTTCCCAAAAAAGGGGGTCAGTAGCACCCAGGGATCTCTCCAACAAAACCTGAGGTGAGGCCTGTGCAACCTTCCTGGCCGTGCCATCACCCCAGGACTGAGGGTCCTGCCAGAGACAATACCGTGCCCCCAACCAGGGCCCCTGCAGCCGCTCCAGGGGGCACGACCAGCCAGCCACAGCCACCTTTCCTGGGCCTGGAGTTGCATTAGGAGTAGCAGGCATCAGGGGTGGGGTGGTCCCTGCCTGAGGCTCTACCAGGGAGCCGCTAGGAGCCCAGGAAGAATGACAAAGCCAGCCCACACACGTAAAGGGCAACCTGGCCACCTCCTGCCCGTCCACTTCCCCGAAGCTGTCACAGCCCAGAGTCCGTTGTTGGGGCGTGCAGAGCTCCCCGCTGTTCCAGAGGGGGCAGCTTCCCGACTGAGCAGGAAGGAAAGGGAGGGTGGGGGCAGAACTCTATCCGGCCACTGTTGGGGACAAAAAATTTGGAAAAATGGTTTGCAGACTCTGACAAAGCTAAACATACAACCCAGAAATCACCCTCTTAGCACTGAGTCCAGCAAACTGAGAACTGTTCACACGAGAAACCACACACGATGACTGCTCAGGGCAGCTGTGTCTATAATCGACAAAACCGGGAATCGCCAAAGTGTCCAGCCGGAGAATAGACAGACAGACTGCCGCACTTCCACACTGGGAGCACCACCCAGCCACAGGAGGAGCGAGCCTGGGAAATGGACAGACAGACTCACTGCAGCACGTCTAGGCCGGGAGCACCACTCAGCCACAGGAGGAGGGAGCCTGGGGAACGGACAGACAGACTCATCGCAGCAGGTCCATGCTGGGAACACCACTCAGCCACGGGAGGAGCGAGCCTGGGGAATGGACAGACAGACTCATTGCAGCAGGTCCACACTGGGAACACCACTCAGCCACGGGAGGAGCAAGTCTGGGTAATGGAGCAACACGCACTGATCCTAAGTGCATTTTGCCAAGAGACAAAAAACAGACCGCAGCAGATACACAGTGGGTGGTCCCATTTGTATGACATTCTGAAAAAAACAAAACTATAGAACAGAAAACATATTGGCCACTGCCAGGGCTTGGGGGAGGGGGCGGAATTGGCTAAAAAGGGACACAGAAGATGGTTGTTAGGGCAGTGGAGCTGCTCTGTATAATGCCCTGGCAGTGGATAAGTGGTTCCGGGCATTGTCAACACTCTGAGACACTTCACTGCGTGTGCGATGGACTGAAGTGTGTCTTCCCCGAACTGAGATGCTGAAGCCCTAAGCCCCGGGGGGAGTATATTTGGAGATGGGTCCTAGAGGTAACTGAGGCTAAATGAGCTGACATGGGTGGGGCCCTGGCCCAGCAGGACCGGTGTCCTCCTAAGAAGAGATGCCAGAGGTCCACATGCACAGAGGAGAAGCCAGGAGAGGACACAGTGAGGGAGACAGCTCCCACCCAGAGCCACACCCCCCAGCACCTTGCTCTTGGACTTCCCGTCTCCAGGACTGTGAGCAAATCAATGTCTGCTGTTTATGTGGCCCAGTCCATAGCATTCTGTGAGGGCAACCCAGGCTGACTGGTAGTATGCAAACCAAGAAATCAGCCAGGAGGTGGGGGCCTCAGGATGGCATGTGGCACCTAACAAGTGGATCCACCTGTATTTAAAGGCAGGCGCAATAATCTTGCCCAACAGGGTGGGGAGGAGAGGAGCTGAGTAAGTAAGTAACTCCAGAATAGGGTATTTCAACTGATGCTGCCTGTGCACAGTGTGCTCCAGTGTCCGGCAGGGTTACAGATGAGCAATTCTGACACTATGTACCCTAGAGTTAAACAAGCACATACATTGTAGAGATGAGAACCAGTCAGTGCAGGAAGAACAGTTACACTTACGCTAGGGGGAGGCAGAATGGGCTTTGAGGCAGTGGATTTGAGTCTGAGATGTCAGCACGAGGCTGAGCTTGTTTTAATAAGTATCTATTTACAGTTAGATGCATACAGAAATAAATCAGATGTGTGTGGACATGGGCTAGTGGACACACATGTATTTCCCAGCTCTGCCCCTGAGAAGGCCTAGAAGCAGTGACACCCCAGGATCCTCGAGCACAGCCAGCACCCAGACCATGGCTTCTAAATCCCATTCTCTAAGGAAAGGAACCAGGGCTCTTTAGAAGGAATCTGACTCTGGGTCTACAGCGGGAAATATACAAGATGAGCCTGTGGCATCTGCTAGTGCCAGAAAGTTGGGAAGTGCAAAGTAAAAAAAAAAAAAAAAGGATGGTGGGGCATGTCAGAAACACACAGGAGACCCCAACGGTCAAGTGTGGAAACAGCGCAGCCGTAAAATAAATAGCGACCCTATTAGATGATACCCAAAGAAAATGTATCCAAGAGCCCCTATTAATATTAATTAGTGAATACATAAATAGATAAATGGGAAAGAAGAGAGAAGTCTTCGTTATAGAATTCCAAATCACCCACATAGAAGGACTGACGGAAACGGAAAGTCGGTGAGAGCACGGAGCAGGAATGGCCACGGGAGCCACCCTGTGCTGGAGGCCGAGATTGGTGAGCAGAAGTGCAGGAGAAAGAGGAAAGTTACGTGGCTTGGAAGTGTCTTTAAAGTTGCTATTAATTACTGTGGAGGTCTGAACAAGTGAACACAAATCCCTGGATGTGCCTCCTTCTAGTGGGCAGAGCTAAACTCCCCTCCCTGGGTGATGGGCTTAGGGACTTGCTCACATAGAGACCATGCCATGGGCAAGCCCACAGCCACCCCTGAGCCGAGCAGTCACATGACCCCTATGGTGTCAGTTAATGACTGGTCAGCTGGAGGCGAGTTCAGCAGGTGCCGACCACGAGGTCTGACACTACTCAAAATGACAGAGAGGGACAGGGGTGGAAACCCAGCCAGCCAGGGAGCGTCTGCCACCGGACACTGGACGTCTGCACAGCCAGGTGGGTCCAGGTCATCTTGGCAGGACTAGGGAAGCACCAGCAACTCCAGGGGACTCACGGTCCAGCCCAGGCCCTTCCCTGTCGACACAGCCCCACAGCCTGTTCCTGCCTCTGTCACCTGCGGCTGCAGGACGTGGCGAGCTCATGGTGGTGCTGGGCCCCTGGTTCAGCTGAGCTGCTGTCACAAAGGACCCGGCCCGGGGGGTTCACAGAGGACCAGGCCTGGGCGACTCACAGAGGTCCAGGCCTGGGGGAGGTCACAGAGGACCCAGCCTAGGGAACGCACAGACAACAGGATGTTATTTCTTACATCTCCGGCGGCAGGAAGTGCAGAGGCAGAGACAGGCCTCCCTGGGGTCTGGTGTAGGTCTCTTCTTCCTGATAGATGCCCTCACGTGGTCGCGGAGATGGTGGTGTCCCTGTGGTCCCTGATATAAGGGCAATAACCTTCCTTCAGGAGGCCCCACCCTCACGACCTGATCACCGCCCAAAGGCCCTCCCTCCTAACACCATCAGCTGGATGACGTTAGGGCTCAGCAAGAATGTTGAAGGGTACGAATATTCCGTCCCTGTCTGTACCCCAGGCAGTGACAGGGCGAGGCCCAGGCTCAGGACCACATCAGCCTCAATGCTCTCGGGCAGGCCCAGAGGGTGTGGGCCCTGAGGCTCCCAGTGGAGGGAGGGTGCGGAGGCCCAGGGTCCAAGGCTGCCCACTGTCGAAAGGTGACTCACTCCCCCGAGGCTCATCAGACACCAGCTGCAGACAGCTGTGCCTCCAGCTGCAGACAGCTGTGCCTCCAGCTGCGTGCCTGTGCGTGTACACATATGTGGGTGCATGTCATTGCCCGTGTGCAACAAGGCTGCAGGGGTTTGAAAAAGTGAATACAAATCCCTGGAGGGAAGAGGGAACGGCGGGGGGGGTCTGGGAAGAAGAGGGGGACCCTCTAGGAAACCAGCATTAACCGACCCCATCCTTCTGGCACCCCCATCTCCCCATCTCCTCCATGTCTGGCCAGGAAGAACCTCTGTGTAGAATAGAAAAACCACAGAACACGGAGGTGAGCGCTGTACCCCGAGGACCATGCAGGTGTCATCATAAGCAAGCAGCGTTATGGTCGCAATGACTTGTGTCCGTTAATAAAGTGGCCTCCAGCGAGGGCCACCCATGGACAGAAAGGCCTCACAGGGCGGCCGGACCCTGGCTGCCCCGAGCATGGAGCTCAAGTGAGTTGGTTCTGAGCAGGAGGATCTGGGGGGCCCAGGTGGACAGGGGCTTGGCCTGTCCCCCAGGCTGTGGCCCCATCCAGCCCTCCAGCCCCTGCACTCACCTGCACCCACCCCACAGAGCACACCCCTTGTGCCCAGGAGTGGAGCTGCCATCTGGCCTGTGAGCACCATGTTTGGACAGGAATGGGGAAAATTTCATTATTTCCATGATGAAAGAAGATTGATTTTTCTGCAGTTTCTGGAGATGCTTCTAATTGAGTCTGCTGGCCTTGTGCTTCCAACAGATGCCCATTTAGAAACCTTTCCCAGTTTTGAGCTGTTTTTCCCCCTCTTTTGGTGGGAAGAGAGCTGAATGCTTGAGTTAATCAGATATTGCAGAAAAGCAATGGGGCTGTGTCCAGCCGGAGGGAGGCACACAGTGTGTCTGGGGCACCTCATGTGTCTCAGGTGCCTGAGTTATCTGGGGTTTCTGGGGTGTCTGGGGTTCCTGGCATTGACTGGGGTACCTGGAGTGTCTGGGGTGGCTGGGGTGCCTGGAGTGCCTGGCATATCTGGGGTGCCTTTTGTGTCTGTCGTGTCTGGGGTGCCTGGGGTATCTGGGGTGCCAGCATCTAGGCAGCTGTGGGCAGGCCCAGAGCCACTGGAGCACAGAGGACATTTCAGCCCAAATGCAGAGGACAGGGGTGCTCAGGGAGCTCCAGGGGGTGCCTGTGGCAGATCCAAGTTAGCTGTTCCAGGCAAGTGGGGTGGAAGGAGGGGTGCAGGGCAGAGGGGTCCTTCCTGGCAGCTATGGGACAGGAAGGGGAGGGCGATGGTCAGCAGGGGTGGCCAGGGCTGGGTCCACGTCCCTTCCAGCTGCCAGCTCCCTCCAGCCCCTCCCTGGTCCAGACACATAGAAATGCTGACCATGGCATGACAATTGCAGGGACACATGTAGGAGACTGGAAGGACGGAGCTGCCAGGATCCAGAGCTCAAAGCCGGCCTGGGGGTTGGGGAGGGATGAGAAGCAGCAAAGACTCTGATGTGGGCCTCAGGGGCTGGGCTTGAGGCCCACACTGGCATCACAGCCAAGCCACAGAACCGGGCTTGGATGGGAGCTGGGGCCACAGAACCGGGCGTGGAGGGGAGCTGGGCTGAATGCACTCCTTGCATAAGGTTGGGAGTCCCAGAGAATTCCCTCCTTATGAAAAAGACTAAAAACTTCACAGCCAGTCTGAGGAAATGGCAAGGCAGCCAGTCAACTGCCAGGGCTTGGGAAGGAAATAGAAGCCAGCTGAGAGCTTTGCTGGGCACAGACAGGTACTCAACAAGGATTAATATTTATCAATGGAATGAAAATTAATATTTATCAATGGAATGGTTAGGCCTTGGCCTAAACCATGGATGTGTGTAAAGGTGGGGTTTACATTCCTTGTTCCATGGGAAGAACTCCTTAAGTTAAAATGCAAACACTCCTAGATTTAGTGGAAACCCCTGCAAGAAGTGGAAATCATGCAAGAAGAGAGTTCCACAAATCAGGGCACAAGAGGCTGCTATGAAGAGAACCCACGGGATGTTCTCACAGTGAAGATGAAAACCAGGTTAGGCAGTGACTACTCGAGGCAGCCCTAGGGGCTGGCCAAAGAACTGGAGAATGTGCACCCCAAAAGCAAGGGAAAAACAGAACTGCTAAGAGATACTTTAAAATAATATGTTCAAAATGTTTAAAGAAAAAAAATACAGAAACAGTAAGACAAGAATAGGACACTATGCTTGTAATCCCAGTGCTTTGGAAGGCTACGGCAGAAGGATTGCTTGAAGCCATGAGTTTGAGACCAGCCTGAGCAACAAAGCAAGACCTCATCTCTACAAAAAAAAAAAAAAAAAAATAGTGTTAAAAAATTAGCCAGGCACGGTAGATGTACTGTTGTCCTAACTACTCAGGAGGCTGAGGCAGGAGTATTGCTTGAGCCAAGGAGGTCAAGTCTGCAGTGAGCTATGACTGTGCCACTGCACTCCAGCCTCAATGATAGAATAAGATCCTGCTTCAGAAAAAAAAAAAACAAAAGAAAAGAAAAAGAAAAAAAAAGGACACTAAAAATAAAGGAGGTAGCCCGGGCGTGGTGGCTCACACCTGTAATCCTAGCACTTTGGGAGGCCAAGGCAGGCAGATCACAAGGTCAGGAGATCGAGACTATCCTGGCTAACACAGTGAAACCCCATCTCTAATAAAAATACAAAAAAATTAGCCAGGTGTGGTGGTGGGTGCCTGTAGTCCCAGCTACTCAGGAGGCTGAGGCAGGAGAATGGCATGAACCCGGGAGGCAGAGCTTGCAGTGAGCTGAGATTGTGCCACTGCACTCCAGCCTGGGTGACAGAGTGAGACTCCATCTCAAAAATAAATAAATAAATAAATAAAAATAAAGGAGATAGATTGTAAACAAATGAAAAAGAAGCAGAAAGAATTTGCAGACATAAAAACATTGAGTGTAAGAACTAAATAGACAGGCTAAATAGTCAATTAGACACAGCTGAAGAGAAAAAATGTGGATTTAAAGGTGGATCTGAGGAAGTCACTTTCTCACAAGGAAAAGGAAAATAAGAAAAGGAAATTGAATGCAAAATTCAACACACATTTTCTAAGAGTTCCAAAAAAGGGAAAAGAAAGAAAAGAGTGCACAGGCAATGTTTTGAAAGATAATCAATGAAAGTTTTCTAAGATTAAAGAAAACATTTTCTTTTTTTCTTTTTTTTTTTTTTTTGAGACAGAGTGTCACTCTGCTGCCCAGGATGGAGTACAATGGCACAATCTCAGCTCACTGCAACCTCTGCCTCTTGGGTTCCAGTGATTCTCGTGCCTCAGCCTCTAGAGTAGCTGGGACTACAGGCATGCAACACCACGCCTGGCTAATTTTTGTATTTTTTGGTAGAGATTGGGTTTCACCATGTTGGGTAGGCTGGTCTCTAACTCCTGATCTCAAGTGATCCACCCATCTCAGCCTCCCAAAGTGCTGAGATTACAGGCATGAGCCACCACTTCCAACTGAAGAAAACATTTTCTACTAGAGAATAAATAAAAGCAAATACATGCCTTGATCGTATTGAAATGAAAGACTTCTCATCAACCACAGTGATTGCCGAGGTCAGTGGGATAATATCTTCAAATCTTCAATGTGCTGACAGAAAGCAACTGTCAATCAAAAATTCTATACCCAGCTAAATTACTCTAGAGTGAAGGTAAAGGCAGTTTTAGACCAAGATCAAAAGTTTACTATCAGTGAAAGAACTTGATAGAATGTATTTTAAAATGAAGCAATAGGATTCAAGAAATGATCATGATCAGATAAATTGGTCAACTTGATAGCAAGTCTAAGTATTGAGTGTAAACGAAGTGCATAATATAGAAGTGAAGGACTTCTATATCCAGCAGTATGGCAGATGAAGTGCATAATATGAACCAATTGAAAAGGCCTATAAATGCTAGATACAATACGCTTTAAAGATCTTTCTCAGTAAATCACAAAACTATCTGGAAAGTAAGACATCCTCAGAGTCCAGAACCACAGTGAAAGTGGACATCCTGTGAGGTGAATTCACATTGAACACAGGCTCCCTCCCAAAGAAGGGGTGGAGCTCTGGTGACCAGACTTCAGGTTCTGACGATGTGGAGAGGGTCTAGGAGGAAATCCACAATGTAAGTGTATTCATGAAAATGCGTATACACACATACATGCACGCACACACACACGCATATTTATATGTGTGTAATAGGTATAATACATGTATATATACCAATCAACAGTATTTTAATAGAGTTTGGAATTGCAGATTAAAGGGGAAAGGAAAGCTTATTCAATAATTGGTGCTGGGAAAACTGGTTAATATCTTAAAAAAATAAGGAAAATTGATTTCTACTTCCTTCATACATAAACATCAGTTCCAAATGAATCAAAGACTTACTGGAAATATAAATGTTTACAAAACTTCGAAGGTCAACATAGGAGAACATACTTATGACCATGGCCTAAGGAATACTTTCTTCAACAAAACCCCAACAGTGCAAATACTAAGGGAAAAGATTGACAAAGTCTGTGACATTAAAATTCGTCAGGGGCAGCATAAATAGATGGGATGTAGACCCACCAACTGGGAAAAGATACTTGCAATGCATTCAGCTGGCATGAATTAGTGCCCAGAATGCATAACTAACTCTACCAAATGAATGAGAAACAATCAAGATTGAATGTGAAAGAGGAATATAAGTGGCCAGTTAAGAAGCACTCGGTATTCAGGTGAATGCAAATTAAAACCATCATTTGAAAACGTGTTACAGAACTGTCCACAGTCTGGAAACATCAAGCGTTGGTGAGACTATGAGGAAGGTGCCCTGGCGCAGTGAACATCAGTTTGGATCATTTTAAAGAAACTAAGTGAAACTGAGAGATGTTGCGGTTGCACAATTGCACGTGCGTTCCTCTGAGCGGCTGGAATGTTGGGCGCGTGTGGCCCCATGAGCAATTTCCAGCATTTCTCACCATAGCACAGGTGGAAAAGGGCAGAGTGAGGGGAGTGCTGAGGGGCACCAGGCCTGGCCAAGTCACCCTGCAGGTCAAATGGGGGGCATCACGATCTCCCTGCCCACCTGTGGGAAGCACTAGAGAAACTCCCACCCTGGGCATGTGGGTCTGTGCAAGAATGCTCAATGTGGCCATTTCTATAATGTTGTGAAAAATGAGAGCAGCCCAAGCTGCTGGCGGTGGTAGGTTGGATACACCAGCTGTGGTTCATCGAGACGGCAGAACCCCATGCGGCCGTGGACAGGGAGGAACCCCAGGCAGCTGTGGACAGGGAGGAACCCCAGGCAGCTGTGGACAGGGAGGAACCCCAGGCAGCTGTGGACAGGGCGGAACCCCAGGCAGCTGTGGACAGGGAGGAACCCCAGGCAGCTGTGGACAGGGAGGAACCCCAGGCAGCTGTGGACAGGGCGGAACCCCAGGCAGCTGTGGAGAGGGTGGAACCCCAGGCAGGTGCTCAGCGTGAGGGGCTCTCAGGGACATCCCACCAGGAGAGACAGCATCAGCAGGATGTGGGGGCAGGAGTCCCAGCTGGTGATCCATCTAGGACGAGGCGATCCGGCAAGACATTGCTTAGGGGTCCTTGCCAATGTGGAAACATTATTTTAAAAGCCAGGTAACGGGAAACAAAATTCATGGTGGCATTTCCCCCGTGGGGGTGGCAGACGGATGGAGCTGAGCAGGGCCCCACAGGGCTCTTCAGGAATTCTTGGGTTTTTCTGTCTGTTTATTTGAGGCTGAGTGGCAGATACCCAGGTTGGTTTGCATTTCTTATGGGTACCATGCACTTAATCTAAACAGCCTTCCATCTATTGAAGAAGAAAGAGTGTGAATCCACACGCCACATGCCTGCACCAGTCGGTCTCCCTCGGCTGCACGGCAAGCCACCCCCAAGACAGTGGCTTCTCACAGCAGCCATCAGGGCTCTCGAAGCTGTGCACCTGCACCCACTCACATGCCAGCAGCCCAGGCCAGGCTCAGCGGGGTGGCTTCTGATCTCAACTTGACCCTCACATGTTGCTGGTCAGTGGCCGGCATGACTGGGGCTGGGCTGGTGGAGGCCTGGTGTGAAGACCCCAGCTGGGGTCCTTGCTGCTCCACAGGCCCGGGCTCCTTTGCCAAGCAGCTCGGCAGGGATCCCACAGTAAACAGGAGGCTCTCAAGCCCCGGCTGGGCCTCACAGTGATGCTTCCACCACATTCTGTTGGCCAAGCGGCCACAGGCTGGCCCTGGCTGAGGGAGTAGACAAGAGGCAGAGTCCACCCTTTTATGGGAAGGGTTGCAAAGAATCAAGGTGGCTTTGCACCCCTGTGAAAGCCTGGAGCCAGGGGGACAGACTCAGGGGCATCTGGGTCTCCCCACGTTTCTGATGTGTGGTCCCTGGGCAGAGAAGCTCCCCCTCTCCTGCCCACCGCTGGATCCACGTGTGCCGCCAGGCCCCAGGGAGACCCTGGAGGTCAGGTCCCCCCTCAAGGCCTCAGGGGACAGGGAGGAACCCTAGGCAGCTGTGGACAGGGAGGAACCCCAGGCAGCTGTGGACAGGGCGGAACTGGCCTCGGTCTGGCCCCAGTTCCTGCAGTCTCTCCTGAGCCCCATGGGCTGGAGGAAGCTGCTGCCCACATCGGCCCACACTTAGCTCCAGGCCTTGGCAGCCTGCAGGATCCAGCCCTCCACTCGGGCCTGCTCTGAAGTCATGGAGCCTTCAGAGGAAACCCTGTCCCTCCTCAGTGTGTCCTCAGCCCAGCCAAGTGGCCGCATCAGGGAGGACCGTGGACTTCCGTGGGCTGTCCTGCCTGCCTTCTCGCACCACAGTGCTCACTCTCATTCTCACCCTCTCTCTGTCTCTCTTTGATATGGTTTGGCTGTGTCCCCACCCAAACCTCATCTCAAATTGTAATCCCCATAATCCTCCTGTGTCAAGGGAGGGATCAGGTGGAAGTGATTGGATCATGCGGGTGGTTTCCCCATGCCGTTCTCGTGATAATGAGTGAGTTCTCACAAGACCTGATGGTTTTATACGCATCTGGCATTTCCCCTGCTTGAACTTCTCTCTCCTGCCATCTTGTGAAGAAGGTCCTTGCTTCTCCTTTGCCTTTCTCCATGACTGTAAATTTCCCGAGGGCTCCCCAGCCATGCTGAACTGTCAGTCAATTAAACCTCTTTCCCTTATACCCAGTCTCGGGTATTTCTTTATAGCAGTGGGAAACTGGGCTATCTTTGTGTCTGTCTCTCTGCTGTGTCTCTCTTTTTGTCTCTCTGACTCTCTCTGCTGCTCTCTCTGTCTCTATCTCTTTCTTTGTCTCTGCTACTGTCTCTCTGCCTGTCTCTGCCTCTTTCTGCTGTCTCTCTCTCTCTGCTGTTATCTCTGTCTCTGCTGCTGTCTCTCTCTGTCTCTGCTGCTGTCTCTGTCTCTGTCTCTCTCTTCCTCTCAGGCCCCCTCTCACCCTCAGCCCCTACGGTCTGACAGCCCTGACTGTCCTTTGCCCCCCAGAGGGGTGACCAGTGTCCTTGCTGTGGACGCTCCAGGATGGGTTATAGAGGAGGAGAAGACTCCCATGTGCTTTTAAGAACCAACTGATGTCCTTTTTTGAGGGAAAAAAATATTGATTGCTGATATCTGCAATAATGAACCCCAGCAAATTACACAAATTACCTCAGACGGCCTCCTGACAAGTGTCATCCCCAGAGGCGTCCACAGAAATGTCATTTGCCGAACTCATATTAAACATCCTCCAAGACAGATTTAAAATAACTTTGGAGGTAAAAGTCTAAGTTGCACAGACATAAAAATGACAACATATGCTAGCTGGAATTATATATTTGTGAATTAATTCTTGCATAAAATTAGAATTTGAGGACTCAACTGCAATGCTGTACATTTTTGTTGTTAGCAATTATCTTGTAACCAATTTGAATCTATACTCAAAAACTTCATTTACATGTTTCTCACAATGTGCTGTGTAAGGGAAATTGGCCCTTTAAGAAAACAACTTAAGGGAAGTTTATCGTTTTTTAAAGTCTGAAGCTGTCTGCGCAATTTGAAGCTGCTGAGAGCCATGGGATGAGGAGGCGGAGCTAGGAGAAAAACTGTATTTGAATCATGGGAAATCTGGAGCTCAAAGCCACAGGAAGCTGAGGAGAAAGGTGTTTGGGTACATGCTAACTCAAGGCTAGCCCTGGCCCCCTGTAGCCACTACTGCAGGTAATAGTGCTTGTGTTAACCCCATCAATAACAGACTACAAGCTTACATGTGGGGTTAAAATTCACTGCTCAGATGTTGGTGTTCAGACTTCAACACTGCCCCCTGGTGGCAAGAGATTCAAAATGCAGGAAAAGACGGAAAATAGCTGCGGAGTTGTTTTGTTTCGTTTTGTTAGTACTGAATGGCAAATCTCAATATATAACAATGTAGGGAATTAATGTTCCTTTGCCCCTCTGTCTTTTTCATTTGCTTCATCTGAACAGCACTAACTGATGGTGCCGTTGTAATGAGAACCAGAGGAGGGGCCTTTGGCTGTTGGACACCCAACAGTAGACCTAGGTGAAGTGTGTGCCTGTCCCTTGAGGCTCAACAAGACACTGCAGTGCTTTATCACTGAAGCGTGAGAAGCCCTGGATCCAGAGACTGCTGAGAAGGGAGTCCCCAGAATGGGTGTGATGGCCCTCCTGCAGTGCAGGCAATCCCCTTGCTACATGTGACATTGGTTCAACCAACAGTTTTAGGTGCTTTGGGAATTTGGGTTCCTCCAGGATGAATCTCCCCAAACCCCAACATGCTGGAGTAGAATCAGGAAAGATTTGCTGCATTTCTAAGATGAAGAAATTTGGAGAAATTAGAACCTTTTTTCCCATCTTAAGTTTCCCTCCCATCTTTCAAGACAAGCAGAGGTTAAAGATGAACTTCTGTGAGTTCTCTGAGAATGGCTGAAACTCTTGCTTTTGTGAAATGTTCTGATCTCATTACAAGCAGGGAATCTACCTTAAGCCCTGGGTTTAAAACAAAATGACCTGTCTTTCCTGATCTCCCTGCAAAGTGGGGCAGGTTTTGGCACTGGGCTTCAGTCTCATCAGCCCCTGAGTCCTGGCACAGAACAACTTCTAGAGTGTTGACTTCACATCCCAGTTTACTTAAGAAATCAGTCACTCTCCCCTAGATTTTTTTAAATGACTTGTGTTTGACATCTCTTCTCTTTGGAAAACAGTTTCCCTAGATGCAGAATCTGATAAATAAGTTGCAGTCTCTTATGTCTTTTATATTATTTCCTAAATATTTTTGCTCATTATATTTTTACAGTTTCACATGCTTTTTTGATTTTTTGGGGGGTGGGGGACAGAGTCTTGCTCTGTCGCCCAGGCTGGAGTGCAATGGCGCAATCTCGGCTCACTGCAACCTTCACCTCCCAGGTTAAAGTGATTCTCCTGCCTCAGCCTCCCAAGTGGCTGGGATTACAGGTGCCCACCACCACACCCGGCTAATTTTTGTATTTTTAGTAGAGATGGGGTTTCACCATGTTGGCCAGGCTGGTCTCCAACTGCCGACCTCAGGTGATCTGCCTACCTCAGCCTCCCAAAGTGCTGAGATTATAGACATGAGCCATTGCACCTGGCCTTTGATTTCTATAGAGAAATAAACTTTACTCACATTTTCAGAGAATCCAGTTGGAATCTTCAAAGACTCCAATATCTGCTTAGAAGCTTCTTAGGTAAGTGAAGTTTGTTCTTTTTAAAAATCAGTAAGTCATTTCACTCACTAAGTATCCTCCCTATTTAACATTTCATTTTGAAACAATTATAGATTTACATAAGAGTTTAAAAGATATTAAAAGTCCCCTGGGTTCGACCCGCCTGTCTCTGATCTCCCCACCACCGTCCACGGCTGGGTGGGCAGCAGCCAGCTCCAGGGGACTCCATGCCCTTCCTCCCCTCTACAAGACCCTCCCCAGCCCATGCCTCCTCCAGACCCTGGGGTCCCACCCCACCGGCAGGAGCAGCCCCTTTGGCCTCCCATGGGGCAGGGAGGGGCCACAGGCCTGGATGGTCCTGGCATTAGCCCCTTCCCTGAAGCTCATTCACCTCATATGTGAATTATCATCAGACACATCAGTGCCGCCAATAACTCAAGAAACGCAGCCCCTTTTATGAGTCATTGTGTCAGCATTCACAAATAATCCGACCCTGCTTCTCACTGAAATAACGGCAGGCACGATAATTAGGGTCACCGCACGCTCGTCGCATCGTTACGATCCCCCCGTTCCAGCCACGCTCGTTACAGCCTGTGATTTATTTTGTTTATGCACAAAAACGTATTTCTGTGGAGAATTGCGACTTCTGTTTTGAGTATAACTACACACCATTTTAAACACACATATCAATTACTTATATAAAATACTGAATTTTTCAAAAGACTCCCCAGGAGAGAAGAAGGGGTGCAGCCCAGGGGGAAGCTCAAGGACAGCCTGCGTTATTAGTGTTATTTATCATTATCCTTGTTCTTATCCTTAGCAAGCAGTGAAGTCCTGAAAAGGGGCAGGCAGAGTGGCCTCCAGGTCACCGAGCCGAGGGAAGGGGTCGCCTGGTCTGAGTGAGGCCAGATTTTTCCCAGTGCCTGGCCTGCTACGGGGCTGGGTCCTGAACAGGTGAATAAACGGCGCAACTCCATCCAGGTTTGTACCCACGTGCCCCGTGTGGCCAGCGGGGCCTGCTTTCCTTCTCAAAAGGGCCCTGCTGGCCCCTAACTTCTATACACACCCTACGGATAGGGCCGTGAGCTGTGCAGGGTCTGAATGACCACAGGGCGTCCCGGGAATCACAGTCGCTGGGTGAGAAAGTGGCCGCAGTACCCGGGTGCAAGGCAGGGAATGGTGCAGACTGCCCGGCGGGCCGAGCTGTGAGGGTCCGGCATGTGGGGTGAGGGCTGAGACGGCTTCCCCTGTGGCCTCTGGGCAGCCAGGACACCTCCCGACAGCCGTGCCCGCCTCCTCCCGCCAGACCGGGGTTCACATAGAGAAAGACGCAGCTCCAGGCCCAAGCAGCCCGCAGCCCCCGGCTTCCAGACAGCTCATTTGTCTTGATTATCTCTGCTGCTGCCCCCAGCCCAGCCTCATTTCCGGTAGGTACTGGAGGCCAGATAAGGGTTTGCGGGAAAATAATCAGCAAGAACAGCTTCCCCCAGCCCAGCCGGGCCTCAGCACCTCAGCCCCACTCAGGGCTCCCCACCCCAGCCCCAGGGGCCTGCTTTGGGGCCACTCCCGGTCCTGGGAGAGGGAGGTGCCTGCTGGGAGACAGCATGCCAAGGGACCCAGGCCCCTGAGATGCCCATAGCAGGAAGCGGCGCAGACACGGGGGCAACAGGCAGCGTGGGTCTGGCGGGGCTGGTCTAGGGTGGATCTGGGCAGAGCTCCTACCTGCGGGGCCCACGTAGACTCCTGTGAAGACGAAAGTTCCATGAGTGCGTCCTCAATACAGCTCCAGGCCTGAGACACCCTTGCCCCATCGCCTTACAGCCCTTCCAGCGCGGGCGCCGTTGCATGCTCCACCCATGCTGCACAGGTGGCCAAGGGGCTCCTTGTTCTGCGGACTCCCCTTCCAGCTCAGGCACCAGCCAGGTGCTGGGGTCGCTAAGGGGGATGGAGGAGGCATTCGTCACCTTCCTTTTGGGGTGCGGGGCAGGCCCCAGCTCCAGCTGTGGCGGCCCCCCAGGGAGGGGGGTTTTCTGCCCAGAGCCCCCAGGAGAACCACGAGGAGGACGGGAGTGTGTGGGGCAAGGGGCCCCCTAGCCCAGGCAGTGGAGAGAGGCCAAGAAGGCGGAGGGGAGTGAGGAGGGGCCGCTTCGTTCTCCTAATGACAAACCTGGCTCAGCGCAGGCACCTGAAAGCGATTGGCAATCAATACTCACTCACCGAAGGCTTATCTGGATTAAGGTGGTTTCTTTTCCCTTTTGAGATTTTGCATCCCTTTAGATTTCTTTTTTCTCTTTTGCCTACTTGGGTGTATTTTCTGAATTGTTTAAGTAGTTTGCTGATGAACACCACTGCCTTAATTTCAAGCAACAAGCAGAATCCAACCTGCTAACTGATAAGGAGGCCACACAGGGAACCAGCCCTGGATGTGCAGGACACAGGGGCGGCTCTGCCCAAGGGGAGCCGCCAGCACCCCTCATGTCTCTTCCTGCACCTGCATGGGAGGGGCCGCTCTGCCCGAGGGGAGGGGCCAGCACCCCTCGTGTCTCTTCCTGCACCTGCATGGGAGGGGCCCCCTCAGAGCTGGGCGCAGGCACTGGCGCGGGCATGGCAGCTCGGCCTCAAGCTCCCCACAGCCTCCACTCAGAGCACTCGCTGGCTCACAGCCCAGGAGATCTAAAAACTCAGGGAGAAAATGGGGGAAACAGAAGACAGACAAGCATGGAACCTCGCAGGGGAAAGATTTTGCTCAGCTGAGAAACAGCAACAAAATTGCCGAAGCTGAGACGGAGAAAGGGGAAACCATCACGCCAGCATGAGGCGAGAGCCGCACACGTGGACCAGGCGCAGGTGACGCATGTCGCCTCCAGGTGCGCAGCTCCGGGGCTGTCCCAGAAGATCAGGTGGGGAGCATTCGGTACCATTCCTGGAAACACTGGAGACTCTAAATCACATGTGTGTATGTGCCCATTAACCCACCTTTCAAAATAACTAATCCAAAGCATAAGATAAGAATCCTTATGCTCAAAGATATTTGTTGCAGTCTCATTCATGAGATAAAAATTCACAAACAGCTTCAGTGTCCATCAATAAGGAAATAGGAAAATTACTATATATCCATCTGCCCAATGAAATAGGCACAGATGGGATCCTAGAGTGGATAAAATAGCATAGACACTATGCTATGTTATCACTATTTACATAGTGTATATGTAAATACACTTTATTTACAATAAAGTGTACATTTAAAATTACAATGTCTTTAAAACATGATTATGTCTGTGTGTGTGTGTGTGTGTGTGTGTGTGTGTGTGTGTGTGTGTGTGTGAAAGCCCATAGAGGAAAAAAACCCATTCGATTGAAATAGACCAAACTATAACAGAAGTCATCTTTGGTCAATGGATCTAAAGATGATTTTTTAATTTTTTCTAAGTTCAAGTGTTTCACAAATTATTTTAAATAAGCACACATTACCTTTATAATATGGTAATGTACGTATTGATAAGTATAATGATAAGTATTCTAAGATCCAGGATATTTATTCTTCCGATGTGTTTGAAGAGCACAAGGGAGAAACCTGTTTCCCTTCCTCTTTGGG
This sequence comes from Homo sapiens, assembly GCF_000001405.40. Taxonomy (NCBI): domain Eukaryota; kingdom Metazoa; phylum Chordata; class Mammalia; order Primates; family Hominidae; genus Homo; species Homo sapiens. The sequence goes on from NC_000022.11 coordinate 49,706,903, forward strand.
CCGAGGCTCCCTGGGCCGTGCAAGGCTCTGCGGAAGGGGAGCCCTGCCCCCGTCTGTCCCGGATGTGGCCCCTGGAATTTGGTGGCTCCAGGAAATAGGAGCTGAATGAACGAATGTTTTATTGAGTGCCTGCTGGAGCCAGGCCTTGTTAGATTGAGATATACTATTAACTAAGTGGGTGGATCACTTGAGGTCAGGACTTTGAGACCAGCCTGACCAACATGGTGAAACCCCATCTCTATCTCTAATAAAAATACAAAATTTGCTGGGCGTGGTAGCACATGCCTGTAATCCCAGCTACTCGGGAGGCTGAGGGAGGAGAATCACTTGAACCTGGGAGGCAGAGGTTGCAGTGAGCCGATATTGAGCCATTGCACTCCAGCCTGGGCAACAGAGCGAGACTCCATCTCAAAAAAAAAGAAATACTGTTAAGAAAGCAGAGCCCCACACTGGAGCAGCCCCTGGATATCTGCAATCTGGCTTAACAAATCTATCAGCTAAGTCTGCAGGTGCAAGCCCCGCTAGGATAGATGACACCAAAAGAATAAATCCGATGGATCACGTGTGAAATATTGTATGTGCAAGACAAATCATTTGAACTACCAAAATAAGTCAGAAGTACTCTACAAAAGCAGCTTAAAAAGTTCTTAGATGGCCCTGCTGGGCCAGCTTCTCCAGGCCTCTGGTGATTCTGGGGCCACCCAAGTCCACATTGCCTCAACCATCTGGTGGCACCTGGACCAAGCCAGGGCCCGAGCCTGGCAGAGGAAGCAGGTCCTGTTTGCGTCTCAGAGTCAGAATGTCCTTCTCCATGAGACACTCACACCCTGTCCCAGCTAATTTTTGAATTTTTAGTAGAGACAAGGTTTCTCCATGATGGTCAGGCTGACCTCAGGCGATCTGCCCACCTCAGCCTCCCAAAGTGCTGGGATTACAGGCGTGAGCCACCATGCGCAGCCAACACACTCTTAATTTTATTTTAGCTAGTACAGATAACATAACCAAGGGACTGACTGTTTTGCTTTTTTTATTACTTTGCATTTCCTTATGTATCCAGCAAACCAGCTCCCCAGGAGTTGGATCCATCTTTAAATTCCACTGGTAACTTTCACCTTTGGTAGCTGAGCCCAGACCACCTGCAGCTCCATACCAGGGGTGACCATGTGGCCACCTAGGAATCAAAGTTCCTCAACCCCCACCCTTTTATCCTTTCTCTTCCCAAACCCATGTTTCTATGAGCCAGGCCCTTCTAGCAAATCCCACTTCTGATACCAATTCCGTAGAAAAAAACAAAACTGTTTTTCCTCTGCTGTCATCCCACATCCATCAATACAGAAGAATTCTGTGACCTCTGGAGTCACAGAGGTCAGGGGTGGGTTGTCCCCACCAACAACCAATCAATTGCCTCTGTAGTGGACGGTAGCTGAGTGTCCCCTAATTCAATTCAGCTCTGATACTGTCTACCTGGAGATAGCATCAGAGCCCACAGCTTGAGGGCTCAGTCCCACAAGAATCTCCCTAATTTCAATGCCAGTTACAAGCCCTGGGTTGTTTTGCTTGTGCTTCTGACTAAAAGGCTGTAAATCAAGGTTCCCAAATCCCCTCCTTGGGTTAATAAAATTAATAAAATTTTCTAGAGGGGCTCACAGAACTCAGGGAAACAGTTAGTTACATTTCCTGGTTTATTATAAAGGATATTACAAAGGACACAGATGAAGAAATGCATAGGGTGAGTTATGGAGGAAGGGGTGTGGAGCTTCCATATCCTCCCTGGCCACATCACCTTCCAGGAACCTTCATGTGTTCAGCTGTCCAGAAACTCCCAGAACCTGTCCTTTTGGGTTTTTATGAAGGCTTCATTATGTAGGCATGATTGGTTAAATCACTGGCCATTGGTGATTAGCTCAACTTCAGCCCCTCCCCTTCCCACAGATTGGAGGTTTGCTGATAGTCCCAACCTCTCATCCTGCCTTGGTCTCTCCAGTCACCAGCCCCCATCCTGAAGCCACCTAGGGGATGCCAGCCATCTGTCAACTCATTAACATACAAAAACACACTCATCGCTTTCGAGAGTCCAAGGATTTTAGGACTTATAGGCAGGAAACTAGGTGAAGATCAAATACATATTTCATGGTATCACAGCCTGGAAATAAGGGAATGATTTCCTGGAGGAAGAATCAGACAATTTGAACTTGGAGGTACCATGAGGCAAAAATACCCCTGGGAGCTGCCCATGCAGCCTTCAGCAGGGTCAGCACCACCACCCACACCCCACTGTCCTGCCCAGGCCCTGAGCCCATGCTTTCCCAGGGGAATAAAGGTGTTCCCCTAGGACTCAGACCCGAGTCCAAACTGCAGTGCTCCCTTTTCTTTTCCAGGATTTGCAAAGAAAAGAAGGGCTTACCCTCACCAGCTGCTACTGGAATAAGAGGTGTCCGGTTGTCCCTAGTGGGAGGAGGGATACCTGTCCCCAGAAGAGCCCAAGTGCCCAGTAAGAATGGCCATCTCAGTAGGCATTGGGTTGGCCAGTCCTTGCCCTGGAGCTGTCCTTGCTGCTACCTCCTTCCAAGGGAAGCCAGGAAGGGGCTGGGCTGACCCCACATTTGCACAGTTTCCCAATCATATGGTACAATTATTCTTTCACTCACAGGGAAATTAGGCAGAGGCCTGAAATCAGGCATCGACTGGACCTCAGTAAGCTGCCATTAAGAATAACCAGGTAAAGAACTAAGGTCATAGATCCTTAGGAAGGAATAGAAGAGCCTGGGAGTGATGACGTATCCCCAACAGCACACTTTGGACTAAGCGGGGTCATTTCTCTGGTTACAAACCTATTATTTAAAATGTCATGCCAATGAATTCGAAAATTTACATGCAATGGAAAATGTCCTAGATAACTCACCAAAACTGACATAAGAAGAAAAAGAAAATGTAAGCAGCCCTATATCTATCTATTAAATACATTGTATCACATTTAAAACCTTTCCGCAAAGAAAACTGTAGCCCCAAGGGATTTCACCACTGAATTCTGCCAAATATTTAAGGAAGAAAATGCTGATTATATCCAAACTCTTACAGAGAATTGTAGAAGCATGAAAATGCCCCAACTCATTTTTGAACCCAGCATGTCACTGATACTTAAGTAAGACTAAGAAATTACAAGAAAATTGAAATAAAGGCCAATCTTCCTCATGAACTTGGATGAAAACTCCACAGCAAAATATTAGCAAACCAGACCTACTAACATAGACAAAAAGGAATGTATCACAAATACATCTGGAAGTGTGTTCACCTGGGAATGCAAGGTTGATTTAACATTTAAAAATCAATCCGTGGGATCTGTCACATTAATGCTGAGCTGAGGGGTTCACCACATGAAAAGATTCCCAGATGAAAACACTCCTTGCCTCCCACTCTGTTGACAGATGCTGATGGCAGTCAACCAGCCAAAGACCTGTGGAGAAGCAAGGTGGAAACTGGTGGGCTTGGCTGATTGGGAAAAGAAATGACCAGAGGAAGAAGAAAGGAGACAAGGAGGAGGCATTCTCTAAATCTCAGGAAAGCTCCCAAATGCTTCCCGAGCCAGGAACCCAAGACCCACACCTCCCACCACAGGCATTGGTCCCCAAGCCCCCCATCTCCTCAGCAGCAATATTACCCTTAAAGCCCAAATGCAATCAGGTTACTTCCCAATTGAGTGAAACTTAATTGCAGAGGATGAACCCAAAATCCTACTGGGCATCCAAGACCCTTGGCAAAACGGCACTACACTGCCCTCCAGAGTTATCCACGTGTCTACCTGTGAACCCTCGACCCCCGAGCACTCATGTCTTTGGGAACTTTGATCACACACACCCACCTCTCATGCTCCTGCCTCACCCGACACCCACATATTTCTCTTCTGAGCCACGACCAGTCCCACCCTCCCTGGGTGCCCCTGTATGTCCACCCTCCTATGTTGGGTCCTGCTGTGTCCCAGCACCTGTTCCCAGGCCAGCTCTTGCTCCAGTCCTGGCACCACGCCTCGGTTGTTCATCCCCAGTGCTGGGCACATACGTGATGGCTTCGTCCGTTTGGGCCACGGCAGCGAACTACCATAACTTATAAACAGCAGGCATTCACTACTCACAGCTCTGGAAGCTGGGAGTCCAAGAACAGCTCTGGAGGCTGGCAGGCTCTGTGTGGTGGGGACCCACTTCCTGGCTCATAGATGGCATCTTCTTACTGTGTCTTCCTGTGGTGGAAGGGATGAGGCTCCCTGGAGAAATGGTTGATTGCAGGCCTGGGGTAGGATACAGACCTGGCACCTTGAACATCTTGTTATAGCAGAGAGAAAAGAAGCCTTCAGAGCTGCGTCACATCAAAAGGATTCAAGAGTCAATTCTGTAAAATCCGCTAGTTCAAAACAATAAAGAAAGAAACCCCACTGTTCCTAGTTTTTTGAAAACCAGTAAATAAAAGGAAGAATCAAGCCCTAACCTCACTTTCCTACACAAATGATATCTTGAAGTAGTCAAGTGGTCAAGGAGGAAAAGTGTCTCCTAAGAGAAGAATTCCAGCCCTGCGTGGGGAAGGAACAGTGGAATTAAAGCTCACACCTTTGCAAACTCCACTGGCAACGGTGGGTCTGGACACTGACCGTCAACAGTGGTCACGTGGCCAAGGGCCTGCCGGACACTGAGTGCACCCTGATGAAGAGCACAGGACTGCCGTGGGCCATGCTGCTCACCAAAAAAGCCCAGCAGGCCCACGATCTGACTGTAACCTCACAGGGAATTCAGGGCAGAAGAAGGCATCTGAAATCAGCATCACAGAACACAACCAGCAAAATCCTAAATGTAGAGAAATCAGCAGGCCCAGCGACACGGCCTCTTCAACATGTTCCAGGGAAAAAGGAAGGAAGAGAGCCATTTCCACAGGACTCTGAGACACACCCAAGACCCACCTGCCAAGGCAGCCCAAGGCCAGGTTTGGGCCCTGACCGAACAAAGCAGAACATGAGATGGGAGATGGCTGGGGAAATGTGGACACTGACCAGATATTTGTTGATATGAAGAAATTGTGGGCAACTTTTAGATGTGGGAGTGATATTGTGGTTACTTTTAAAAAGGAGTTTTTGTCTTTTGGAGATACAAACTGGAATGCCTCATCCATGAAATGCTGAGATTTGGTGCTTCCCTGATGTTCCAACAAAAGGAGCTCTGAAATGAGAGCGTCCTAAGGCCCTGCCAGAGGGAGACGGGTATAGCGGATGATGGTCTAATGCTTTTTCTAAATATGTTTGAAGTTTTTTATAATAAAAGGCTCTTTTTATACAAATCCCCGGGAGAGGCTCAAACCGGCCCAGCTGGGATCCGGGGCCCTCTTGGCCCACCCTCTGTGGCCAGGGAGAACACAGGTGAGCCCGGCCCGCCCGCAGACAGGCTGGCCCCAGAGCCGGGCCAGGCTGGGCCTGAAGTCAGCACCACGGACAGCTCTGGCCGGGCAGCGAGGAGGAGCCCCTTTCGCGTGGAGGCCGCGGCTCCCAGGCCAGCTCCAGCCTTCCCAAACCAGAGTTTTCTCAAGCTCGGGATTCTAAAAGCATTTATGGGGAGACACAGTCCCCTATTTGAATAACATGGTCAGAAGGGCTTTTCCCAGAGAGCGGTTGAGGCGGGGCACGGCTCAGAACAGCAACATGGTGGCCACCGTGGCAAGACCCAGTGGGCTCTGAGCTGTGGCTGGGGCCAGGGCTTTGCCTCGACTGTCCTGAGGGAGGAATTCAGAAAGCTCACTTCCTAACTGAGCTCGTTTCTAATCCTCATGGATACCAAGAGCTGCTTCCACTAAAGCCCCCCTCTTCCTCCACGGGTCACCTGTCACCTCTTTAGTTTCCTCCTCCCAGAGGCCTCTGACACAAAGACAGGGCTTCCAAAACCAGGACTGAGGCAGCTGCCAGCTCCAGGCTGGGCTCTGGGTCTAGTCTACAGCAGGAGGCTCAGGATGTCTGAGTTAAGGGCCGGAACCTCGAGGCAATATTGATTATGCATCTTTATCACACAAAATCAAATTCCCTCCGCAGAGAGCTTGAATTGCTGGGAAGAGCAGCAGAGTCAACACAACAATCACACACCCCTGTCCTCGGCGCAGAATTGGAGATTGTATATATTTATTTGGAAAAGGCCTGGGCTACTTGTGGCATCCTGCCAAGACAATTTGAAAGGTATCAACAGTTTAAATGACATTTTCACCTTCAGCAAATACATCTCTGCCTGCTCGGAATGCGACGCTATCCTGCCCCGGCAATCTATGATACAGTCGCGTCAGAAATAGGTGTCAGCTCTCATTACATTCCCGAGGATAAATCCCACTTATCAGGGCCTGCAGAGTCCCAGGCCTCCTGACATCCCATTTCAGACAGCAGCCTCCCACCCCCGCCCCTCCTCTCCCTAAGAGATGCCGTCGGAGTTTTCAATCGCTGAACTTCTGCTGGATGGGAGGAGACGGGCAGGCATCGCTGAGCTCCTGCTGGATGGGAGAAGACGGGCAGGCATCGCTGAGCTCCTGCTGGATGGGAGAAGATGGAGAGGCAGCCTGAGATTTTCGGGGCATGGTGGACAGGACGCCCTGTGTTATCAAAGACACCTTGGGTGATCAAGCCCCCGGGCCTGTCTGCTCCCTTGCTGGAAAGTTTTCTATTGTCAAAAAGAAAGACTCTGTTGCTCAGAGGCATGGGTCTTCGGTCATAGTCTCAGCTACCCAGAAGGGCGTCCTCCCTAATCCCAGGGGCAATGAACTAAGAAGCACAGGGAGCTGTGGAGTCACGGAGCCCCCAGGGAGCAAGAGGAGCAGGAGAGCGTGGCCGGCGGAATCCTGAGAGTCAGACTTTGCAAACAGAGGAAAGTCTGCAGGGGAAGAAGAGGGTGTGTGTTTGCAAAGGTCTCAGAGAAGATCGATCAAATTTTAAATCTCTATCCAATTAATAACAGAAAAAGAGAGAGGAAACAAATAACCAACACTGTGGGAGGCTGAGGTGGGAGGATCGCTTGAGCCCAGGAGTTCAAGACCAGCCTAGGCAACATACTGAAATCCTGTCTTTAAAAAAGTAAATAAAAATAAATTCATAAAAATTTTAAAGACATTTTTAAGCATTGGAAAGACAATCCACCGCCCGGAAGAAAATATTTGTGAATCACAAATCTGATAAAAGAATAGTAAGAAAAAATAAATGCACAAAAGATTTGAATTCATATGTTGCCGATATACAAATGGCCAATAACCACATGGAAAGATACTCAACATTGTGAGTCATCAGAGAAATACAAACTACGAAGTATCTCTAGACCACACCTTTTCGAATGCCCAGAACTCCGACACGGGCCATATCAAGGGCTGGTGGGAATCGGGGACACCGAGAGGCAGATACCCTGCTTGCCGCTCCCGCATTTGAAGGCTGGTGGGAATCGGGGATACCGAGAGGCAGATACCCTGCTTGCCGCTCTAGCACTTTGGAGAGGAGTTTGGTGGTTTCTGCGGAAGTGAGGGGGATGCGCCTACAGGACTGAGCCATCCCGTGGCCAGCGATCTGCCGAGAGGGGTGAACGCCATGTGTCTGTGTGAAAACACGCACATGTTCACAGCGGCTCCCCTTGCAATAGCCAAAACCTGAAAACAGCCCAATGTTCCCAATGGGAAAATCATAAACAAGTTTTACTATAGCCAGGCGGTGGAACAGTACTCAGACATAGAAATAAAAGACTTAGGACTGATACACAAGATGCCATAGATGAATTTCAAAATGATTAGGCTGAGTGAAAGAAGCCGGACGGAAAAGCTAAAACCCTGCAAGGCACACGACCCCATTGGCATAAAGCCCTAAAGAAGCCCCTACACGGCCGGGCGCGTGGCTCACACCTGTCATCGCAGCATTCTGGGAGGCCGAGGCAGGCGGATCACAAGGTCAGGAGTTCGAGACCAGCCTGGCCAACATACTGAAGCCCCATCTCTACTAAAAATACAAAAAATTAGCTGGGCGTGGTGGCGGGCGCCTGTGATCCCAGCTACTTGGGAGGCTGAGGCTGGAGAATCACTTGAACCCGGGAGGCGGAAGTTGCAGTGAGCTGAAATCACGCCACTGCACTCCAGCCTGGGAGACAGTGCAAGACTCTGTCTCAAAAAAAAAAAAAAAAGGCCCCACCCAGCACTTAGGGCAGTGGTTGCCTGGGGAGGGGTGTGGGGAGGCGGGTGGGCTAGGAAGGGAGTCTGCAGAGGGGCACAGAGAATCTTCAGGGGGCGGTCTGTTCATTCTCCCGATGGTGGACATGGTTTCACGTCCAGCCTTACCAAAGTGCGCACTGCTCAGTCCTGAGCAGCTCCTGCATGTCGGCTACACATCGATAAAGCCAGACTCGACTCCCCACTGGGCACAGGGCATCAGCAGCGTCCAGGATGCTTTGGGGACCCATGAAAATGTTTTCGTTTCTTTTAAAATGTGGGGGAGTGTGACCTTGTAGATTCAAAGCAAGTATTTTAGTTTTTTCTCACACTGGAAAACAAAACGAAAATTTTAGCACCCATGAAAACCTATTGAATTCTGCCTATAATGGAAAAAAAAACAAGTCAAAAGATTTAGCTATGTCCAAAGTAACTTTTACTATTGACATTATTCTGACGCAAGGAGCCCACAGTGGCCAAAGCACCATGGGTGGTGAGTCACACTGCAGCCCTAGGAGAGGCTGTTCTGTGTTCTGTGTTTTCAGGATTCTAGCTCAGAATGTGTGGTTTCATGAGCAGGGTCAGCCCCACAGGGGAGGCCAGTGCACCCCCGCACTGGCGGTGAAGGGTGGCCTGTGTCATTGGGGTCCTCAGGCTCCTGCCAGCACCCACAGCCCAGCCTCACCTGAAGGTGGTCCCAGACTACTTGCAGCCCTCATCCCCAAGTCTTGGAGAGGAGAGGCCAGCACATCTCAGAGCCGGTTTGGGAGAAAGGCGCTTCGAATCCGACGTTTTATTTTCCCAGGTGTTTGAGTAGTCGTCAGTTTCTGCTTGCTTGCTTTTGTTTTGGTTTTGTTATTTGTTTTTTAGAGACAGGGTCTCGCTCTGTTGCCCAGGCTGCAGTGCAGTGTCTCAGTCATGGCTTCCCGCAGCCTCCACCTCCTGGGCTTAATCGATCCTCCCATCTCAGCCTTGTGAGTAGCTGGGACCACAGTCACACACCACCATGCCTGGCCATCAGCTTTCTGATTTTATCAGAGAATTGACCTGTAAAGGGAAGGAAGCGGCACCTGTGGTTTAGGAAAAGACACCACCACATAGGTTGCCAGATGCCATCCGCACCATCTGCCCTGAGGGCCCCCAGCAGAGACTGGATCCCACTGGGACCCGGTTAAACGTCCGCATGAAATACATCAGGCTCTGTCAGGCCCTGGTCCTCTCTGCACTCACAGAGATGGGCCTGAATCCATTGACATTCACGTCTCCTTTACTGAGTCTCCTGGAACAGCCCACCTTCCTCCTCCCAGAAGCCTCTGATTTCCTCCCTCGCTGCTGCTGGTGCTGCAAACCTGGTGCATGCCTGAGTCCCCGTCCTCGGCGCACCTGCTGCTCTGGAAAGGCTCTCTGTGAATGGTAGACACTCTGGGCTCCCTCGCTGGGCTCCCAGGACCTTTGGGGAGGAAGACGTGAGTCTGCAGCAGCATCTCAGGACAGGAGAGGGGAGGGGAGCGCTCCAGGGGTGGGGCCACGCTGCTTTGTGATGCTTCCCATTGCCAAGCCCTGCCCCCCGGCTCTTTCTCCCCAGCGCCAGACCAGCCCCAGCACAGAACCCTTGTTCTGGGCAGGTTCAGAGGAGCATCCGGCCCAGGGAAGAGGAAGCCCAGGCAGGTGGGGCCCAGCAGCCCCAAGTGGCCAGATCTAGGACGATGGCAGGGGCCTAGGACAGAAGAACACGAAGACCCAGGGTCAGGAAGGGAGGGCCAGCGATGCCACCTGAGCGGGCATGCGACCAGACCAGACACAGGAACGAGGGCTCTGGGCAGGTGCCAGAGTGGGCAGGAGCCACACACACTTAAATCCACCCACTTCACACAGAGACACTTATGCACATGCATGTATGACACATGCCACACACACACCACACAGGCATGCATGCAATATGACACGTCTACACACACACACACGCCAGGGCACACATGCACACAACTTAGGCACACATCACCCACGAGGACATGCGGTATACGTGTTCACACCACACAAGACATACAGTCATCCCTCCGTGTCCGTGGGTTCCAGAACCCCCCACAGACACTAACATCCGCAGGTGCTCACGTCCTTTGTCGAAAACAGTGCAGCATTTGCTTGAAACCCAGGCACATCCTCCTGGATGCTGTCAATCATCTCCAGGCCCCCCGTGACACCGAGTCCAGTGTAAATTCTGTGTAAACAGTTGTTACACGGCACAGGTTTTCTAATATATTTTTATTATTTTTAATTGTTGTTTTGTTATTTTTTAATTTTTTTGATATTCAGTTAGTTGAATCCACAGACGAAGAGCCCACAGATGTGAAGGGGTCATCATATACACACACGTGCGTACATGCACACACACATGCATACTTACACACACACCCAAACAGCATGACACACGTACACACACGTGTCCACATCACACACACACAACCTGCAGACCCGGGGACTTGGCTGTGCCCTGGGGTCTGACCCCGCCCGTCTGCCCTCCCACACAGCCGTGGTCACTGCTTTTGGAAGTGCTAATGAAAACCTGCTGCGCACGAGAAGCAGCAGCCGAGTCACCTGGAGCTTGGCAAGCCCATCCCTGGAGGCCGAGGCTGATCACCATAATCCACAGTCCTATTTACATCTTGATTTCATTCTGGGAGCCGCGCATTTGCATAACTTACGGCCAGTGGTGTGCGCCCTGCCCCGGGGAACGCACACCGTCTCCTCCCCATCAGGCCTGGGACCCGCCTGATTGGCAATTTGATTAGGAGACAGAATAATGCCGGGCGATACAGTATGTAATTTATTTAAATGGAACAAAACGTGACACGCTATCACTGGAACCTGGCACCACACCTGTAGGAGCTTATTTGACACAAATTGAGATTTCAGGGTTTACAGATATTGCAAATGAAAACTCTCCGTAGGGTATCAATAAGAGTTCAACGGTTCCTTTTATTTGGTTTGAATTAATCACAATATAGGGAAAAAGTAGGTTCTATTTTTTGAAGGCTTTTTGAATAAAATCATTCTAAGAAGCATACATTTCTTCCGGAGATATAATTAAATTTCCAAATTGTAGTTTCCGGCTCTTACCCTCTGCAGTCAGTGCTGGGAAGGAATGTTGCTAATATTCAGGCACCAGGAAAGTTCTCGCTCAGTTCCTAGCCCAGCAGAGCCACTGCGCCCTCTCGGGAGCCACAGAACACCCGTGAGGACAGCACCTGTGGGCTTGAACCAGAAGCCCAGCCCTGCACCTCCCCTCCACTTCCCTTTCTTCTCCTTTTTCTTCCTTTCTCCTTCCTGGCAAACTGCAGAAATACCTTGCTATGAGCTAGGCCTGGACTCCTATCTGTGCAGCCACTCACAGTGGTCAGTTGCATCCGTCAGCCACTGCTGCATAACAAGCAACCCACGGTAAGTGGCCTGAAGTGATAAACAGGTAGTACTGCTCACACGTTTGTGGACAGCTGGGCAGGTGTGGTCTCAGCTGGGTCCACTCATGTGTCTGAGGTCCATTGTGGGTCCCAAGGCGGTTCTGCCACACTTAGCTGGGCTCTCTCCCGTGTCTGGGAATCGGCTGGGTGTCAGCTGGCCTAGGATGTCCTTGACTGGAACAAATGGGCACTCCCCTCTCCTCTCTCATTCTCCAGCAGGCCAGCCCCCGGGTCCAGCAGGGGTCTGAGAGAGCAGAGACTTGCAAGGCCCCTTGAGGCCCCAGACGACAGCACATTCTTCTTTCCCCCACAGTCTATTGGCCAAAGTAAGCCTCAGGCCCAGCCCAGATTCGAGGAGTGACGAAAGAGCCTCCATGTCTTTTGGGGGGCAAAGCTGCAAGGTGACAGGACAGAGGGTGTGGAACCTGGGAGACCTTTCTGTCCCCCACAGCCGAGTGGCTGCAGTGGGCCCCAGAGCTGCATCCCCTGGCCTCAAAAGCAGAACAGCCATTGCTGCCCCGCTGCCTATCCTGGTGTCTCTTCTCCGGACCACACGTCTGAGTCTGGGGCCACTGGAGAAGATGGCATCACGACCCAGCCAGCCTGGCACACGTGATGATGCTCACAGCTGGCTGATCCCGCAGGAACCGCAGGGAAGCAGCTGATTAAAGGCATCTCAAGGCAAATACTTGTAAGCAGCAAAACTGCCTGGGGGAGAACAGACAGTGAGTCCACTCTGGTCTGTCTCTAAATCCTCCACTTGCTCAAAGCCAGGGCCTCATGCTTTTAACAAGTTGATCTGCTGAACACGCCTCCCCATGAAGACCCATGAGGTCAACAGCAGTCTCAGCTCTCTCCACGGTGACGTCCTCCAGAGCCTTCTTACAGGATAAACTGGAAAGGTCTCAATATTACAGGGAATAAGTAATTCCTTCTCTTCGATGGGCTATCAGTAACCCCACACTTAATTTCCAAACACATGCAAACGGCAGCTGCAGGCATCACTTTTACCCGCATTTCATGAGACAGGAACATGAGCGACACATCTGAACATCACTGCCACTTGGAGGGGTATGAACTAATTTAACCCACAGAATCAGCGTTGTGGCTGAGGGCTCTTCTATGAAATGTCAATAAATATTGGGCCGGGCGCGGTGGCTCATGCCTGTAATCCCAGCACTTTGGGAGGCCGAGGCGGGCAGATCACAAGGTCAGGAGATCGAGACCATCCTCGCTAACACGGTGAAACCCCATCTCTACTAAAAATACAAAAAATTAGCCAGGCACGGTGGCGGACACCTGTAGTCCCAGCTACTCAGGAGGCTGAGGCAGGAGAATGACGTGAACCCAGGAGGCAGAGCTTGCAGTAAGCTGATATCGCGCCACTGCCCTCCAGCCTGGGCGACAGAGCGAGACTCCATTTCAAAAAAAAAGAAGAAGAAATGTCAATAAATGTGTTCAATGTGTGTGTTTAACATTGTCGGCTTGAACACGAAGGCAAGGAGCAGGCATTGTCAAGAGAATGAACATACTGAGAGGGAAAGAGTCTCCACTTCGCAGTCAGGTATTTCTGAGGAAGAGACATATGAAACGCATGTGGTTTTTCACATTTAGAGAAAGTGACGACTGTAAGAAGCTGACTGGATAAATAGTGGGGAAAGCTCTGTGCATAGCCAGCAGGAGAGTGCCCGGCATCTGCCGGTAGCTACACAGGCTCCTGGGAGAATCACCTTGACTAAGCGTCGATTTCACAAAGCTCCCAAGTCCAGGAGGGATTTCCACCTCTGCCTCCCTTTGTGGCAGTGACTATTCTGGGGAATTGGACTTAGGTGGCCTCTGCTGCCCGGCCCCTCTGCCCGTGCCACAGCTCCAGGGGTGAGTCCTGCCTGTGCCCAGGGTCCCGCAGGTCCCAGCTGGGTGTGGCTGGCATGGCTGGGGGATGGGCCCAGGCACAGGCTCCTCTCCTTGGGTGGAGCCCAGCAGCCCCCACCTCCTGGGCTGGACCCCTGGGGGGCCTGCACTTCCCAGCTGAGCAGGTAGGGAGGCTGCCATGCAGACGCTGTGGTTGGAGCAATTCCAAAGCACAGGCTGCCGTGTGAACAGGAGGCGAGGATTAAAACAGAAATAAGAAGTTCTCTCTCATCAAGCGTGGCAGTGACATACAAGGTCCTTCCCGGCAGAATTTCGCTTTTGTGCGATGAGAAGTTCTTTGCGTGGAGGGTGGTGATGATGACACAATGACGGGCCTGCGCCTGGCGCCAACTCACGGTATGGAGGCCTAAACATGGTCAGAATGGGAAATTTTATGTATTTTTACCAGAATTTGTAAAAGTCATAACGAGCCCAGTCTTTGTGGCAGAGGTATGCTCAAGTGTCTTTTTTTTTTTTTTTGAGATGCAGTCTCACTCTGTCACCAGGCTGGAGTGCAGTGGCTCAATCTTGGCTCACTGCAACCTCTGCCTCCCAGGTTCAAGTGATTCTCCTGCCTCAGCCTGCCGAGTAGCTGGGATTGCAGGTGCGTGCCACCATGCTTGGCCAATTTTTTTGTATTTTTAGTAGAAACAGGGTTTCACCGTGTTGGCCAGGATGGTCTCGATCTCTTGACCTCATGATCTGCCTGCCTCAGCCTCCCAAAGTGCTGGAATTACAGGTGTGAGACACTGCGCCCGGCCAAGTGTCCAGTTTTTTAAAGTCCCTCTGATGGTCGCCCACTCACATGAAGACAATGCACTGAGTACCCACATCGGAAGGAGAGCCAACGGCCCCAAAGGAAGCAAGCGGGGCTTGTGGGCAACCTGAGGCCATGTGAGGGAGACCTGCCACCAAGATGCAGAGTCTATCTATTTCCTCTCTGTGAATCTGGGTGGGTCACTTGCTGGGGCACCAGGTCAGACGTGCCCCCGGGGGGCTCCCAGCCTGAACTCCAGGGGACCCAGAGCCTCTGCTTGCACATCCTGGGACCCCAGGGCCGCTGTGCAAAGAAGCCCCAACTGGACTCCCGGGTGGAGAACTAAGGGCTCAATCCCCCAGCTCTGCCAAAATTAACTGGAGACTCCCAGAAGCAGAGATGCCTCGCTGCCACGGGGGCCACAGAGCTGCCTGGCTCACCCACCCAAAGTGCCGGCCCTCGGAGTCCTGAGCTACGTGAGTGCTTATTGCTTTCCTTTTTAAGTTTTTATTTTCAGCTGGTTTGTTACACAACAAAAGCTAACTGATTAACCAATAAATTTGAAAATTTAGATGGCAAAACAAATATAGAGAAAATGTACAAAAGTGATACAAGAGAAACAGAACATCTCAATGATCTTTTGTCTGTTAAAGAAAATGAACCTTCAGGCTAGGTTTGGTGGAGCACACCTGTAATCCCAGCACTTTGGGAGGCCAAGACAGGCAGGTCACTTGAGGTCAGGAGTTCAAGACTAGCCTGGCCAACATGGTGAAACCCCGTCTCTACTAAAAATACAAAAATTAGCCTGGCGTGGTGGCGGGTGCTTTTAATCCCAGCTACTCAGGAGGTTGAGGCAGGAGAATCGCTTGAACCCAGGAGGTGGTGGTTGCAGTGAGCCGAGACCATGGCACACTCCAGCCTGGGCGACAAGAGTGAAACTGCATTGAGAGAGAGAGAGAGAGAAGGAAAGAAGGAAAGAAAGAGAGAGAGAAAGAAGAAAGGAAGGAAGGAAGGAAGGAAGGAAGGAAGGGAAAGGAAGAAAGAAAGGAAGAAAGGAAGAAAGAAAGAAAGGAAAGAAAGAAAAAAGAAAGAAAGAAAGAAAGAAAGAAAGAAAGAAAGAAAGAAAGAAAGAAAGAAAGAGAGAAAGAAAGAAAGAAGAAAGAAAATGAACCTTCAACCTAAAACTTTCTCACAGAAAGTCTCCAGGCCAGGTGAGTTCCCTGGTGAAATTTTTCAAACATTCAAGAAAGAAATAAGCCCAACACACACTGCTGGCACAATGATGCCAGCGTAATCTTGGTGCCAAAACCTGACCAAAGGAAAGGTGGCTATGGGGCCAGCCCTCATGAGCAGATGTGCAAATCTAAACAAGTGTCAGCAACCAGACCCAGTGCTGTCTTAAAGGATCTTGAACTGCAACTAAATTATTTGTCTTTTCATTATTAATTTTTCCAACATTGAACAAATGCTCTTTCACTGACACTGGTCCTCTAGCCACATGTGAGCTTCTAACTTAAATTATGTTTTGTTTTTAATATTTTGGCCATGCGCAGTGACTCATACCTGTAATCCCAATGCTTTGGGAGGCTGAGGCAGGAGAATCATTGAGCCCAGGAGTTTGAGGCCAACCTGGGCAACACAGTGTGACCCCATCTGTACAAAAAAAAGTAAGGGGCAGGTGTGGTGGCTCACACCTGTAATCCCAGCACTTTGGAAGGCCAAGGCAGGCAGATCACCTGAGGTCGGGAGTTCGAGACCAGCCTGACCAACACGGAAAACCCAGTCTCTACTAAAAATACAAAATTAGCCGCACGTGGTGGTGCATGCCTGTAGTCCCAGCTACTCAGTAGGCTGAAGAAGGAGAATTGCTTGAACCTGGGATGTGGAGGTTGTGGTGAGCCGAGATCGTGCCATTGCATTCCAGCCTGAACAACAAGGTGAAACTCCATCTCAAAAAAAAAAAAAAGAAAAGAAAAAACTAACCAGGTGTGGTGGCATGCACCTGTGGTTCCAGCTGTTCAGGAAGCTGAGGCAGGAGAATCACTTAACTCCAGGAGGTGGAGGCTGCAGTGAGCCGTGGTCACACCACTGCATTCCAGCCTGGGCAACAGAGTGAGACCCTGTCTCAAAAATAAATACATAATAAACAATTTCTACTATGTTCTTTGTCTAGCCAGTTGTTCTTGTTCCTAATACTCTGTTCTTGTTTTATGAATGATATCTGTCTTCATCTCTCTGAAGATTGAATTTTGAATGGACTCACTGTGAAGTTCTGACTACTTTGATTACCTCTGGTTTCTCAGCTGTGACTCCTCCTGTTTATTGAGGCGGCAGCCTCTTTTCAGAGCGGGACGTCTTTGGGTGTTCGGTGATCCTGGCTCCTGGGGGTTTCTCTCCCGCAGGTGTCCAGGCTTGAAGCGGCCTCCGTCTGCAGCACTTTCGCTGCCCTGCTCTTGCCCTTCAGGTTGGATGTCAGTGCCTTGAGTTACAAACCTGTGTCGGGGGCTCCATCTGTCACCACAGCCGGACACAGTGCCCCACACCTGTGCTCCCCAGTACTCATGGGGCTGACAAAGGAGGATGGTTCGAGCCCAGGAGTTGGAAGCTGTAGCACACGGTGACTGTGTCTGTGAAGAGCCACTGCCCTCCAGCCTGGGCAACACCGCGAGACCCTGTCACTAAAAAATAAATATGTATATGTATATATATATATATAGCCACAGCTGGGTAATGCAGTGGGTTGAATAGTTTCCAAAATGTTCATCCAGAACCTCAGACTGTGACTGTAGCTGGACATAGATTCTTGGCAGATATGAGTGATTAAGTTTAGATGAGGTCACACAGGAGCAGGGTAGGCCCTCAGTCCTATGACTCGTGTCCATATAGGAAGCGGAGGGGACACAGAAAGGAAACAGGTGCCCGGGAAGATGGCCTTGTGCAGACAGATGCAGAGACCGGAGCGATGCAGCGGCTGCTGAGGACACCTGGGGACACCGGGGCGGGAAGCCGGAAGAGGCAGGAAGCCGGAAGAGGCAGGAAGCCGGAAGAGGAGGCAGGAAGGAGCTTCTCCCGGAAACCGCAGGGAAGGCGGCCCTGCCCACACCCTGAAGTCAGACTCCCGGCCTCCAGAATGGAGGACAACACGTTTCTGTTGTTTTAAGCCCCGCAGTACTGGGGTCTTTGTTCCGGCAGCCCTGGGGCACCCCGTGGACACCCTGCCTGAGGGCGCTGCCCCGTCCCCGGTGCCCAGGCGTTTGCCCCGTGCGTCCTGTCCTGAAGCATCATGGCCGGGTCACTGTGGCAACGCCGTTGGTCACTGTCCCCACAGAGCAGCTTCTGCAACACGCATGTCGTCAGGCGCCGCAACCTCGGGACCCCGGTGACCAGGAAAAAGGAGACTTGGACATAAACAGAACCAGCATTTTCCAGAGGAACTCCAGAACAGAAAAACATGCAGGGCATTTTGGAGAAGGAGAAGCGGGAGTTGAGACCGTCAGAAATGACGGGAGTCCGTGCCCTGCACCTGCCGACCGCCGGCCCCGTTCCAGGGCGAAACCGCGGTCTCTCCCTCTCCACGGGAGCCAGGAGCCCGCCCGGTGTTCCCCACCTCGCAGCGGGGAGGGAGGGTGGCCTCCCAAGTCGCACGCGGGACCCGGGCATGGGTGGCCCTGCTCCATACAGCCCCGGCCACCCCACCCCTGGCCGGTCCCACAGCCTCACACCAGCCGCTCCAGCCATAGCCACGGACGGCTGAGTCCGGCCCCGATGCTCATCCCTGGAGCTCGTGCTCCCTCCTCTGGACTCCCCGAGAACTGTGCCCGGACCGCGCGCAGCCGAGCGTCTCCCTGCACAGCGGCACTCGGCGCTGTCTGCAGAATGAGCCGGTGTGCAGAGACACGCGGGCCGGCCAGCCCCTGAGAATCGCCCGGGAGCCCGGCCGGGTGGTCCCCGCGCCTCCCTGGTCTGTCCCAGTCAAAGGTCCTGATTTATCGGGGGATTTTGTGGGACTGGAAACCGCCTGGCTGAGGGAGGGTCGGGAGGATTTCACTCCACTGTCTGAGGACTGGCTGCTGATGGCTTTGATGCCTCCCCTCTCCCTCCTCCCTGGGCCCCACACCGGCCAGGCCTCACTTTAGTGCCTGTAGAAGATTCGAAGCACAGAAGCCCCTGGCATCCCGGGGAACCCCCGCCCCGGCCCCACCCCAATCACGATAAACCCTGGCCTTTGGACCAGCTCGGATGGGGCGCGGCGGGGGGCTCCTGCTCCCCTGGAAACCTCAGTGGTGTAAGGGATGGGACGTTCTCACCCTCCTGGTGTGTGTGTGGCATCTTCAGTCTTGACATCTGAATCGAACATTGGGCAGGGGTCTCTCCTGTCCTTGCAAGGTGACCGTCACTGGGATGCCCCGTCTCCAGCTGAGCAACAGCACTGTGTGTCCCAGACCTGAACAGCGAGTGGAGACAGTGCCGCTGTGCCACCGCAGGGCACCTCCCGCTGCCTTGGCCACCCAGGCCCTCCTGGGAGGGATCCAAACCACTGACCAGAAATAACACCTGAAAACCGGAACCCGGGTCCTGGGGTCACACGCAGCCGAAGGGATGGGCTGGGTGCACGAAGGACGGGCACGGCAGAGCTCGGCTGTGAGGGTGTCATCTGGGCTCGGAGCTCAGCCGCCGTGTCACCTGACCCCCTGCAACTCCGCGTGTCAGGTGGGTCGTCTGGTTTTATCCCCAGAGCACCATCCTGGAGAAAACCAAGGACACAGCAGGGTATGAGGAGCATGGGTTCCTGGTTCAGAATGAGCTTAAACAAAAGGTTTATTGGCTGGGTTTGGCGTTCCATCTGTTTATTTGCTTTTGTCTGTGGTATAAATGTCATGAGGAAGCTGAAAATGGAGAATTAGGAATGGGCCTAAGTTGCTAGTGTCTGAAACCAAGGTTAAGCTGAAGGGGAAGCCCAGGGTGGATGGACCCAATGCTAGGTGGCTCGGAGGCTTCAGGAATGGCTGGATCCAGGAGCTTATGTGACGTTATCAGATCTCTCTCTCTTTCTGTCTCTCCTCTCGCTCTGTCTCCCCCTCTGCCCACCACTATCACTACCATGCCCCCCAGCCCCCATGAACCTGCTTCTCTTTGAGTCAGGTCAGGCCCCTGAACCCTCCTACCCACAGCCATGAGGAAGACGCTGTTCCCCGCAGCCAGCTTCATGCAGACTCCCCAGTTGGCCCTGCTGTGGGCAGGAAGATGAGGCACCTTCCCTGGCCAGCCATAGACGAAGTGGTGGCCCCTGGGGCCAGGAGACGAGGGGGTCCTCTGATGATGGTGTGGGTGCAGTGCAGCTGCCCTCATGAAAAAAAGAAGACTTCAGGCAAAGATCTAAGTAAGAGATTCCAGGATCTACGATAACCCAGCTCCTAGGGGAGGGAGGGATGCAAGAAACACACAGCGTAGAGTTCAACTCAGCAAGAAGGGGCAGCATGACTCAGAGTGACGGACCCTCACACCCACCACCTGCGTCCCACCAACCCGATGCCCACAGCGGCTGGACAGGCTGGACCAGGGGAAGTCAGCGTCTTGGACGCTGGTGCTAGGCCACCTGCATTAACCCTCAAGTCCACCCCAGTCTGCAGCGTGGAAACTCAGCACTGGGCTTTTGTGAAGATTTAATGAGTTGGTTCCTGATTAGAATCTGGCCCCAACCACAGGCCTGATGAGGCTTTGCCCGGCAGGCCTCGGGGAAGCTACCCTCCCCGCACCAGTCTTCTGCAGCCAGCGCATCACGGCGTCTGCAGGGAGCTGCAGTCCCGGGCCCAGCGGCCACCCCAGCACCAGAAGGCCAGCTCCCACTCACGTCTAGAGTCCTAGGCCAGGCACCGACATCCAGAGGCCTCCTTAGCGGGGTGGGGGTGGCAGCTGAGCCACCTTCCTCCCCTCATGCCCTTCCTGTCCCTGGCCCCAGACTGTTTTTAGAGGCAGTGTCTTGCTGTGTTGCCCAGGCTGACCTCAAACTCGTGGCCTCCAGCGATCCTCCTGCCTGACTTCTCCAAGTGCTGGGATTGCAGACGTGAGCCGCCACTGTGCCCAGCTCTGCCAGGAGCCTCTTGCTGGGGGCTCCTCCTCTTGAGGCGATCCCCACATCTGCACTGCACCCGGCCAACCCTCACCCGTCCCCTCCGTGGGGTGAATGGGACACGGAAGCCAGTGCCTCCCTCTGCCTCTGGTCTGTGGCCACCACCGTAGTGAGTAAAGGCTTGATGGCCGCGGTCGGTCCAGCTGTTCCTCCTCACTGACTGGCTGGACATCTGGTGGCTCAGCAGAGTGTGTAAGAGCCTCTGTAAGCCCCAGCGCAGGACGCACTCTCCAGGTAGCCTTGGTCCCAGGCCTGAGCCAGCCCTCTCACGCCAAGCTCAGGCCAGCTCTCAGGAGGCACCGCTGCCTTCCACCCTGGAACAAGAAACCGCAGCCACCATGAGACTCCAGCTCCCTGCCCGCAGCCCATCGGCCATCCGGTCCTTTCCTTTCAATTTTGTCCAGCATTTCCCCAGCCCAGTCCTCCCAGGCCCTGCTGGTACCCATCCCCGCGGTGCCAAGGGGACGCCTGCCCAAAGCCGACTTCAGCCCCTCTCACGGTGGCTCCCAGTGCCCGTTTAGAGAGAGAGTGAGTTCTTCGGAGGAAAAGGAGAAGATGTCTGAGGCAGCCTCTGCAGGGCAAGTGTTCTGCAGGGCAGGTGTGGGGAAGCTGGGAGTGGTCCCAGCCCTCGTGGGAGGCCTGTGGCAGCCCCGGCTCTGGAGTCAGCGCTCCCTCCTGGGAACCGATAGCTGTCTGTGAGCTCTGACCCGGCAATTCGGAAGTGGCCATGGGGACTGCATGTTTGGAATAGGGGTCTCCATCCCTCCGTTAACTGGAGACGCAGTGGAGACAGTCACTGAGACCCCAGGGGAAGGGACACCTCACAGGAACCAGAGCAGAGAAAACACAGACTTGTCTGAATCCACTTCTAGCATCTCAGTAATTCTGAAACATCAAACAGAGCTCGGCTATCAGAGGCAACAACTGAGTTGGAGGAGGTCCTGCTTCACCCCGAGAGGTTTCCCCGGCCCCGTGAACCATTGTTCTGAGGAAGTTCCCCACCTCCTTCCCCGCTTCCCACAGCCACAAGTCGTGAGGGGCTTCCCCCTGGGTGGGGGGCTCCTCTCCACCTCCACTCACCCTGTAACATCTGTTTCCTCTGCCCGGGGCACAGAACAGGGGCTGCTCAGAAGCTGATTTGTTTTCTGTTGAATTTGTTGAAGAATCATGTAAAATGGACCCTTATAAGGGAAAGTAAGTTTAAACCTTCAAAAGAAAAGTATACACCAACCTGGTTCAGGGTGAGGAGGCCCTGCTTTCTCTCCAGATGTTGGCTGTGTTAGTCAGAGTTCTCCAGAGGAACAGAGCCAGGGGGTCGTGCACAGAGAGAGGTTTATTTTTAAAAATTGGCTCCCACAGTTAGGAAGCTGAGAGCTCACCATCTGCAGCTGGCAAGCTGGACACCCGAGAGAGCCGGACACCCGGGAGAGCCGGACACCCGGGAGAGCCGGACACCCGGGAGAGCCGGACACCCGAGAGAGCCGGACACCCGGGGGAGCCAGCCAGCCAGGGGAACCAGAAGCCTGGGAGAGCCAGTGCTGCAAGCTCTAGTCCTGGTCCAAATCTGAAGGCAGGACGAGCCCATGTCCAGGCAGAAGGCGCCATGCCTCCGACAGACCCAAGGAGGCCCTGCACGCTGGGGAGGGACCACTGCGTTACTCACCCATGGACTCAAGTGTCCTCCTCACAGCCCAGCCATGGTGACACCTCGATTCCGCATCACATCGGCGAGTGCACGGCCTCCAGGTGGCTACGTGCCCTGCGTACTCATCACACTTGGCCCGGCGGAGCCTGGGTGGCTTCGTCTGACCTTATCTACTGGGCCAACTTACCCTCTAGATCCCCCAAGCCATGGTCTGTAGCGCCCCTTTCTCCCGTCCTGCTCCAGACAGCGAGGGCCTCTCCGTGGTTGAGGGCAGGGAGCACAGTCTTTGCCGAGCCCGCACGCTGCTCCCGGGATAGCAGGCACAGGCAGACGCAGCCCCAGCCCCGGGAGCAGGTGTGGGCTCCAGCTACACAAAGGAGATCTCAGAATCGGGAAACATGGCCACTCTTGGCACCCAACTTCTTTTTGAAATATTGAAATATTTTTCTTTTTACAAAAATGTGTTCAAATGCTATAGGTTTACTTTTGTTATATGGAAATGAATGAATATGGTCTAACTTCTCAGTTTTAATTTCAATAGGGTAGATATCAGTAGACATAAGCCACATAAACAAAAGCTTGCTGGAGTCCTCAATAATTTTTTTTTTTTTTTGAGACAAGGTGTCACTCTGTTGCCCAGCCTGGAGTGCAGTGGCACAATCTCAGCTCCCCACAGCCTTAACCTCCCTGGATTCAAGTGATCCTCCCACCTCAGCCTCCCGAGTCACGGGGACCATGCCTGCCTAATTTTTGTGTTTTTTGTAGAGATGGGGTCTCACTTCATTGCCCAGACTGGTCTTGAGCTCCTGGGCTCAATTGATCCTCCCTCCAGCCTCGGCCTCCCAAAGTGCTGGGATTACAGGCATGAACCATCACACCCAGCAAATAATTTTTTTTTTTGAGATGGAGACTTGCTCTGTCCCCCAAGCTGGAGTGCAGTGGCACGATCTCGGCTAACTCTCACTGCAACCTCCGCCTCCCAGGTTCAAGCGATTCTCAGGCCTCCGCCTCCTGAGTAGCTGAGATGACAGGCGTGCACCACCACGCCTGGCTAATTTTTCATACTTTTAGGAGAGACGCCTGTGATCCCAGCACTTTGGGAGGCCAAGCGGGGAGGATCACTTGAGCCCAGGAGCTCAAGACCAGCCTGGGCAACATGGCTAGACCCCATCTCCACAAAAAATTTTTAAAATTAGCCAGGCATGGTGGTGCATGCCTGTGGTCCTACCTACTCAGGAGGCTGAGGTGGGAGGATCACTTGAGCCCAGGAGTTTGAGGTTGCAGTGAGCCATGATCACACAACTGCACTCCAGCCTGGGCAATAGAGCAAGACTCCATCTTAAATAAATAAATAAATAAATAAATAAATAAAATGTACCATCTTAACCACTTTTAAGCGTGTACTTCTGTGGCGTTAAGTACACCCACATCCCTCTGCAACCATCGCCATATTCATCTCAAGCACCTGTCATCTGCCCAGACTGAGACTCTGTCCCCATTAAACACTAACTTACAATTTCCCTTTCACCACCCCCTTCCCCGCAAATTCTACTTTCTGTCTGTGTATTTGATGACTCTAGGCTCCTCACATGAGCAGAATTATGCAGTATTTCCCTTTCGTGTCCAGTTTGTTTCACTTAGTAAATTTTTAAGGTTCATCTATGTTGTAACATGTATCAGAATTTTCTTCCTTTTTTTTTTTTTTGAGATGAGGGCTCACTCTATCACCAAGGCTGGGGTGCAGTGGCACAGTAATGCCTCACTACAACCTCTGCCCCTCCTCTGGGTTCAAGCAATTCTCGTACCTCAGCCTCCCAAGTAGCTGGGACTACAGGTGTGGACCACCGCGCCCAGCTAATTTTTTGTGTTGTTGGTAGAGACAGGATTTTGCCACATTGCCCAAGCCGATTTTCTTCCTTTTTGAGGCTGGATAATATCCCACCGGACGCGCAGACCACATTTTGTTTACCCATTCATGCACTGATGGACACTTGCGTTGCTTCCACCTTTTAGCTCTTGTGAATAACGCTGCTGTGAACATAAATGTATAAATGTCTGTTCAAGTATTGCTCTCAGTTATTTTGAGTGTATATTCGGAAATGGAATTTCTGGATTACATGGTCATTCAGTTTTTTGGGGAAGCCAGCACACGGTTTTTCCATAGCTGCTGCATCATTTTACATCCCCACCAAGAGTGCACAGAGTTCCAATTTCCCTCTGTGCTCGTCAACACTTGTTATTTTCTCTTGCTTCCGTAAGAGCCATCCTAATGGGCATGAGGTGGGGTCTCACTGTGGTTTTTACTTGCATTTCCCTAGTAATTAGTGATGTGGAGCATCTCCTCATGTGGATCTTGGATACTTGTGTATCTTGTTTGGAGAAATGCCTACTCAACTTCTCCACCCACGTTTTTTATTGTGTTGTTTGGTTTTTGTTGTTGTTGAGTTGCAGGAGTTCTTCACACATTCAAGATATTAATCCCTTATCAGGTAGATTATTTGCAAATATTTTCTCCCATTCCACATGTTGCCTTTTCACCTTTTTGATAGTGTCCTTCAAAGCACAAATGTTTTTAATTTGGGGCCGGGCACGGTGGCTCACACTTGTAATCCCAGCACTTTGGGAGGCTGAGGCGAGCGGATCACCTGAGGTCAGGAGTTTGAGACCAGCCTGACCAAAATGGTGAAACCCTGTGTCTCCTAAAAATACCAAAACTAGCCGGGCGTGGTGGTGGATGCCTATAGTCCCAGCTACTTGGGAGGCTGAGGCAGGAGAATAGCTTGAACCCAGGAGGCGGAGGTTGCAGTGAGCTGAGATTGTGCCATTGCACTCCAGCCTGGGTGACAGAGCAAGACTCTGCCAGAAAAAAAAAAAAAAGAAAGAAAGAGAGAGAGAGAAAGAAAGAAAGTTTTTAATTTTGTTAAGGTCTGATTTACCTATCTTTTCTTTTGTTGCCTGTGCATTTGTGTCATATTCAAGAAATCATTGCCAAAATCAGTATCACAATGCTTTTCCCTTATCTTTTCTTCTGAGAGTTTTAGCTTTTACAAGTAGATCTTTGATAAATTTTGAGTTAATTTTCAAGTCTGGTGCTACATAAAAGTTCTATTTTATTCTTTTACATGGGGATATCTAGTTTTCTCAGCAGCGTTTGTTGAATGGACTGTTCTTTCCCTATTGAATGGTCTTGGCACCCTTGTCAAAAATGATTTGACTGTATATATGAGGGCTTATTTCTGGGCTGTATTCTATTCCCTTGGTCTATATGTCCTGTGTTTATGCTGGTACCATACTGTTTTGATGACTGTAGCTTTGTAGTAAATTTTGAAATTAGAAAGTGTGAGTTCTTCAACTTTGGGTTTTTTTTTTTTTCTTTTCCAGACTGTTTTGGCTAGTGAGGATCCCTTGAGATTCCACATGAATTTTAGAGTGGGTTTTTCTATTTCTGGAAAAAAAAAATAAGTCTGCATTTGGGAGGCCGAGGCGGGCAGATCACAAGGTCAAGAGATCAAGACCATCCTGGCTAACACAGTGAAACCCCGTCTCTACTAAAAAAATACAAAAAATTAGCCGGGCATGGTGGTGGGCAGCTGTAGTCCCAGCTACTCAGGAGGCTGAGGCAGGAGAATGGCATGAACCTGGGAGGCAGAGCTTGCAGTGAGCCGAAATTGCGCCACTGCACTCCAGCCTGGGCAACAGAGCTAGACTCTGTCTCAAAAAAAAAAAAAAGTCTTTGGAATTTTGATAGGAATTGCATTGAATCTACAACTTGCTTTGGACAAGATGGATGTCTTAACTATAATAAGTCTTCTAATTCGTAAACACTGGGTGTCTTTCCATTTATTTATGTCTTTTTATTTTTTCAGCAATGTTTTGTGCTTTTCAGCATACAAGTCTTTCAATTCCTTGGTTAATTCATAAGTATTTTATTCCTTGTGGTGCTATTATGAATGGAATTTTTAAATTTCTTTTTTGGATAGCTCATCATTAGTATATGCAAATGCAATTGACTTTTGTGCGTGGATTTTGTATCCTGCAACTTTGCTGAATTCACCTATTAGTTCTGTTAGTTCTAACAGGTTTTGGGTGGAATCTTTAGGATTTTCTGCATATTCCATCATGTTGTCTGTGAACAGAGATAATTTCACATCTTCTTGTCCATGTTGGATGCCTTTTGTCTATTTCCTCTGACTGCTGTGGTTGGAACTTCCAGTGCTGTGTTGAACAGCAGTGAAGAGTGTGGGTACGTTTGCCTTGTTCCTGGTCTCAGAGGAGAGGCTTTGTGCCTCTCACCATTGAGTACAACGCTCACTGTGGGTTCTTCCTACATGGCCATTGTTATGTTGAGGTCGTTTCGTTCTAGCCTGGTTTTTTCCATGTTTTTATCATGAAAGGGTGTTGAGTTTGTTCAAAGGCTCTTTCTGCATTGATTAAGGTCACGTGGTTTCTTTCCTTCATTTGGTTAACATGGTGTACAACATCGATCGGTTTTCATATGTTGAACCGTTCTTGCATTAAGGAACAAATTCCACCTGGTCCTGGAGTAGAATCCTTTTAATATGCTGCTGAATTGGGTTTCTGCTAGTATTTTGTTGAACTTTCCATTCTATTACAAAATAAAACGTTTTTATGTTTCATTGATTCATTCTCCTATTCGGGAAAATATCGAACATGCACATGGAATCCCTTTCATATGTGTCTTCGGTATCCCTGTGACCAAGAGCAAGAGAGAGTCACGAGAGGCAGAGATCCTCGGAGACCCAGGGCTTTGAGCTGGATGCAGGGCTGGCCAGGCCCCTGGGGTGTCTTGTGGTGGTGAAGACGGGGTCCTGTGGGTTCCACGTGTGGGAAAAGTGGTGAGGCCACCATTTGATCATCTGATGATCAGAAGAGTGTGGGTGGCAGGAGCTGGCAGCTGTCACCAAAGTCACTTCCTGTTGTGCTTAGGCACACAACCAAACTATGTTTTCCAGCCTCCCTTGATATTGAAGATTATCACAGGACTGAGTTCTGGCAAAGGAGTATGGGCATCAGGTGCACCAGCCTGGTCTCCAGGACACCCTGGGAAGCTCTTCCCGGGCTCTTTTTCCCTCTGTCTGGAACCAAAGTGACCCCAGGGCCATATCTGGAACCATGTATGGAAGGTGGAGGAACCCTAGGAGAAGGAATCCAGTTCCTGACCGTTAGGAACAGAGCCAGCCATGAGCAGCATTGGACTCGAGAGTAAAATACACTTGACTGTGTGCAGCAGCAGAGATTTTTAGGGTTTTTCTATTATACTCACTGAGGTATTCACCCATGTAGCCACACCACCATCTCTGGGTGTTGAGCTGCACTGGCCTTTCCCTCTGGAACACTCTGACCTCCCCATCTCCTTCTTTCTAGAACACTCTGACCTCCCGGTCCCCTTCTTTCTGGAACACTCTGACCTCTCAGTTCCCTTCCTTCTGAAACACTCTGGCCTCCCTGGTCCCCTTCTTTCTGGAACATTCTGACATCCCTGTCCCCTCTCGCCTGGCTCTGCTGCCTGCCGGGCTGTGTCCCACGGCCAGGGCTCCAGGGGAGAAGGGGAACCTCAGCCTCTCGGGTAGAGAAAAGTCGGGGAACTGACTCACAGCCTCACGCCTCTGGGGCCCCAGTCACTCTCCCACCTCCACCCTACTGTACCCGCCCCACCCCCTCGGTCGCACACCTGCCCCACGGGAACACAGTGGAGCCTCTAGAAAAAGTCCAGGTGCTGCTTCCACACAGGCACCAAACCTGAAGAGCAGCACAAAGGAAGGTGCCTGAAAGGCGCTTGCAACACTCACCCAGAGATAATGCTGCGGTTTCCACAACTGCTCTGTTTTAATATCGACTCCCACGAGTTGAGGGGACGTTATTTTCCTTATTTACAGATAAGGAAGGTGAATCTAGGCAGCCCCTCCCACTCACCCTCCTGCAGCAACGCCCCTGACACCCCTCTACCCACCCTGCTCCGGATGCCTGAGCTGCCTCCCCTACGTGATGGCCTCAGAGGTCTCAGCTGAGGACCTATGGGGGCACCTGTGAGGTCCAGTCATCTGAAGCCATGTCCACACTTGAAGACTCAGGCTCGCTGAGAAAGCTCGGCCTCGGCTGGGCTGCTGGGGCTGCAGGGGAGGCCGGGATGACCCAGAGGGAGGAACCAGCACCAGGCTTCAGGGAGGGGGTGGTCGGGGATATTAGAGAGGAGAGTCCGCAGCAGGTCCCAGCTCCGCCGTGTGGCCAGGGACACCACTGAGGCCTGGTGGCCCGTCCCTGCCCCCCACCCTCCCGGGCTTATTCTCCCTCAGGGCACCCAAGAGGAGAAGCCTTCCCCTGCCCTTATACTCTCACTGCAAAGGCCGGGTAGGGCTGAGACATTTCGGAAGAAGGCCCACTGCCCGCAGAGAGGGTCGGCCTCCTCGGGGTTCTGGGGAGGGGACAGTGGCAGGAGGCGCCTGGTGAGATCTGGTGAGCGCCAGTTCCAGAATGGGGGAATGTGGGGCGCTGTCCGAGGTCCTGAACGTCTCTGGAGGGCCTGACTACGTCAGGCTCAGGACTCAGAGGACCTGTGCAGCAGCGAGAACAGAGGGGTCCAAGGAGGCAGAGACGGGGGAGATGGGGCTCACAGCAGCACTTGTCATGCAGACTCGGGGCTCCTGGGCATCTCTGATACTCAGGGGCCATGGGGTCAAGACGGATTCAGGGATCCGGCCAGGTCCAGGGACTGAGTGGCCTCAGGGTTACCTCCATGCACTGCACCTGTGGGTCCCCACAAGGCCTGAGTCAGTCCAACCTGGAGCTCCGGCCAGGGGCAGTGCAGGACTGGGCAGAGCCTCACCAGAGAGACCAGTGGTGGTGGACACGGAGGGGATGCCAGCCTCGGAAGGAGAAAGGGTTTATCTCCTAGAGGAGAGCTGTCCAGCCGGGGCGTGACAGCAGCCTGGGGTCCAGAACAGAGGGAAGGGGCACCGTGCTGTGCGACCCGGCTGTGCTTCAGCCTCCTGGGAGACTCAGCCCCCTGGGAGGCTGCCCACAAACGGGCCAGGCATCCACCTGGAGGAATGAGCTCCCCGTCAGCTCCGTGGCTCCCCAAACTGGCACATATACCCAAGTCAGACAACACAGAAGCATGGTCTCCATGTGGAGTGGAACGCAGACCCCCTGCCCAGGCCCTGCTGGCTGACCTTGGGCCCCTTCCAAGCCACTAAGCCCTCATCACAAAAGTCAGACGTGCTGATCTCTGAAGCCAGGCCTGATGCCGGGGGCCTGGTTTTCTGCTCTTGACGGGAATAGCTCACAGCTGTGTGTCTATATTGGAAGCCGCTTCTACCAAGCCCAGTTATTTATATATCTTCTTCCCAAATGGAAATATAAGGAAATGTGTTAGCAATTTTGACTTTATTTCATAAAACACAGGATGAGGCCAAATGGAAGTCTGTTTCTGAATAAGATTACAGATTACAGATCTGAAAAACAAAGTTGTCTTTCAGCTGCAAATATCATTTAGAGAAAATGTCTTGTTTTGTAAAAAGAAGCTGTGTGTTGACAGATTTCTTCCCCTCAAATTCTAGAGGAATTTCAAAGCTCTCAGAGGTTCTAAGCTCTCAAAGTTCTACCTGTGGGGGAGGTGGTGCTTGCATCCTGGACACCCCCTGCCCCCTGCAGGCCCAGTGCAGTGGGGTCGCCAGATGCAGCTCTGTGCCCACAGGCTTGCTGGCAGGGGCAGGGCTGGCTGCCATGGGGGGGATGCCACCTCCACCCTGACCAGCACCTCAGGTACACCAGCCCAGCAGCAGGATGCAGAGGTTCCAGGATCCCCATAGCAGGACAAATATCCTCATCCTTCCCTGGGCATCTGGAAACCCAGCTATGCCATCGAAGCCTTCCGGGAAGGCGCACCTTGCCCACTCGCAGCTTGCCCCCCATCCCCAGCTTGTCCCCCACCCCAGGCTTGTCCCCCACCCCCAGCTTGTCCCCCACCCCGGGCTTATCCCCAACCCCCAGCTTGTCCCCAACCCCTGGCTTGTCCCCCACCCCACCTTTCCTTTAACTCTTGCTCGGCCTCATGTAGAGGTTGAAGGGAACACCCCCAGGCAGGTGACAGCTCCCCACCTTCGGGTGACCCACCCGCTGCCTCCCACAGCCCTCTCACTTGCCCCCGCAAGCAATGCCCCTGAGCCCCCACTTCCTGCCCTGCTTGGCAATGCCTGAGCTGCCTCCCCTATGTGATGGCCTCAGAGGCCTCACAGGGAAGCCTGAGACCCCCCGTGCCATGCCCACCCTGCCCACAGGACCCTTGAAGACCCCAGGTGGCCACGGGCTCCCTCCTTTCTGTCCCCTAGTTCCTCACTTCCTGGTGGTCTCTCCTCGCCTGTCACCTCCCCGAAGCCTTCCTTGGCTGTCCAGGCACCTCTCAGCACACATCTTCCTCTTCCCACCCTGGGTGTCACATCTGCACGCATCAGTCAGCGCACTTGTGCTGGTCTCTCCTTCCCGCTGCTGGTCAACCTCGCCGGGCACCTACCATAGGCCCTGCATCCATGATAGGGACCGGCAGAGCCCTGGGGAGGACACCGAACTTAGGAGGGCTTCCTGGAGGTCAGTGAGAGTGGAGCTGGGAGTATGAGGAGGACCATCACCCCTGGACTGGGTTCCTGCATATATGAGAGAGGAGACTGCCATTCCTGCATATACAGAGAGTGTATCATTCCCGCATATACAGAGAGGAGAGGGTTCCATTCCCGCATATACAGAGAGGAGAGGGTTCCATTCCCACATACACAAAGAGGAGAGGGTTCCATTCCCACATATACAGAGAGGAGAGGGTTCCATTCCCGCATATACAGAGAGGAGAGGGTTCCATTCCCGCATACACAAAGAGGAGAGTATACCCTTCGTGCACATGCGTAACCTCATTGCATGCTGATGAGAAGCCTCGGGCATGCGTGTGCATGGGCAGTGGGCGACACACAGCTCTTCCCAGTGATGCCCCTTCTGTCTTTAAAATTATGATTAGTAATGAGCGCAGAATTTTTCTTGAAGAAACAAGAGTAAGAAGTCATTTAACGATTTCCAAACTAATTACGAATATGGCCATACTTGAAAAGCCACTCCCTAAAAGTGATGACTTGGCTCAAGCTGCAGTGAGAACCCGCACGGGAGGCATCCGCCGTGAGAACCCACATGGGAGGCACCTGCTGTGAGAACCTGTGCGGGAAGCACCCGCAGCCATGCCACTTTTCACCCCGGCCCGAGGCAGAGACCCCTTCACATCCCCACCTTGCCTGCCCCTGCCTCCTCAGTGGGGTGATTGAATAAAGGACATTGGTTCTGGTTATCATCTTTGAGCTGCCAGGTTTTTTAATGGCTGCATGGAGATATCATTCGCATACCCTCAAACTCACACGCTTTAAGTGCCCAACTCAATGCCTTTTAGTATATTCACAGGCTGTGCGTCTATCACCACAATTTTAGAATATTTTATCACCTCAAAAAGAAAGAAATCCTGCTTCCAGCAGCCATCACTCCGAGTCTCCCGTTTCCCCGGCCCTTGTCCATCATGAGGCCACTCTCTGTCTCTGTAGATGTGTCTGTTCAGGACATTTCACATCAATTCAATCATACACCATGTGGTCCATGGAGATCAGCTTTGTTTACTCAGCATGATGCTTTCGAGACTCTGTGGGGGCGATCTGGCTGTGGCATCTGTCACCCCATTGATTACCAGGTTTGATTCCACTGATGTGGCCAGCTCAGCGGCGTTCCCTTCCCGCCTGACCACTCCATGTGCCTCCCTCCCAAAACTGTGTGCTCAGCCAAAGAAAATGACCTTCCCAAATAGAAAAGGACCATTCTTCAGTCCGGGGTGTCCGAGCAGCCATGCTTCCCTGCTAGAACCTCCAAAGAAGCTCTCGAGGTCCATCCATGGTGCAACAGGAATCAGACCTTTGTTGCCATTTAGGATTTAATATGATTCCATTGTATGGATTACATCACATTTTGTGTAACTACTTATCCCTTGGCAGAAATTTGGGTTGTTTCCACTTTTTGGCTATCACTAATCATGCTGCTATGAACACAGATGTACAGCTTTGTCCATGGACACGTTTGCCTTTCTCCTGGGTAAATGCCTAGTAGAATTCCTGGGTCATCTGGTAACTCTATATTTGACATTGGAGGGAAAATGAGACTGTTTTCCACAGTGCTACACCATTTGCCCCTCCTGCCAGTGATGGATGAGGAATCTGGTTCTCCACATCCTCCCAACACCTGTCATTGTGCCCTTTAGACTACAGACATCCCAGTGGATGTTAAGCGTTGTCTCTTTGTGGCTTTGATTTGCCTGTTCCTGACAGCTGCTGAAGTTGAGCATATGTCCATGTCCCTAGTGGTCCATTGGTGTGGTTTGGCTCTGTGTCCCCACCCAAATCTCATCTTGTAGCTCCCATAATTCCTACGTGTTGTGGAAGGGACCAAGTGGGAGATGACTGAATTATGAGGGTGAGTCTTTCCTGTGCTGTCCTTGTGGTAGTGTATAAGTCTCACGAGATCTGATGGTTTGATAAAGGGAAACCCGTTAGGCTTAGCACTCATTTTCTCTTGCCGCCGCCATGTAAGAAGTGCCTTTCACCTCCCACCATGATTCTGAGGCCTCCCCAGCCATGTGGAACTGTAAGTCCAATTAAACCTCTTTTTCTTCCCAGTCTTGGGTATGTCTTTATCAACAGCATGAAAACAGAATAATACA
This sequence comes from Homo sapiens, assembly GCF_000001405.40. Taxonomy (NCBI): domain Eukaryota; kingdom Metazoa; phylum Chordata; class Mammalia; order Primates; family Hominidae; genus Homo; species Homo sapiens. Next base: position 49,739,750 of record NC_000022.11, read on the forward strand.
GTAAATTGGTACCAGTGGAGTGGGGCACTGCTGAAGAGTTACCCAAAAACATGGAAGTGACTTAGGAACTGGGTAACAGGCAGGGGTTGGAACAGTTTGGAGGGCTCAGAAGAAGACAGGAAAATGTGGGAAAGTTTGGAACTCCCTAAAGACTTGTTGAATGGCTTTGACAAAAATGCTGATAGTGATATGGACAATGAAATCCAGGCTGAGGTGGTCTCAGATGCAGATGAGGAACTTGTTGAGAACTGGGGCAAAAGTGACTCTTATTATGTTTTAGCAAAGAGACTGGCAACATTTTGCCCCTGCCCTAGAGATGTGTGGTACTTTAAACTTGAGAGAGATGATTTAGGGTATCTGGCAGAAGAAATTTCTAAGCAGCAAAACATTGAAGTGGTGACTTCGGTGCTGTTAAAGGCATTCAGTTTTAAAAGGGAAACAGAGCATAAAAGTTTGGAAAATTTGCATCCTGATGGTGCGATAAAAAAGAAAATCCCATTTTCTGAGGAGAAATTCAAACCAGCTGCAAAAATTTGCGTAACAAGGAGCGAATGTTAATCCCCAAGACAATGAAGAAAATGTCTCCAGAGCATGTCAGAGGTCTTCATGGTAGCCCCTCCCTTCACAGGCCTGGAGGTTTAGGAGGAAAAAGTGGTTTCGCGGGCTGGGCCCAGGATCCCCGCACTGTGTGCAGCCTAGGGACTTAGTGCCCTGCATCCCAGCCACTCTGAAAGGGGTCACAGTAGAGCTCGGGCTGTGGCTTCAGAGGGTGGAAGCCCCAAGCCTTGGCAGCTTCCACGTGGCATGGAGCATGAGGGTGCACAGAAGTCAAGAATTGAGGGTTGGGAACCTCCTCCTAGATTTCAGAAGATGTATGGGAACTATTACTGCTGTAATAGTACCTTCTATAATTCTTATATGTTCTAGATATAAATGATCAAATATTTGATTTGCAAATATTTTCTCCCATTCAGTGGGTTGTCTTTTCATTTGCTATAATAGAGACATAGTGTCCTTTGATGCACAAACGTTTTTAATTTTGATGAAGTTCAACATATCTGTTTTCTCTTTTGTTGCTTGTGATTTTGGTATCATATTTAAGACACCATTACCTATCCAAAGATTTACATGTGTGTTTCCTTCTAAGAGTCTTATAGTTTTAGCTCTTGCAGTTAGATCTTTGAGCTGCTTTGACTTAATTTTTTGTATGTGTGAAGTGGGAACTCAAATTTATTATTTTGCATATGGATATACAGCTGTCCCAACAGGGTTAGTTGAAAAACTATTCTTTTCCCCCAATAAATGGTCTTAATGTCTTTGCCAAAAACCAACTAAGGGTTTAATTTCTGGGCTCTCTATTCCACTGATGTGTGTGTCCAGCCTTGTATCATTACCACACTGTCTCCGTTACTGGTGTTTTGTATTCAGTTTTGAAATAAGGAAGTGTGAGTCCCCCAGCTTTGTTCTTTGTAAAGTTTTGAGTTTTGATGTTATATTCAGGGTCTTTTTAGATTCCATACTAATTTTAGGATGGATTTTTTTCTGTTTCTGCAAACAGGTCAACTTGCGTTTGGATAGGGATTGCACTGATTCTGAAGATCAATTTGGAGAGTATTGCCATCTATTCAGTATCAGTCTTATGGTCCATGAACTTGAAATGTCTTTCCATTTATTTAGGTCTAATTTAATTGCTTTCAACAATGTTTTGATGTTTTCAGAGTTTAAGTTCTCCACTCTCTTGTTAAACATATTCCTAAATGATGTTCCATCTTTTATTTCTGATTTTAGTAAGCTCAGTCTTCTCTCTTTTTTTCTTAGTCTAGCTAAAGGTTGGTCAGTTTTGCTGATCTTTTGGAAGAATCAGCTTTTATTTTACTGATTTTCTCTATTTTCTAATCTATATTTCACTAACTTTTTTTCTATTCTTTATTATTTCCTCCTTTCTGCCTGCTTGAGGTTTAGTTTGCTCTTCTTTTTTCACTATCTCAAGTTGGGAGGTTAGGTTGTGGATTTGAAATCTTTCTTCTTTTTAAATGTAAGGGTTCTCAGATGTAAACTTCCTCTCTGCACTGCTTTAGCTGCATTCCATACGTTTTGGTATGTTGTATCTCCAATTTCATTTATCTCAAAGTATTTTCTTATTTTCCCTGTGATTTTGTCATTAATCTGTTTTGTTATTTAGGAATGTGTGTTACTTAATGTAGACGTATTTGTGAATTTCCCAAGTTTCTTTCTATTTTTTTTTCTAATTTCACTCCATTATACTCAGTGATTGTGTTTTGAATGGTTTCAATCCTTTGAAAGTTACTGAGGCTGATGGATTCACAGCCACATTCTACCAGAGGTACAAAGAGGAGCTGGTCCCATTCCTTCTGAAACTATTCCAAACAATAGAAAAAGAGAGACTCCTCCCTAACTCATTTTATGAGGCCAGCATCATCCTGATACCAAAACCTGGCAGAGACACAACAAAAAAAGAAAATTTCAGGCCAATATCCCTGATGAACGTGATGCAAAAATCCTCAATAAAATACTGGCAAACCGAGTTCAGCAGCACATCAAAAAGCTTATCCACCACGATCAAGCCAGCTTCATCCCTGGGATGCAAGGCTAGTTCAACATATGCAAATCAATAAACATAATCCACCACATAAACAGAAACAATGACAAAAACCACATGATTATCTCAATAGATCCAGAAAAATGCTTTTGATAAAATTCAACATCCCTTCATGCTGAAAACTCTCAATAAACTAGGTATTGATGGAACATATCTCAAAATAATAAGAGCTATTTATGACAAACCCATAGCCAATATCATACTGAATGGGCAAAAGCTGGAAGCATTCCCTTTGAAAACCGACACAAGACAAGGATGCCCTCTCCTACTCAACACAGTATTCGAAGTTCTGGCCAGGGCAATCAGGCAAGAGAAAGAAATAAAGGTGTTTGAATAGGAAGAGAGGAAGTCAAATTGTCTCTGTTTTCAGATGACATGATTCTATATTTAGAAAACTCCATCGTCTCAGCCCAAAATCTTTTTAAGCTGATAAGTAACTTCAGCAAAGTCTCAGGATAGAAAATCAATGTGCAAAAATCCCAGGCATTCCTATATGCCAATAATAGACAAGCAGAGAGCCAAATCATGAGTGTACTCCCATTCACAATTGCCACAAAGAGAACAAAATACTTAGGAATACAACTTACAAGGGGCATGAAGGACCTCTTCAAGGAAAACTACAAACAACCTCTCAAGGAAATAAGAGAGGACACAAACAAATGGAAAAAAAATTCCATGCTCATGAATAGGAAGAATCAATATCATGAAAATGGCCATACTGCCCAAAGTAATTTATAGATTCAATGCTATTCTCATCAAGCTACCATTGACTTTCTTTGCATAATTGGAAAAAACTACTTTAAATCTCATATGGAACCAAAAAAGAGCCTGTATAGCCAAGCCAATCCTAAACAAAAACAACAAAGCTGGTGGCATCACACTACCTGACTTCAAACTATACTACAAGGCTACAGTAACCAAAACAGCATGGTACAGGTACCAAAACAGATATATAGATCAATGGAACAGAATGGAGACCTCAGAAATAATACCACACATCTACAACCATCTGATCTTTAACAAACCTGACAAAAGCAATGGGGAAAGATTCCCTATTTAACAAATGGTGCTGGGAGAACTGGCTAGCCATATGCAGAAAACAGAAACTAGACCCCTTCTTTACGCTTTATATAAAAATTAACTCAAGATGGATTAAAAACTTAAATGTAAAACCTAAAACCATAAAAACCCTAGGAGAAAACCTAGGCAATACTGTTCAGGACATAGGCATGGGCAAAGACTTCCTGACTAAAACACCAAAAGCAATTGCAACAAAAGCCAAAATTGACAAATGGGATCTAATTAAACTAAAGAGTTTCTGTAAGCAAAAGAAACTATCATCAGAGTGACCAGGCAACCTACAGAGTGGGAGAAAATTTTTGCAATCTATCCATCTGACAAACGTCTAATATCCAGAATCTACAAGGAGCTTAAACAAATTTGCAAGAAGAAATCAAACAACCATATCAAAAAGTGGGCAAAGGATATCAACAGACACTTCTCAAAAGAAAACATTTATGCGGCCAATAAACATATGAAAAAAAGCTAATCATCACTGGTCATTAGAGAAATGCAAATCAAAACCACAATGAGATACCATCTCACACCAGTTAGAATGGCAATTAATAAAAAGTCAGGAAACAACAGATGCTGGCAAGGCTGTGGAGAAATAGGGACACTTTTACACTGTTGGTGGGAGTATAAATTAGTTCAACAATTGTGAAAGATGTGGAAGACAGTGTGGCAATTCTTCAAGGATCTAGAACCAGAAATACCATTTGAGCCAGCAATCCCATTACTGGGTATATACCCAAAGGATTATAAATCATACTACTATAAAGACACATGCACATGTATGTTTATTGCAGCACTATTTACAATGGCAAAGACTTGGAAGCAACCCAAATGCCCATCAGTGATAGACTGAATAAAGAAAATGTAGCACATGTATACCATGGAATACTATGCAGCCATAAAAAAAGAACGAGTTCATGTCCTTTTCAGAGACACAGATGCGGATGGAAGCCACCATTCTCAGCAAACTAACACAGGAACAGAAAACCAAACGCCGCATGTTCTCACTCATAAGTGGGAGTTGAACAATGAGAACACATGAACCATAGGGAGGGGGACATCATACACCAGTGCCTGTTGGAGGGTGGGGGGCAAGGGGAGGGAGAGCATTAGGACAAATACCTAATGCATGCCGGGCTTAAAACCTAGATGATGGGTTGATAGGTGCAGCAAACCACCATGGCACATGTATACCTATGTAACAAACCTGCACATTCTGCACATGTATCTCAGAACTTAAAGTAAAATAAAAAATTTAAAAAAGAAAGTTACTGAGGCTGATTTAATGGTCTAGTATGTGATCTATCATGAAGAACATCCCACGTGTGCTTGAAAAGAATGAGTGTTCGGCTGTTGTGTGGAGTGGTCTGCAGATACCACTTAGATCTACTTGGTTGCAATGTGTTTGAGTTTTTCATTTCCTGTTGCTATTCTGCCTGATTGTTCTATCCATTATTGAAAATGAAGCATTGATGTCTCCAACTATTTTTGTTGAAATGTCTATGTCTCCATTCAATTCTGTCAGTTTTTGTTTTACATATCTTGGGGCTCTGTTGTTAGGTGCCTATGTTTACAATTGTTATTTTACCTGAAGAATTGGCTTTTATCATTATAAAATATTCCTCTTTATCCCTAGTAACACTTTTTGTTTTAAATTTCTGTAAGTACTCCAGCTCTCTTATGGTTGCTGTTTGCATGGTATGTATTTTTCATCCTTTTACTTTCAGCATTTTTGTATCTCTGAATCTAAAATCTGTCTCCTTTAGACAGTATATAATTGGATATTGGTTCTTTATCCAATCTATCTCTGCCTTTTTATTGGATTGTTTAATCCATTCACATTTAATGTAATTATGAATATAGTTGAATTTGTCTGCATTTTACCTTTTGTTCCCTATATGTCTCGTGGTCTCATGTCTTTTTATTGTTGTTGTTGTTAATCTATTCCTCCTTTACTGATTTCTTGTTTAATTAAGTGAATATTTTCTAGTGTAATTTTTTTTATTCCTTTCATGGCTTTTTCACCATATTTTAAGTTATTTTCTTAGTGGTTGCTCTACAGCTTACCACATATGCTTAACATATCAGAATCTACTTCAGATTTATATGAACTCCAATTATATGTTGGCATGTTATCCTTATATTATTTGTTATATTTTCCTTGTTTATATTATCCTTTCTTATTTACCACTTATTATTCTCTTCATTTGTCTTTTCTTTAACTTTTTTTTTTTTTTTTGGTATAGATGAGGCCTCACTGTGTTGACCAGGCTGGTCTTGGAACTCAGCCTCCCAAAGTGCCGAGATTTCAGGCATGAACCACCCTGGCCACCTTCATTTGTTTCTGTGGGTCTGAGTTACCATCTGTTGTGACTTCTTTACTTCAATACAATGTTGTTCCCCATACCTCCTTTGTGCTATTGTCAAATATATTCAATTTTTGTTTGTTACAGGTCCAGGAATACAACCATATACATATTGTTTTACACAATTGATTTTCAAATCACTCAAAGAAGAAATGTGCATTTATACTGTCTTTTGTAATTCATTATTACATTTCTAGGGCTCTTTTTTTTTGGTGTGGATTCACATTTCCATCTGGGATCACTTTCAAGGCAGATCTGCCAACCATGAATTATTTTGGCTTTTGTTTATCTGAGAACTTATTTGGCCTTCATGTTGAAAGATCGTTTTCAGGCTATGACAATCTTGATTTACAGGTTTGTTTGGGTTTTTTTTTCAGTCCTTTAAATATGTCATCCTACTGCCTCCTGGCCTTCATTGTTTCTGATGAAAAGTCACCGGTTAATCTTGTTGGAGTGACCATGACCATGACCATGAGGAGTCATTTTTTTCTCTTGCTACTTTCAGGATGTTTTTTGGTTGTTTTTTGTTTTGTTTTGTGTTTTGCTTTCGGCTTTCACTATTTACTATGATGAGTCTGCATGGGGATTTCTTTGCATTTATTCTACTTTGAGGTCACAGGGTTTCTCAGATGTATAGATGAATGTGTTCAGCAAATCTGGGAAATTTCCAGGCATTATTTGTTCACATATTTGTTCTGTCTTTTCTCCTTTTCTTCTCAAGTAAACCTGTGATGAGGATGTTGGTGACTGAAAGTTGTCCCACATTGCTCTGAGGTTCTATTCATTTTTCTTCCATTTTCTGTTTTTCAGATTGCATATCTCTATGAATCTATATTCACATTCACTGATTCCTTCTTCTGCCAGTTCTAAACCACCATTGACCCCCTCTAAAAAAATCTTTTTCAATTATTTTTCAACTCCAACATTTTCACTTGATTCTTTCATAGTTTCTTTTTATTCATAGTCTGTATTTGAGTCTCTATTGATAGTTTCTATTCATACTCTCACTGTCTTCATGTCTTCCTTTACTTCTTTCTTGTAGAAAGTAAAAGTTCCTCTTCAAAGTTTCCCTTCTTGTTAAAGAATAAATCATGAGTGTTAGAAATAATAGTTTCTTTTAAAGACTAACTTTATGCTAGACATGCTCATGGACATGTAGTACATTCTGTGTCCTTGTACTTTAACCAAGATATCTGTGCTGGACGTGCTCACAGGCATGTCCCAGCTCGCAGCCTATACCCCTTCCTTATTTGGGAATGTTATTACTTTTCTAATTCTTTCATAAGCAGCTTCCTCTTTTCCTTTATCCTTCCATTACTTTTACCTATTTAGAAAAGTTTTATACTGTTAGCCAATCGGGTTTTAGTTTAAATTGTGCTGTCTGGCTCTAGCCAATGGAGACAGGACACAGTAACAGGGACAAACTGCATAAGGGATAAAAATTGCTTCCCTCCTTTGTTCAGGTGTGCTCTCACCATTATTCCATCTGCGAGGAGCACCCTTTCTGCAGGAAGTAAAGATTGCCTTGCTGAGAGAATTAAATTTATGTTCAAGTGCTATTTCTTTGCAGCACCGGGGAGCAAGCATTTACATATAACAATTCTGCATGGTTTTCTTTATTTCTTTGACTGTATTAATGATGGATACTTGGAGGTCCCTGTCTGTTAAGTCTGGCATCTGATCCCTCCCATGGGCAGCTTCTGTTACTGCTCTTTTCCCTGTGTATCCGTCATGCATTCCTATTTATTTTAATGTCTCTTAGGTTTTGTTAAGAACTGGACATTTTAAATAATATTTTATAGTAACTCTGGATACTGATTCCCGACCCCCCACCCCCTAGGGCTTGTTTTTGTTGTTGTTTGAGTATTTATTTCTGACTTGGCTAGGTTACTTTAGTAACATTTATTTCCCCCGTAGAATGGCATTTCCCCTTTCAGTGGCATTCTCTAGTGGGCTCAGCCTTGGGTGTATACACAACCACCCTAGATGACAGCAGTTTTGTTTTCACTGGGGCTATTCCTGTCTCTTTCCCTGATCTCTCTGTTAAGCTCTCTGCCTCATTTGCCATTACCCTCAGCCTGTTAAGCTCCACTAATTACCTGCTGGTCGCTCTATTGTTTTTCACTAAGCCCTGGGGCATTAATTGCTCAGCATACTAATTCAATTAAATCCAGGCAGAAATAGTTTTGAGTTCCAGTCTTAGGTTGATTCTGACCCAGGAGGGCACTTCTTAGCTATCTCTTTACTTAGTTCTTCCAGCAAACTAGCTGGCCCGTGGTAACAGCTCATTGCTGTTAATTAGGAACTATTGTTTTCTTTTCTTTTTAACTTTAATTTTAGGTTCAGAGGTACATGTGCAAGTTTGTTATACAGGTAAACTCCTGTCATGGGGGTTTGTTGTGCAGATTATTTCATTACTCAGATACTAAGCCTAGTACCCAATAGTTATTTTTTCTTATCCTCTCCCTCCTCCCACCCTCAATTTTAACAGCACCTGATATATGGAAGGAACTCAACGGTTTCCTGAATTTTTGACTTAGCTTTCTTACAATAACGTATGATTTACACTTGTCTCATGCAGGCTAAAGGCAGAGGGAGCAGGCAGGGCTGCTTGGGGGTCTAAACCCACAAAGCCTGCCCCTGGGAAAGGGACTGGGTGCTGTGAGGCTTAGAGGCTCCAGCTCAGCCTGAAAGGTGCAGGTCAGGCCTCTGCTGGGAGGCAGGCAGCCCTTCAGGGGTGATTTTCATGGAGTGTGAAACTGGACCAGAGACCCCTACACACACCCGAGGCCCCTGGGCTCAGAGGTTAGAGGTCAGATGCTGCCCTTGTCTTCCTGTTTCCCCAGGAGGAGGCTGCCTACAGGACCCAGGACGATGGCACCCGGGTGCCCAGTGCACGCCTGGGGTCCCCACCACCAGTACCACCCCACCTACCATAGGCCCAGGACCTTGGGCTCAGCCCCAGCCCCAGAGGAAGGAGGAAACTGACAGGTCCAGGACCTTGGGCTCAGCCTCAGCCCCAGAGGAAGGAAGAGACCAAGGACAGCAGCACCTGGGTGCCCAGTGCACGCCTGGGGTCCCCACAACCAGTGCCATCCCCACCCCCTGCAGGCCGAGGACCGTGGGCTCAGCCCCAGCCCCGGCCCCAGCCCCAGCCCCAGCCCCAGCCCCAGCCCCAGAGGAAGGAGGCTGCAGGGCCCTCCACCTTCTGTACTCAGGGCCTGTCTGGAGTTTTCCTAATTAGCTCTCACTGTCTCCAGGTGATGTGAGCCAACTGCGTGTGTGTGACGCTATTCACAGCACACAGGGCAGAGCTGGTGCTCCCAACCACAGGTGTTCAGGGCACAGAGGCTGCCTTACTTGGCCTGGTTACACATGCAGCTTCTCTATTGATTGTCCGTCAAGCGAGCCTGCTCCAGACCCAGCTTCTGGGAGTCCTGAAGGACCCACAATCCCTAGGGTTATCCTGCCCGGCAACCCTAGGTAGTCCCACATCCTCCACCCACCAGCACAGGGGACGTTCATGAGCCCCACCCAGGCACAGAGCTGTGGGGAGGGGGCGTCTCGTGGAAGGTGAGCCTGGAGGCAGGGCCGTGCCCCTGGAGCCATACAGGGGCTCAAAAGGACCTCCTTTCCCCTCCTGGGGACACCAACTGGACTGCGTCCAGCCTGGGCCCTGGGTTCTCAGAGCTTTTCCCGGGAGAAAGACACCCCAGCCTCCCCTGACAAGCTTGTTCCCAGGACAGCAGCCGGGTTGGACGCCCAGTAAGGGGGCCTTGCCTCCTGCCCTCTCCATCAAGACAATCATACAGGGAAGAAAGGCTTCAGTGCCAGGGGAAAGTAGGGGGCCTAGGACAGAAGCAGCCCCCGGGGGAGGCAGGGGTCAGCCTCCAGGAGCTCCCGGTGGGGAAGAGCCTGGCAGAAATGTGAGCAGTGCTCTGGAATGAGTCAACCAGCGACAGCAGGCAAGTGGGGGCACCCTCCAATTGTCCTGAGAAGGGCCAGTTTCTGAGCCAAGGCTGCAGCAGCCTAAAGTCCCTGCGGCTGCAGCCTCCATCCCACCAGTCACAGCGACCAAGCCTTGTGGGGAAGACCTCGCCCTGCTCCCCTCTGGCCAACCGGGGTCTGCACTCTGAGCCTCTCCAGAGTGTCCGGCAGGGCCTGCAGGGCAGGAGGCAGCGCCCACTCCGTGGGGAGCACAGGTGCCCTTCACCCCTACCCCACCCACAGGGCTCCAGGCAGGACAGGCAGGGCAGGGGTCCGCAGCCCCCCACATGGCCATCCCGGGGCTCCACGGCATCACATGGAATGTCTCTGAGCAGCTCTGCCCGAGCCTTCCCCTCCAGAGCAGGCCCCGACCCCCAGCCCCAGGCTCACCCCAAGGCCCCCGTCCTCAGCCAGGGCCCCCATGCACTGCCCCAGGTGTCCCAGCCCTGATGGCTACTCCCCGGGGGTCCCACCGCAGTCCCTGTTTCACCCCTGACCCCTCTGCTGGGACATCCAGCCAGGGACCACTGGGCCCTGTGCCCTCCCATGGGGTTCAACGTCCCCACCCCATGGCGGCCTTCTGGGGACTCCCGTTGGGATCGTGGGGGCAGCACCAGTATGGGGCAGGGGACAGAGCCGATTCCCTGCGCAGGTGTGGTTTGGTCCGCGAGGGCTACGGGGTCCTGGGGGAACGGTGGGCGGCAACCAGGAGAGCCCGGCAGGGACCCCCCCCATGCCAGGCCCAGTGCGGCCAGGAGGACCCAAGAGGGGTGAATGAATGAATGAACGAATGAATGAATGAGGGAAGGAAGGGGAGGGGAGGGGAGGCCAGGCCCTGAGGGCAGGGCAGGTCCCACCCCTGTCTCAGGCCCCCCATGAGGCAGATGGGCCCACCCTGCAGGAGCCCCTCATTCACTGCCCTGGGAGATTCCCAGCCATGTCCTGCCCTGCGGGGCCTCGGGGTCCAGGGAAGAAGTGGCCCCCTCCGGCCCCTCACAGAGGCGCCCGCTGCACCTGAGGGTCCTCGACCCCACCCCGCCATCCCCCGGACCCCCGCCCTGGGCTCCAGCTTCCTCCCCACCAGCCCCACCAGCCCCGGGAAAGGCCACGCTGTCTCCTGCCTCCCCGCGGAGGTCTCATGAGCCGCCGCGCCCCGGGCTGCGAAGAAACACCCCAGTCCCCTCCCCCGCGACCCTCCCTGCCTCCTGGGTACCCTGCAGACCCCACACGGGACCCCCAGGCAGGTGTGACCTCGAAGAGAAGCCACATTTCACCACCTCCTCAGAGACTCAGATGAAGGTCCACACACTAAATGCAGATCTGGAGGAGGCGGAGCAGGGTCACTTCTGACTTTTTTTGTTTTTGTTTTTGTTTGAGATGGAATCTCGCTCTGTCGCCCAGGCTGGAGTGCGATCTCGCAGTGGTGCAATCTCGGCTCACTGCAAGCTCTGCCTCCCGGGTTCACGCCATTCTCCTGCCTCAGCCTCCCAAGTAGCTGGGACTACAGGCGACCACCACCAGGCCCGGCTAATTTTGTTTTTGTATTTTCAGTAGAGACGGGGTTTCACTGTGTTAGCCAGGATGGTATCAATCTCCTGACCTTGTGATCCGCCCACCTCGGCCTCCCAAAGCTCTGGGATCACAGGTGTGAGCCACCGTGCCCGGCCCAGACTTTTCTTTTCTGTGAATGCTACATGTTTTGGCATCTAGCCTGACAGGTAGAATTTACTTGCAAGGACCTCACATTGATCATCAGTCAAGGATCAGGGCTCCAGAAGTAAATCATACAGAAAGTGATCACACCGTGTCTCAGGCCACACATGGCCCGTGCGTGCCAGTCCCAGGCCACACATGGCCCGTGCACTCCAGGCCCAGGCCAAGCCTGCGGCCGAGTGGGCAGGTGACCCTGGGAGGAGCAGAGGAGACGGGAAGGCAGGTGCCCCTCAGCTCCCTCCAGCGCCCACCTGGCTGTGGTTTCTCAGCGGGAACAAGAAGAATGAAGACCAAACCCTGAGGGGAAGATGTTTCCCAGCCTCTGGGCCAGAAAAGCTGCTCCAGGGAGGAGAGGGGTTGCACATGGTGCCCCACGTCCCCTGTCAGAGGCCGCTGGCAGGACCACATCCCAGAGCCCCCCCAGAACCCGGGAGGCGCAGGCCTGGAGCCCAGCCAGGCACACACCAGGGCTACTCTGACCCTGGAAAGAGGTTAGAAACAGCCGCTGTCTGGATTCTCAATGACAAAGGGATGGATGTTGAGGAAGACAGAGGGGGAGTGGGTGTGGGAAGGAGGACACTGAACAGAAAGGGCCTGGATGCCCACGATAACAAAAGCAAAAGCTGAGGAAACTTCACAGGGGGCAGGGTTGGAAAGAGGAGGGGTGGGGTTCAGGCTAGACAGAGGAGGGGTGTGGTTTAGGCTGGACAGAGGAGGGGGTGGGGTTCAGCCTGGACAGAGGAGGGGTGTGGTTCAGACTGGACAGAGGAGGGGGTGGGGTTCGGGCTTGTTCTGCAAACCCAGCGTGGGTACCTCGGCCTTTCTTATCCCCAGCATGCACTTGGAGCCTGTGCCCCTCACCTGTCGGCGCTCCCAGCTCGGGGGTTTGTGCCCCTTCCTGGTCCCCTCCCCTTGGGTGTTGCCGGGACCTGTTTCTTGCTCCTAAGCCACATCATAGGATCAAAGCGATAGAGTGTCCGTGGCTAAGTGTGTGTGCACGACCACACCACGCACGATTGTGACCCTGCCTTGCTGGAGCCGCTGTCTCCTTTGCTGCGGGAACACAGCAGCCGTGCTGGGCAACACCACGTACCTGGGACCTTCGGTGGCCTCTAGCACCAGAGTGCAGCCTCTGGACAAAAGCCAGTGAGAAAATGAAGCCGTCAGTCCTACAGTTGGAAGGACGGATGGTTGCCAGCACCCTGAGTGAGCGTGGAGGTGAACTCTGCCCCAGCTCAGCCTCCAGCCCAGCCGCCACCTGATGGCAGCCTGTGGGCCCAGCAGAGGACCCCACGAAGTGGCGCCAGACCGCTGGCCACAGAGACTGAGATGACAGATGTGTGTCGTTTTGAGCTGCAAGATTTGTGGTGACCTTGTTACACAAGGACAGACGCTAACACAACGGGTTCCCACAGCAGGTCTCCAGGGCTCAGGGAGTTCTAATCACGAGACCTCGGGGGGGGTCTTTCGGCTGAGTGCAGAGAATAACGCGGCTGAAGGTCACGGCCAGACGCCTGAGGACCAGCCACTGACACCCTCAGCATCGAGAGCTGCTGCCGAACTGTGGCCAGGCCCTTTCCTCTTTTTTTTTTTTTTTTTTTTTGAGACAGAGTCTTGCTCTGCCGCCCAGGCCCAGGCTGGAGAACAGTGGCGTAATCTCAGCTCACTGCAACCTCCATCTCCCTGGTTCAAGCGATTCTCGTACCTTAGCCTCCCAGTAGCTGGGATTACAGACATGCGTCAGCACACCCAGCTAATTTTTGTATCTTTAGTAGAGGTGGGTTTTCACCATGTCGGCCAGGCTAATCTCGAACTCCTGGCCTCAAGTGATCCACCTGCCTCAGCCTCCCAAAGTGCTGGGATGACAGGTGTGAGCCACCGCGCCCGGCCAGCCAAGCCCATTTCTAAGAACGTCCATGGGAAGGAAGGAGGGATGTAGCCAGGGCCAGGACCACCCCAAGAGCAGAGTGATGGGTGCGGGTGGGGAGCAGAGCTGGAAGGGGCCCAGGGGCCGTGGTTCGTGGACCTCAGGCCCAGGCCAGCCCCCGAACGCTGCAGCTCCTGGCTCTCCAAGCAGCTTCCTAGGGACCATCAGTAAAACTGTGACAGCAAACCCACAGTAATGTGATTTAATTAAGAGATAACGACAGTGGAACTGGGAATTGTGCCGGGTAACGGGTCGTCATCGCCTCGGGAGCAACAACTCGGAACTCAGGATATTAATGCATCACCGTGGCACTGTTTGGGGAGAATTGCCGTGTTTTTCAAATGCCTTCAAACTTCTATTTTCCTTCCACAGTCTCTGAGTTTGCCCCAGCCCCCCACTGATTAGTTCCAGCTACATCTGCCTTTTCTCATTAAAAGAAAAGCTTGTGCATTTTATTTTCAATTAACTTGCAGGAATCTATCAGGAGAAAGTCCAGCTGAACCTCATCATTCACAGTGCAATTTCTCAGAACCGCCAGGGACGGCAGGTGTGATCCAGGGTGGGGCTGGCCTCCCACCTGCTGGGGCACGTGCACTCCAAGGGCTCTCTCGGGCCAGGGCCGCTGCGCTCAGCCTCCTGCACAGACGCACCTGCTGGGGCACGTGCACCCCAAGGGCTCTCTCGGGCCAGGGCCGCTGCGCTCAGCCTCCTCCACAAAGCAGGGAGTGTGGGGAGAGGCCTCATCACACTTCCCACCTGGCAGCAGGTGCCTGGACACCTGAATCTCCTCCACTCTGCCCTCCAGTCTTGTCCCCTTGAAGACACATGGGGCAGGGCCAGACGGCTAATGCGTTAGGATATGGGTTCTGGCCTCTGGCAGCTCTCAGAGCCTGCCTGGCGCTCCCTTGGTGAGAATCTGACCTCTGGGCACCTCTTGACTCCCCTGGCAAGACAGAGTGGCCTGAGGGAGCCATTGGTCCCAGGGGACACTCGCCAGGACCCTCCCGCAGGCTGTGGATGTGTGTGGCCTGTCCTTGGCTTCCCTGGACCAGACCTGCCCATGGGCCTCTGGTGTACGTGGGTTCAGTGCATGGCTCCTGGGAGAAGAGTGGCTGTTTAGCCACTGAAACATCACCTTCCTCACAGCTCTTTCCTCTTATAAGTTTGTGCCTTTCTCCAGGCCCCAGCTGTGCCCAGTGGCAGGGATGAGATGAGATGTTCTGAAGTACTCGTCAAAGGCCCGGAGAAGCATCGCATGGGACAGGAGGGGAAGGACTCCTGGGGGCACGTCCTGGGCCTCTGCCCGGAGACCCAGTGTCTTCCTGCCAGCATCTGCTGCCAGGCAGCAGCACCTCCTCCAACACCTCATGCCAAGCATTTAGTGTTTTGTTTGGGAAGTCGCCGGGCACAGCCTGTCTTGCAGGACGCAGGAGAGGACACTGGAAATATCACTCATCATCAGAACAACCCTGTTCTCCAGGGCTCAGCCCTCACCTCCACTCCTCAGGGCACGGACAGGTGGGCGGGGCCGGGAGCCTCCGCAGCCCACACCCCTGCGAGGGGTCTTGCAGGAGGGGAGGCATCTGCGGCAGAGCCCAGCGTCCCCACTGCCGGCATCCCTGCCTGTCTGCAGTTCAGCCTGGCTCCCAGCAGGCCCGGCAGCATCTCCTCTGTGAGCTCCCAGCCCCCTGCCACTGCACATCGCAGGGCAGCCTCACCTCCCCATCCCTGGGAGGACAGGGTCCCTGGAGCGGACACGGGAGTGGGGCCGCCTCACATTTGCTCCCAGAGCAGACCCTCCTGCTTCCCTCCACAGCAGGCCCTCCGCGGGAAGCCCCCTCCCATGCCCTGTCCCCCACACAGCAACCCCGACCGCCTTCACCCAACCTGCCCCACCCCCGCTGCAGCCCCTTTCCAGCCCAGCTCCTGCCCCCCACCGACCCTCCTCCTTCTAGAAGCTTCTCCCCTTGGCATTCAGGTGAGGTAAGAGACTGGCAGGACTAGTTTTCTGGTCCCAGCCCCACTGACCCAACCAGGACCTGGTCCAGGCAGGATGAAGTGAAAAAACCAGCAGAAACCAGCAGACGATGAGAGGCAGATCCCTGGCTGCCCTCACTGCTCATTGGCATCAGACATGCCCACCAGTGCCATGACAGTTTACCAATGCCCCATAAGGTGCCACCCCTTTCCATGGCAACGCCCCATAAGGTGCCACCCCTTTCCATGGCAACGCCCCATAAGGTGCCACCCCTTTCCATGGCAACGACCCATAAGGTGCCACCCCTTTCCATGGCAACGCCCCATACGGTGCCACCCCTTTCCATGGCAACGCCCCATACGGTGCCACCCCTTTACATGGCAACGCCCCATACGGTGCCATCCCTTTCCATGGCAATGACCCATATGGTGCCACCCCTTTCCATGGCAACGCCCCATATGGTGCCACCCCTTTCCATGGCAACAACCCATAAGGTGCCACCCCTTTTCATGGCAATGACCCAGAGGCTACTGCCCTTTTCCTAGAAAATTCTAAAATGACTTGCCCCTCAATTTGCATTGGCCCATCCTTAATTTGCATGTAATTGAAAGTGGGTTCTCATGGGTATAAGTATAGCTGCCAAGCACCCATACACTGTTGGCTGTGGGTGCACTGCCTAGGAGTTAGCCCTGTCCTCAAGAAGCAGTACCGTTCAATGAAAGACTGCTGTCCAACGCCACTAGCTCACCCTTGAATTCCCCTTGGGGAAGCCAAGAACCCTCCCAGGCTAAGCCCTAGTTTGGGGTCTTGCCTGTCCAGTAACAGGGGGCCCTCCCTCTGCCACTTCACTGCCCCTTCCTTGTTCCCCCTCCAAGTGCAGTGCCCAGAACCCAGACACCACCCACTCACGGGACCTTCCCTCTTTCCAGAGAATTCTGAGTCTCGGCCTGGCTGTCCTAACTCCCCTCCCCACAGCTTTTGACTTTCACCTCCACTGGGCTGTCCAGCCATGACCCCAGCCCCCGGCCCCTTCCTGTTACAGCTGGAGGGTCCTGACTCCCACGTCCCCCACAGGGGCCCCCAGCAAAGCACAGCTCCAGACCTGTGGGCCCCATGCAGGCACCATGGTTCATACCTGTAATCCCACCACTTTGGGAGGCTGAGGCAGAAGGATTCTCTCGAGCCCAGGAGTTACAGACCAGCCTGGGCAACACAGCAAAACCTTGTCTCTAAGGAAATAAAAGCAAAAATAAAGAAAATCAAGATGGTAGCAGCAGAGCAGGTCCTCCCACGCGTGCTCGCCCAGCATGTGGCTGGAATCCTGCCAGCTCTGCCCCTCTTCCTGCAGGTGAATGATGGGGACCCTGCACAGTGCCCCCCTCCTCAGAGTTGCCTGCCCTGATGCCCACACAATGACAGCCCCGCCCTCTCCAGCCCCTGCTGTGTCCCTCCACCTTCACCCCACAGTGACTGTGTGCTTCTGTCCGAGTCCCCATGAACCACAAGCCCGTGGTTGAAGGTCTCTTCCTGTTGCTGAAGCCCCAGTCCCTGGTGTGTCCCCCAGGCTATGGTAGGGGTCCCAGAGCATCTGTTGACCACTGTAGTCAGTTCCAATTTCAGACATCAGTGTCCACAGGGGCTTTGGTGCGGATGCCAGTGCTTTGGGCTGGCCTCTTCTACAACTCACCTCCAGCCATGTCATGGCCTCAGCTTAAATCCCTTCAGATGCACGACTGACCAGGCCAGCACAGCAGCCCGTCCACCTGTCTGGGTGACCCTCCTGCCCTGCTGGCCTTTTCTCAGGGCCAGGCTGCAGGTTAAGGCTACAGTGAGCTATGACTGCACCAATGCACTCCAGCCTGGGTGACAGAGCAAGACCCTGTCTCAAAAAAAAAAAATTATCAAAATCAAAAATGAAAGATGGGATATCACTACAGATCCGACAGAAATAAAAAGGATGATAAGAGAATGCTATGAACAATTTTATGCCAACAAATTACATAACCGATTAAATGGACAAATTACTGAAGGAAACTACAAAGACTTACTCAACAAGTAAACAGATTGAAATAGTAATTTTTGAAATTTCCACACTGAAAAGCACAAGGACGGACGACTTCACTTGTGAATTCTACCACACTCTTTTTTTAGTTGCTGTCAACAAGCTTATTGTCTTTATCTGGAAAATCCTCATAGAAATTGTTTGGTTTAGCTTTCAGCAGCCTGCTCCTGAGCTCTGAGGAAGCTTGCCTTCTTTTGAACTACCCAGTCTTTCTTCTGAGCAAGGGACGTTTTCACCTCTTCTTTTTAACTTGTTTCTTAGGCTTCTTTTCATAGACTGGATTATCTTGTATAGCAGCATGAGCTTTCTTTTTTTTTTTTTTTTTTTTTTGAGATGGAGTCTCGCTCTGTCACCCAGGCTGGAGTGCCGTGGCGCAATCTTGGCTCACTGCAACCTCCACCTCCCAGGTTCAAGCGATTCTCCTGCCTCAGCCTCTCGAGCTGCTGGGATTACAGGCATGAGCCACCAAGCCCGGCCACAGCATGAGCTGTCTTATACATCTCCTCCATCATGTCTGGAGTTAAGCTTTTTTTTTTTTGGTGGAGTCTCACTCTGTCATTCAGGCTGGAGTGCAGTGGCGCGATCTCAGCTCACTGCAACCTCTACCTCCCAGGTTCAAGTGATTCTCCTGCCTCAGCCTCCCAAGTAGCTGGGATCACAGGCACCCACCACCACATCCAGCTAATATTTGTATTTTTAGTAGAGACGAGGTTTTACCATGTTGACCAGCTGATTGTGAACTCCTGACCTCAAGTGATTGCCCTACCCCGACCTCCATAAGTGCTGAGATTACAGATGTGAGCCCCTGCGCCTGGCCTACCCTGTTCTTTATGTATTGAGAGAGTTTCTTGTAAGCATCTTCATCTTCCTCCATTAAGTAACGCATGTAATCTGCAACATTCTGGCCTATGATGTGCTTCCAGTGTACTTCTGCATTAAATTCTTTGCTTTCAGAATCATGACCAGGGAATTGTTTGGTACCGTGAGGGACAGACCAGCCTCCATCCACAGCTCCCTTTAGGGCACCAAAAACTTTATTGCCAGCGGCAGTTCTGGCAAGCTCTGCATCCAAAGAGTAGACAAAGGCACCCAGCTGACCATCTATGCTCTCCACACTGTATTCATCGCCAGTCACCTCCACTTGGCCTTCTTAGATCTTGTCCAGGCCAAACCTATTGAGAAGCCTGCGGGCCAGCAGCAGGCCAGGACAATACACTGCAGTGTCATTTGTCAGGCCAACCTTCACACTATATTTTGGCAGTTCGTGTGCATATGCTACACAGACTATCATATCCCCCTCTATACGGGCATAAGCAATCTAACAAATGATATCTCTGTTTGTTACACAAACTATCATCCTGTATTTGGATATGTGGTGTTTATTTTTATCCTGTATCACCAAATGTTTCTGAGCATAGTGATCAGTTTTACCCTCGCCTCATCGTCTAAATTTCACTTGGTATCTCTTAAAGCAGGCCTTATTCTTAATTTTAACAAACCCCATCCTATGGAACAGAGACCCACGTCTGTGGCTCAACAGAGACCTACGGGCCCAGCAGCGCAGGGCAGGGAAGGGCTTTACCAAGCATTTAAATAAGAAACGCTAATCCTTCAAACATTTTTTCAACATAACGGAAGAGAAGGTAAGACTTCTAGATATGGTTTGGATGTCTTGTCCCCTCCAAATCTCATGTTGAAATGAGATCTCCAATGCTGGAGGTAGGCCTAGTGGGAGGCATTTGGGTCACAGGGCTGGATGCCTCAAGAATGGCTTGCAGAAATGAGTGAGGAGAATTCACTCATTATTCCTGAGGCCTTCACCAGAAGCAGATACCAGCATTATGCTTCCTGTATAGCCTGCAGAACCATAAACCAAACAAACCTCTCTTCATTATAAATTACCCAGCCTCAAGTAATTCTTTATGGCAGTGCAAACTGGAGTAACATGCTTCCCAACTAATTCTGAGGCCAGTATTACCCTGAAACCAAAACCAAAGATATCACAAGAAAGAATATCCCTTCTGAATACAGATACAAATATCCTTAACAAAATACAGAATTCAGCAATGTATAAAAAGGATTATATCCTAAAACCAAAAAAGAATTTATCCCAGGAATGCAAGCTTGGCTTAACATCCAAAAACCAATTAATGCAATACATTAATAGAATAAAGGGACAAACCACATGATCATCTCAAAAGACACAGGAAAAAATAGAAAATTGCAAGTGTTGGTGGCGATGTGGGGAAATTGGAACCTCGTAAACTGCTGGTGGGAAAGTAAAATGATGCAATTGCTTTGGAAATCAATCCAGCGGCTCCTTAAAATGTTAAACAGGGCTGGGCACAGTGGCTCACACCTGTAATCCCAGCACTTTGGGAGGCCAAGACTGGCAGATCACCAGAGGTCAAGAGTTTGAGAACAGCCTGGCCAACATGGTGAAACCCCATCTCTACTATAAATACAAAAATTAGCCTGGTGTGGTAGTGCACGCCTGTAATCCCAGCTACTCCGGAGGCTGAGGCAGGAGAATCATTTGAACCCAGGAGGTAGAGGTTGCAGTGAGCTGAGATTGCATCGCTGCACCCCAGCCTGGGTAACAAAATGAGACTCTGTCTCAAAAAATAAAAATGTTAAACAGAGAGTTAATGTATAACCATGCAATTCACTCCTAGGCATATGCCCAAGGGAAATAAAAACATACATCTAAAAAAACATATATGCAGAGAGATAATGATGGCTGACAGGCACAGATAGTATGTACCTCCTCCATGGAGAGATCATGATGGCTGACAGGCACAGATAGTATGTACCTCTTCCATGGAGAGGAACAAAATAGTAAATAGATGTGCACATTTTGAACAGACCATCCCAGAGAGAATGCTAGGATTCACCAGAGATGAGACAGGAAGCACCAGAAGGAAGTAAGGAGAGGGCTCACGGCAGCTTGCCCAGCCAGGAACTGACAGCCTCCAGGTGGGAGTCTCCTGGACATGCCTAAACATGCCTCGGGCCCGACATATGGAGCTGCCTGAACATTACACAGAGACGTCACTCCAGAAAAGGGAACCCACAAAGAACCTCACAGGCATTGAAACCTGGAGCAGCCTCAGCTGAGGCCGTTTTGAGAGCCTCACTACCAGGGATCTAACAACATGGCTGTAGCCACTGCACTGCTCCAAGGAGACAGGGGAGACTGGGCACTACCACACACTCCTGGGAGGTGCCCTGTCACCTTGCTGTGGTCTGCTGTTGGGACCGATGCATGAGCAGACCACACTCCACACAACTTCTTACCCAAGCTGCTTGCCTAGGAGAAACCCCACCCACTCTGGTCTCAGGCCCAAGGCACCAATTGGAGAGTTGAGCACTGAACTGCACCCTGACCTCGGCCTGAGCTTGGGCTGAAACCACTGCAGCTGTTACTCAACCAAGAAAAGACAGGGAAACTAGGCTACCTTATGTATGTCTAGGACAAGACCCACTGCCCTGCAATAGGTTGCCGTGAGACTGAGATCCAACCAGACCACACTTCCTGCAGCGTCCTGCCCATGCTGTTTGCCTGGGAGGAGCCCCGCCCTCCCTGGTCTCAGGCCCGAGGCACCAATTTTAGAGTTTAACGCAAAGCTGTGCCCTGCCCTCAGGCCAAGTTTGACTTGACATGGCTGCAGCTGCTGCCCAGTCAAGGAAGGACGGGGAAGCTAGGCTCTCCTACACATACTCAAGACAAGACCCACTGCCCTGCTATGGGCAGCTGCAGGACTGGGGACTTCCCCTACCCAACCCATCGCAGCTTCCAGCAACAAGAACACAGACTGTTTGGATCCCAGTGGGTTGCTTCACCACCACTGCCGCCATCACCCAAACCACAGCAGCTGCCCCGTTGGTAGCGATGGGGTGAATGTGCTTATTTTTAGGCTCTAGAGCAGCTTACACTGGCTGCAGCGTTGGTGGGTCCTGGGGCTGATTCTTGGGCCTCCAGGTGGCTTGCTTAGAAGCTAGTAGTGGGAGCAGTGGGCCCAGGATGTGGTTTAGGTGAGGGTTGAAATATTACCTATTGGGTACAGTGTTCACTGTTCTGGTGATGGGTACACTAAAAGCTCTGACTTCAGCACTATGTCATGTATACATGTAAGAAACCTGCACTTGTATCCCCTAAATATATTTAAAACTTTAAAATTTAAAAAAAAATCACCTGGGCCGGGCGCGGTGGCTCACGCCCATAATCCCAGCACTTTAGGAGGCCAAGGCAGGCGGATCACCTGAGGTCAGGAGTTCAAGAACAGCCTGGCCAACATGGTGAAACCCCATCTCTACTAAAAATACAAAATTAGGTTATGGTGGCACATGCCTGTAATCCCAGCTACTTGGGAGGCTGAGGTAGGAGCATTGCTTGAACCCAGGAGATGGAGGTTGCAGTGAGCCGAGATTGCGCCACCGCACTCCAGCCTGGGCAACAAGAGCAAAATTCCATCTCAAAAAAAAAAAAAATCATCTGTACCCACACCCCCTCACATTTGTACACACCCACACACAATTTTGTTCTCCCAGGTGAATGATTCAACAGCCAGCCCCAGACTGCGTATGATGTTACCCTCCCATATTTTAGCATGTATCTCTAAAATAAAAGGATTCTAAATAAAGATAACCATGATATCGCTAGCAAACCTAACATTTTTATTAAACAATCGTTCCTGTCATCGAATATCTTGTCAATGGTCAAATTTCCCCAGTCATCTCATATATTGGATCAAATAGGGATCCAAACATTGTCTACACTTTCCAGTCAAATCTTTAAGGAGATCTCAGTAACTGCCCAAATTTTATAAACTCAATTTCACGTTTAACCACAGCTTTATCACTTCAATTTTCTTTTAAAATGTAGATTCTGAATGGCTGGTAGTCTAAGCTTGTCTGGGCCCTGAAGCTCCCCTTGGTTTCAAGTGTGAAGTGACATCAGCCCACACCTTCAGGTTGAATAAGTCTATCTTACAATCTAGTTAAGAAAAACTAGCTAGGCCTTTTAAAAATGTTTTTATTCTTTCTTGTCAGGGAGTAGACTTTATATTCTGCCCTCCAGAATATAGAGTTTATTTATGGTAACACTGTTTATGACAACTTCAGATGGGAACTAACCCAAATGTCCATCAGAAAGAGCTTGGCTAAACAGACTAGGTTATGTCCAAGCAATGGAAAACCATGCCACATTTAAAAACAGTGAGGTGGCTGGGCGTGGTGGCTCACACCTGTAATCCCAGCACTTTGGAAGGCCAAGGCAGGTGGATCACTTGATGTCAGGGATTCGAGACCAGCCTGGCCAACACAGTGAAACCCCGTCCCTATTAAAATGCAATAATTACCCGGGTGTGGTGGTGGGCGCCTGTAATCCCAGCTACTTGGGAGGCTGAGGCAGAGGAATCACTTGCACCCAGGAGGCAGAGGTTGCAGTGAACTGAGATCGCGCCATTGCACTCCAGCCTGGGCAACAGAATAAGACTCTGTCTCAAAAATAATAATAATTAATTTAATTCTAAAAATAAAAAAATAAAAACAGTGAGGTCACTCTATCTGTGATAACGTGAAAGTGCCAAGCTATACAGGTGAATAAAAAAATTAAACAGTGTGGGGAAAAAACAGACTTGTACATAAATCTTCACAGCAGCGCTATTCACAATCCCCAAAGTATAAACAGCCCAAGTGCTCGTACGCTGATGAATGGACAAGCAAACTGTGGAAGCCCCATGCAACGCAGTGTCGTTCAGCCACGGGGAGACGTGAAGCTCTGACACCTGATACAGCCAACGCGCTGTAAACCATTGCACCAGGTGTGGGAAGTCAGGTACAAGAGGACCGGTACGGTATGATTCCACTCACAGGAAATGTCCAGAACGGGCAGCTCCACACACTCAAAGCCAATCAGTGTTGCCAGGGGCTGGGGGAAGAGGAAGGAGGAGGGACTGCTGATGGGAACGGGTGTCCTTTGGAGGTGATTGAAAGATTCCAAAATTGACTGTGATGATGGTTACACAGCTCTGAGAATGTACTAAAAACCAGTGAATTGTGTGCCTTAGATGGGTGAATTTTCTCGTGCCAATGATATCTCAGTAAGGCTGGAAGGACACAGACCTGGTCAGCGAGGAGGGCCTGGGCCTTGCTAAAGTGGGCAGAGTCTGTGGGGTCCATTGGCTCAGCCCCAGCCTCTCTGTGCAGCCCTGGGGCCTGGCTTCTTCTGCCGCACCCCACAAGCTGCCCCCTCTCCCCAGCCGGGGCCCCAGGCCTGCTCCTCTCTGGGCTGAGCATCACCTTTGCCAGAGGAAGGTCAAAGCACCTGGACCCCAACACCCCAAGGACCCTTGCAGGCCTCTTCCGGGATCCACTTCTCAGTGAGCGCTGCCGTGCGCACCCCTGGGCCTGAGGGCTGGGCATCTCCCAGGTATGCAAGGGGCTCTCCGTGCAGGGCTGTGAGCAACGTGGGGGCAGCCGGCCGCAGTCTCCAGCCCCGGGGCCTGCTGGCATCCCCACCAGCCCCCAGCCTGGGCACCCCACCCAAGGAACCCGGCTCCCAGAGTCCGGGGCACTGATTAATATTCACACAGGCAGCAGAGAGCTGCTGAACCCTGAACGCGAGGCAGGGAAGAAAGTTGAAGCATCTGCTATCTATAAATCAAAATGAATTTACTCTTCCTCTAAGGACAGCCGCTGTAATAGGCCGCAGCCAACAGGTCCCATGGTGTGATTTCTGCGCAGGAAGCCACTGCTCACACCGGGTGTGGAAGCATTTGTAACCCCCAGGGGACCTGCTGCTCCACAGAACCCGACGGAAAGCTCGAGGAAGGCCGAGCTTCGGGGGTCACAGGCCGGATGCCGGAGCTGCTCCATGGGTGGTGCCCGAGGGAGCCCTGGGAGGAGCCGTCAGCCCAGGCAGTGGGTGGAGACGGGCTCTGCCTTCTGCCTTCACCAGCTCCGCCCAGCTCCCGGGTCACCCACCACAGCCCCGCCAGAGCAGGCAGACGTGCAGATGCCAAGGCAGACGTGCAGATGCCAAGCCGCACTTGCTCACTAAACTCACGTCCTCGCTACAACGTAGTTGTCGAGTAAATGCTCTCCATGGATTAAAAATATAAGCAGAGATGGCCGGGCGCGGTGGCTCACGCCTGTAATCCCAGCACTTTGGGAGGCCGAGGCGGGCGGGTCACGAGGTCAGGAGATCGAGACCATCCTGGCTAACACGGTGAAACCCCGTCTCTACTAAAAATACCAAAAAATTAGCCAGGCGTGGTGGGGGCGCCTGTAGTCCCAGCTACTCGGGAGGCTGAGGCAGGAGAATGGCGTGAACCCGGGAGGCGGAGGTTGCAGTGAGCCAAGATCACACCACTGCACTCCAGCCTGGGCGACGGAGCGAGACTCCGCCTCAAAAAAAAAAAAAAAAAAAAAAAAATATATATATATATATATATATATATATGTAGAGACATGAATGCCGATTCTTATGATGCTTATTTATTCATGAAACCAATGGCTTACCTGCCAGAAATTCAGTCCCTGGGTTGACACCAAACCCAACTGTTGGCTTTTCCTGCTGAATGGAGGGGCTGGGAGAAGCCGCCTCCAGCTGGCAGCCTCAGACCTGTGTCTACCTGGCAGGCCCCCACCCAGGTGGGGACAGGCCACCAGGCGGGAGTCACTGGGGCACTGCTGGGGCTCAGGACACTTGCAGGATGAGTGAAGGAGGAGGAGAGGGAGGAAGACAGAGAGGACCACCTCGGCCACTCTGACCTTGCCTCCTGGCCATGCCTGGGTTCTCAGAGGCAGGAGCTGGGGGGCTGCAGGGCTGGGGGCCACAACGACTCTCCAGCTGCTGTCACCCTCCCTGGCAATGAACCCCAAAGCCCCCACCTCCCCACCGCGGGTGCCAGACACAGGCCTGGTGCAGGTTCCACGTTATCCATGTCAGTGTTTCCCACGCAGGGCCAAGAATTACCAGGACCCTGCTATCATGGCCCAGCAGCATCCGTCAGCCACCACTCACCTCGTTCTGGCTCCAGCTACTCGTGCCAGGGTGGGGAGAAGCCCGGGAAGCCAGCTCCCCACGAGCCCCTGGCTCAGCCTCACAGCCTGACTGCATCATCCGAGCCCTTGGCCCTGGCCTGCCCTGACCCTCCTGTCCCCAGGCCCGTTTCCAACCTCCAGTATCTGCAAACAGAAAAGGACAGTGCCCCGCCCAGGGGCTTCCCTTACAGCCCCTGCGGGGAGTGAGGCCGCCCCACTGCAGGTGGGCCTGTAGCAGCTGCACCTGAGGCAGGGCTGGCAGCCCCTGTGGGGAGGGAGGCCGCCCCACTGCAGGTGGGCCTGTAGCAGCTGCACCTGAGGCAGGGCTGGCAGCCCCTGTGGGGAGGGAGGCCGCCCCACTGCAGGTGGGCCTGTAGCAGCTGCACCTGAGGCAGGGCTGGCGGCTCCTGTGGGGAGTGTGGCCGCCCCACTGCAGGTGGGCCTGTAGCAGCTGCACCTGAGCCCGGGCTGGTGGCCCCTGTGGGGAGGGAGGCCGCCCCACTGCAGGTGGGCCTGTAGCAGCTGCACCTGAGGCAGGGTTGGGAGGAAATGGCCACCCGGGTCAGCCAAGTCAGATGGGAGCGGGATGGGGAGGAGCCCAGTGGGCCTGGGGCCTGCAGCCACCCCCACAGCAGCACACCCAGGGCAGGGTGCATGGGGACCCCAGGCCCTCAGGAGAGAGCTGGACCTGAGTCCATAGCGGGCACGGGAACCAAACCAACCGGGCTGCTGGACAGGTGCCTTCCAGCCCCGCTGACCAGCCCTGTGGCCAAACGGACGTCAAAGCAAGAGTGCCGCGCATCCCCCAGGAGCCAGAGTGGGAGGCTGGCACAGCCTCCTCGGGCAGGTGTGGGCAGGTGGCCCCGACCTCTACAAGGTCATGCATTTTTTTTTTTTAGTCTAATTAAAGATTGGTCAATTTTGTTTATCTTTTCAAAAAACTAACCTTTTGTTTTGTTGATTCTTTGTATTGTTTTCTAGTCTCTATTTTGTTTAGTTCTATTCTGATCTTTATTATTTCCTTCCTTCTATTAATTTGGGGTTTGGCTCATTCTTGCTTTTCAGTTTCTTCGAGGTGCACTGTTAGGTTGTTTACTTGAAGTCTTTCTATCTTTATATATGTAAAGTGTATCTCTTTATCTATCTATCTATGTAGATAGATAGATAGATACAAAGAGACAGGGACTTGCTCTGTCACACAGGCTGGAGTGCAGCGGTACAATCGTGGCTACCTGCAGCCTCGACCTCCTGGGCTCAGGTGCTCCTCCCCACTTAGCCTCCCAAATAGCCAGGACCACAGACACACACCACCACACCCAGCTAATTTTTGTATTTTTAATATAGATGGAGTTTCATTATGTTGGCCAGGCTGGTCTTGAACTCCTGACCTCGTGATCCACCCACCTCGGCCTCCCAAACTGCTGGGATTACAGGCATGAGCCACCGTGCCCGGCCCTGACTGTGTCTTTTCCAATAGCCTGTCTTTGAGCTCATTGATTCCTTCCTCTGCTTGACCCATTCTGCTGTTAAGAGCCTCTATCAATTTTCCAGTTCAGCAGATGTTTTTCTCACTTCCAATATTTCTGTTTGATTTTTTAATTTCAATATCTTTGTTAAAATTCTCTGATAAGTTTCTGAATTGATTTTCTGGGTTATCTTGGAGATCGCTGAGTTTCCCTACAACTGCTATTTTGGATTCTTGATCAGAGGCTCACATGTGGCCATCTCATTAGTCACTGGTTCCTTGCTTTGTCCCTTTGAGTGGTTCACAGTTCCCCGTTTGCTTGTTTCTTGTGAATGCACATCTGCGTCTTTGCATTGAAGGATTAGTTATTTATTCCAGTCTTCTCTGTCTGGCTTGTTTTGGTTTTTACTGGGTATGTTTGCTTAGAGACTCTTTGCCATGTACCTGTTGAATTTTTTTTCTGCTAGGTTGCTGCCTCCTTCTTCGGCACTAGAGGGCAACATAAGTCCAGGTTTTCCTCAGCTCCAATAAAGGATCAGAGTGGGGCTTCCCGTCCCAAATGGGGAAGGTCCCACAGGGGATAGCCCGGCAGTGTGGGAAGACTGGCTGGCGGTCCATGCCCAGGGAACCTATGGACTGTGCCTCCTACCATGTAGCTGAACAGCCTGACTTGGTGCCTCCTTTGGCTGCATTACAGGGCAGTTTTTAGAGCTGGAGATGCTAGTCCCACCTCTTCCCTTTGTCTCTGGCTGGCCTCAGGGATATTTCTCCTTTAAGCATTCTGAATGCTTCCCTTGGGTTGAAGCAGAACAAGTCTCCTGCCAGGGAGCCCAAGATACTGGGAAGCTGGTAGTCCACCTTGATCTCATTTTTCCAGTGCAGAAGCCATGAGTCAGGGGAGATTTGCCCACACTTGGTGCAGGTAGACTGGGGGAAGGGACATCATAGATATAGAATTCCAGTTCTCTTACTGCTTGCTCAGAGTTTATTCACTTCTCTGTGGCCCTGGGGACTGTCTCATCCTCGTATTTGAGTTCTGGGATGTTGCTGGAGATAATCTTGGTGCTGAATATTTGTTTTGGATTTTCTGTGGCAAAGAGTGAAGCCAGCTTGCTTCTATGCTGCCATCTTGGAACTAGCCATCTCCTCAATTCTTTTTTCATTTGCTTTTAATTATAGGTGATAATAACAAGTGAACTCCATAAACCAGCAGGCGCCACGTGTGGGTGCATTTGCCACATATTGATCCTCCAAGGTGGGGGTTGGCTAACCCACCCTGGGCTCTACTCCCCACCCCCCACCTGGCTCGCCCGTGGGGGCGCCATGGGAGGCCGGTTGCTGAGCCCCAGAACCTGGCTGTCCTCACCTGTAGGACAGGATGGGGTGGGGAGTCAGAGGAGGCAGGGAGGAAGTAGAGGGTCTTGGTGCTTCAGACTGGGAGTCCCCACAGCTGAGCTGATGTTAAAACTCTGGGGCGAGAGATCAACAAGAGATGTGCTTCATTTGCAACGGGAGAAACTGTAATGAGATGAGGTAGAGCTGCACTAAGAGTCAGTGAGCAGACATTGTAAGTGAATGCTAATGTCATGAAATATCCACGCAGGAGGGGTCCTAGCTCCGCAGAGCCGTTGCCGGCCTGGTCAAGGGCCAAGCTCACGTGCAGGCCCCCTCCAGGGAGTCCAGGCTTCTTACTGCGTCGCTGAGTCTGGCTGCCCCAGCCCCAGGGCTCCCAGAAGCCCCCACTCACACAGTGGAGTACGCACCCCACCATGCCCCCTGGAGGGGGGACTTTGGCTAGGTCCCGAGAGTGGGGGGGCAGGGGGACCTCTGGGCACTTCACTTTGGACACTCATTATACTGAAATATGCATAGAATTTGGCCGTAATCTTCTGCTTTCCATGAGAACAATGTGATTTTTGTAAACTAGCAGAGGCCTTCTCTCCTACTTGTGGTGTGGGGGTCATTTTTGGGATCCTCCAGCCTTTGCACATTGCTCCCAGCCCCCACTCCCCGGCATCCACAGGCCCTCGAAGCTCACAGAGATGGAACAGCTGTGCTGCCCGGCGCCTGGCCTTCGGCCCAGCCAAGCCTTGCTGCCCTGAAGTGAGCCCAGCAGAGGGAACAGGATGACAGCCTCCAGCTCTGGCCACAGACACCGCCTGACCGGCTGTCATCTCCAGGTGGACAGGAAGACACTCTGACAGCCTCCAGCTCCGGCCACAGACACCGCCTGACCGGCTCTCATCTCCAGGTAGACAGGAAGACACTCTGAGTCCCTCTCAGAGCCATCCCTCAGAAGGGGGAGCACTGGGGGAGGGGGGAGGAGGCCCCTGAGGGCCACCGTGGTACTCCACCGACCTCCCTTCCTCCAGATGCTCACAGGACTCAGTGCCACGGCCCAGCCTGGGGGTGAGCGCTCGGCCATCAGGTGGGGCCCCTCACCCCTCGCTCCTCCCCAGCAACTTCTTCAGTGCAGTGGGCACCCAGAGGACAGGGCCTGTGAGGCCAGGGGTCACTGTCCACAAGACCGCAGGGCTGGACCGAGGCTCTGTGGGGATGGAGATGGTGATGGCGCACAGAGGAGGCTCAGAGGTAGCACTGACCGGGCATGGGGACAGGCCGGGGGGTCAGGGACGAGACCCGAGGGGACCCCCACCCTGAGAGAGCCTCAGGGGAGGGGCGCATCTGTAGGAAGGGGCTGCAGGGCCTCCCACCCCCTGTGCTCGCAGTCCAAGCACAACCTGGGTGCTCAGAGCCTGGGCCCAAAGGATTTGGAGCCCGAGTGGGTCTCTAGGGGATGGAGTGAGCAACACAGATTTGGGCTGGACCTCCTGGGGGTCTGACTGAGGGTCTTCACTCCCTACCTGCTGCCCCTGGTTCCTGCCACCCCCATGTGGCCCAAGGCAGGGCCCACCCACAGCGAAGGGGACCTGGGGCTCAGCTCCTCACTGCATTCTCCCTGCAGCCCCTGTCCTCTCCCCGTGTGACTAAGGGGCTCTCCCCACCTGGCTGAACCCCCAGCTCCCTAAGCCTCACGTTTCTGCCCTCCCTTTCTTGCCCGCACTGCCAGACACATGACTGTTTCCTCCTCCCCTGAAGTCAGGCAGGAATAACCTCCCCAAACCAGAGGGACTCCCCGGCCGGTGACAGAACCGGCCAGGGACAGGAGTGGTCCGGGGGCCAGCCCAGGGCTCGGCGGCAGCTTGGCAGGGGCTTGAGACCCGGAAAAATGGACTCCGACACTATCCAGGAGGACCCCCCAAAAATGTCCACAGCATTACACACTGACGGACACTTTGGAATCATCCCAGCCTCTCCGAGCAGCCCGTCCTCCTGCATACAAGGCCCACCACAGCCTCAGAAATGGGAAAGACAGATCGGCTTTCCCAAACTGCTCACGCCCCAAGCTAGGAAGGAGCAGCTCAACTTTGAGCCAATTTCACAAGCAAACAGTGCTGGTTTTAGGGAAGGACGAGCCGGACTCCATGCAACAACCCTGCACAGCTGGGTGGGCAGCTGCACCCAGGAGGAGTGGGTGCAGGGGACGAGGCCAGCTGGACACACCTGAGCGGGAAGCTAGGATCCCACGCTGGATACGGAGCCCCCTGCCTGAACCCCCTGCCTGAACCCCACCAGCCAGTCATCGTGTAGACTCCAGACCCCCCACCAGCCAGTCAACCCAGGGAGGTGAGCATGACTCAGTGGGCGCCCCCACAGTGGGTGGGCTTCGCTAGGGCACAGCCTGGAACCGAGGGAAATTGGATTGCTCTGCACTCTATTTTGAAGACCTTTTCACATCGGCGTACTAAGTTCCTCCTCATTCTTTTTAACCCAACTGCCACAGGTTTTTCAGCCAAGACAGGGCGGAGTGGTGTCAGTCAGAACAGGAGGCCACACTGTGAACTTGGTTCCCAAACATGAAACCCTGGCGGCTTCCTGCCCTGAGTGCTCTGGGTCTCAGCTGCCGACGCCGAGGCGCTCCTCCGGGGGCTGGGAGGGCCCGGGGTCCTAGCAAGGTAGGGAGGCTGCGGGGAAGTCAGTGGGGTGCGGGTGGTGTGGACACCTCCCCATCCCCAGCCGGCTCCGGTCCCGGTGGCCTTGGGCCAGAACGGATCTGCTCATGAGGTGGGCACCAGCCCCGTGGGCTCAGGGAGATGTCAAAGGCTCTGGTTTTGGGGGAAAAGGTAGGGAACCTCTTGCTCCCTCCTGGTTCTGAAAAGCCAAGACGCACCAACTCCCCGAACCAACACGCCCACCCTCCCCACGCTCAAGCCGAGCGCACCGCCCTGGAGTAAGGAGGACCGCGGCGAGGGCGCGCCCTGGGAGACAGAACCCTGGAGAGCGCACGACCTGGACGGCGGGCGAGGCCAGGATCCGCGTCTGAGCCGCTGGGAACCCATGAGCCCCGTCCATGGAGTTGAGGAAGGGGGTTCGCCCCACGGGGTGGGCGCCCTCTACACAGCGCGCTTCCTCTTCTCTCGTTAGCGCCGCGGGACCAGCCTCTGGTTCTGCACCTCGCGCTCTGGGAGCAGCGCCCGGCTTTGGCGAGCGCTTCCCCGGGGCTGCCCAGCCTCTGCTCCGCTCGCCCCGCCAGGCCCGGCTCCGCGAAGCCCCCAGGGTCCAGTCCAAGGCCCCGATTCCCCAAGGCCAGGGCCCCGGGGCAGCATTGGAACAGGGCGCGGACGCCAGTCCTCCGAGCATGGAGTAACTGCAGCTTTTGAGAAAAGAAAGCGGACCCCACCCCATCGAGAACGCGGCGCCTTGTTTAGGGACGTTCCTGGGCCGTCACGGAGTGTCGCCGGCTCCTCGGCCCCTCCCTCCTCCAAGCCCCCACCCCCGACAGCGGCCTCCCTGGGGACCTCCCCTCGGGCTGCGCTTTCAGCCCAAACACAGGGAGGTCTTCCAGGAGCCTGCCCAGTCCCCACAGCAGCCCAGAGACCCCCACTCCCACCTGTACCTGCCAAGCCTTCAGAGAGGGCGGCCTGGACATGCCCCGCACGGGAGGAGCCCCGCCTCAGCACCCCTGCAAGTGGCAGCAACCCAGAACACCCGTGAGAGGCCTCTGAGCAGCCCAGGAAGTGGCTGGAAGACGCATAGGCAGCTCACTCCTCTGTAAGAGCAAGGACCGGAGAACACATGCTGACCCCTGCTTTTGCAGAGGGGCGATGCTTCAGGACAGGCGCGCTCAGCAGGTGTCCATCTTATTTCACACCTTTGTGTTTATATCATCTTATTTTGCATTTTATGTCTAATTAACAATATGCAGCTGGCCAGGCGCAGTGGCTCAAGCCTCTAATCCCAGCACTTTGGGAGGCCGAGGCAGGTGTATCACTTGAGGGCAGGAGTTCGGGACCGGCCTGGGCAACATAGCAAAACCCCATTGCTAATAAAAATACAAAAATTAGCCAGCCATGGTGGCGGGCACCTGCAGTCCCAGCTACTCCGGAAGCTGAAGCAGGAGAATCACTTGAACCCAGGAGGCGGAGGTGGCAGTGAGCTATCAAGCCATTACACTCCAGCCTGGGCAACAGAGAAAGACTGTCTCAAAAAAAAATTAATACGCAGCAGAATATTATGTGGTCAGCCCAAGCAGTCCCCCCCACTCAGCCCTCTGTCCCTACAGCTCCAGGCACTCCCCCAGCCCCTCCCCTGGACAAGAGGTAATGCCCAGAGGGTGAAAATCCACCAAGGTTAAGCCAGAAACAAAAAGCTCAAAGCTTCGGCATCTCCCTCCGCTCAGACCCTTAGAGCAGATTCCTCTCATCGACAGCACGATCAGGCTGTGGGTGGCAGAGAAGGGGTGCAAACTGCACCCGCCATTAGCTGGGCTTCTCGGTGGTAGCCCTGAGTGCTCCACGGCCTGTCCCCACCTGGCTCCTGCACCCGCTTCCTTTCTGCGTGGGCTTCCTTTCTGCGTGGGCGGTGAGTGATCCTGGGGGCCACCAGCTGCTCGTGGTGGGGAGGGGCCTGCCGGGCGGGGCTGGCTGTGGGAAGGAGAGCCACGACAGATAGGAAGCACCTGCCAGATGCAGGACAGCAACTATCTAAGGAAGACTTGATTTCCAAGTTTCTATGGAGATGTTACAAACGGTGTAGGCTTAAAAAAAGCATTTAAAACTTTTATGTAACTGAAGTTTTAAAATAAAAATATGATCAGGTGAAATAACAAATAATGCCATCCCATGACAGTTTTCAAGATAAAGGCGTGTCCCCGCCCCCTGCAGCCAGCACCCCACCCGTCCTTGGGGCTCACCTAGCCGTCTAGGGCTGTAGGAATAAAATGGCCACACCGTCCAAATCTTGACTTTATTTTTAATATAAAAAATGCAAATTTGGAAACCCACCCTACTTTCCCCAACATAATGCTTTACCTCTTAAAAATAAAAATAAAGTACTAATTCTATATACATCACAGGTACCATACAAAAATGTATCCAAAGTTTCTATTGCTACCAAAGTGTTCTAAATTAAAACAAGTTACAGAAAGCCCCTCATTGTAAACAAAAGATTACAAGTTATAAAATCAAAGTACACACAGGCCAGAGTCATTTATACAATGCAATGCATTCTGCTCCCAAGCCAAGTTGAATTTTTATGTGCCTGTATAAAAATGCATATCAATATACCTTTGCAAATGTATTTTTCATTATAAAGCAAATGAATACACTTTCTACAATAAATAATCCGCTGGGAGGCACACCTGCGGGGTTTGAGGTGGGCGGGACGACGGGAGCGGGGACACACCCACCGGCGGTCACGGGCAGCGGAGTGTTTTTGGTGATCTGCAAGTGATGTACACAGCATAACTTTATTCTCCCCTCTTTCCACAAAGTACCATTCAAAATAATGTCATTTTCTTTCTTAAAATACACATTTGTCATTGTAAATTTACATCCCGTCTTATTAAATAAGTGGTACTCTGTGTAAAGAGCATGATTTACAAAATTATTAAACATTCAAAAGTCTTTAAGAAAAAGCTACATATCAAAGAAAGTGACGCCAGCAGCACGGCCTGGGGACGTGCGACAGACGCACTGGGCTGCCCGGACGTGCCCACCCCACTCACAGCGCCCAGACGGAGATGGGTTCCTAGAAAACTTGGAAATAAAACCTCCCCCCTCCCCGGGGAAAAAGAATTAAAGAGCTATAACTAAAAATCAGAATAAGTTAAGTTTTGAACAATATACAAACATGTACAGCTTATCAACACTATGGACAAGACCCGCGCTGGCGGCCGGGCCGTCAGTCAATGTCACTGAGGTCGCTGGTCGGCTCCCCGTGGACGCGGCTCAGGTGGTTCATGGCGCGGTCAAAAGCGATCCGCACGGCCTTCCGGATGCTGGAATTCCTCCCTTCCATCATCTTTAACTTGTCTATAGTTTCGTCAATACCAAGGGGAACCATTTTGGACTTAGGAAGCCACTGCCTTTTTAAAAGGAAAAACAAGCGGAAAATCATTGCTTGCACATGGTATTTCAGCAGGCTCCATGTAATCATCTAACAAATTCACTGCCCTCCGATAGAAAGGGGCCCTGCTCAGCACCACCAAGACAGCTGGGCCCCGTGCAGGGACAGGCCCGAGGCCAGGAGTGCACCCCTCCCTTCCCCTCCCCGACTTGGGGATACGGGGAGCTAAGTAAGGCATAAAAACCATCACCTCCTCCTCCACCTCCAAAACGTTTCCCAGTGCCTGCTTAGTGACAAGACATGCACACACCAAGCCCAGAGTCAGGGTGGGCCCTGGAGCAGAGGCCGGTGGTTGGGGAGACCCCATCAAAGGGGCCCTCGGATGGACAAGGTGTGGGCCTCGCTCAAGGCCTGACAAGAAGCAGTGGCCACGTGGCCAAAGAGGCAGAGGTCGAGGCAAGGAAGAGAAAGACGGTAGGGATGCCTGTGCTGCCAGTCCTGCTCCAGGCACACCATAGGCAGGTGGCCCCGAGCCCCTGCGCCAGGTCCCAAGTGCAGCCAGCTCCACGGGGAACCAGGAAGCACCTGCCCGGGCCACGTGCGCAGGGCACAGCCGGGGCCACAGCTCCTCCCAGAGGCATGTGCTGCCAGCGTGTCCTGCACAGAGGGATCTTGGGGTCTAAACCCTGGCACATGAGGGTCCCAGACGCTCTGGGGAAAAGCAGCTCAGGGCACAGGGGGAGCCTCCTGTGATGGGGTGGATGTCTGAGCAGAGCTGGATGATGCTGGGACAGAAGGCTCTAAGAACAGGGCCAGAGGCCAGGCCCGGGCAGGGGCCATGTCCTGCAGTACAGGGGTCCGGGAGCACAGCAGAGGGACCCCCAACACTGGAGCGGACACATGGGTAAGGAGTAGGGAAGAGACAGTCCAGACCAATGGGGCTCAGGCGAGAGGGAGAGGAAGCCATCGGGCAGAGACAGACCCGGTGCTCAGTGCCCGTCCCACAGTCCCGGCGAGGGGGCTGGGCAGTGCCCTTCTCCACCAGGCAAACAGCGGAGCACTCACCTCCGACTTTAGCTGTGCCAGGGCCCAGCAGACAAAGACGCTGCTCACCACAGGGACACTCAGGTCACCGAGCCCACGGCCCCCAACCACCCCAGCCGGTCCCCGGAGTCTAAGGCCTCTCAACTCACCAACTTCTCTTATTATCAAAAAAGAGAACGAGGAACAGCTTCTCATCAGACTTGGTCTGCATGTGCTCCCCAATCTTCAGCACGTCCAGGGGTGGGGCCGGGATGGTGACGCCGTTGTGGTGGCCAGGCACACGGGGCATCTTGGGGTCGATGATCTGCACGAGAAGGACCCGCTGAGGTCATTGTGAGGCTCACACCCATAAACAACCCCACCTGTCACTGGCACCCCCCCCCGCCTCCCCACCCCAGCTGTGTGAGCCTCCTCAGACCACCCCCACGCCCCCCTCGCCGAACCACCCCTGCCCCTTCCAGCTGTGTGAACCTCCTCTGACCAACCCCGCCCCCCCGCCAGCTGTGGAACCTCCTTGGACCACCGCCGTGAGCCTCCTCGGACCACCCCCGCCCCGCAGCTGTGTGAGCCTCCTCTGGACCCGCAGGCGCCACGAGAGCCGTACTCACCAGTGCCGGGTAGGAGGGGTAGCCGCTGCACTTGGCCCACACCACCTTCAGAGGCTCCAGCACCGAGGCGGCGGCATCAGTGGAGATCCACATGCTGCTCTGGCCGACTTCTGCGGAGAGGGGCGTCAGCAGGACACAGGCGTCAGCAGGACACGGGGCACGCCCCGCCCCCCCACAAAAGGTGCAGCAACAGGGTGGGTCCCCCGAGCACAGCCCAGCTCCCAGGCCTTTCTCAGCCACCCCGGCAGCACCACTGCCTCCCCTGTGGGGTCCAGGCCCTTGCATCCCCACTGTCCCTGCAGCCCACCTGGGGCCACCAGCCTCCCACGGACCCAGGGAAGCTCCTGCCCTCCAGGCTACAAGGCTCCAACTCCAGGTGCCCAGCACAGTCCCTTCTGAGCCCTCCTTGCCGCAAGGACGGGGCTCCCAGCATGCTCCTGCCTCATTTACACAACTGACACCCCAAATGGGAAACCAAAGTCCTGGCTCCCCCTCCGCCAGACCAGCTCCCTGCTGTCCCTCCCACCTGGGGGATCTCCGTCCTGATGCCCCCTCACAGCATGGCTGCCTTCCACAGTGAGGGCTGTGCGACCCCAAACCCTGGGGCCTCCCCCTCCCCCAGGGGCCTGAAGTTGAGGGCACCCACCCTGCAGTCAGTCCCCTGTGCAGCTGCAAATGACCACTGAACCTAAACAACCCCAGACAGCCTTGACAGTGCCTGGCAACCAGCAGCCACACAGAGCTGGACGTTCCACAGGGAAACGAAGGCAGGATGGAGGAGGCGCCACCTCCGCAGGCACCCCGGCAGGGCCACAGCCCAGAGCCCCTCGGTGTGTGATGAACCCTTCCCCGGGAGGTTGGCCAGGGTGGGGCTCCACACAGGGCACCATGCTCCCTGAGCCGGAGTCCAGTCCCCAGCAGTCGAGCCCTAAGACGCTAACCAGGAGGTGTGGAGAGCCATGGAGGCAGGTCCGGGCGACTCACCGGCTGCGATCCTGGCCGCCTTGGCGTAGTTCCCATTCTCGATGCAGGAGATCAGCTCACTGCGGTCCTCCAGCGTGTGCCGTCGCACAAGAGCCGGTTTGCCCCGCCCACATTTGGGCGCATTAAAGCTTCGGGAGGAAGAGCAGAGGGAGTCAGGCGCCCCGCCCCTGCCTTCAGCCTCACTCGGGCTTCGTCCCGTGAGCTGTCCGCCACCAAGCTGGCCACGCATCCTGCCTGACACCCCCGCGGCCAGACGGGCCTGTGGGTGCGCAGGTCTGGAGGGAGTGAACCTGTGGCAGGGGGGACTCAGGAGGCCAAAGTGGCCTTCACAGGGCAGACAGGCAGGGCTGTGCTCATTGCCAGATTCTGGGAGGTAAAGATCAAGTGTAAAACTTCATTGCAGATTCTAAAATTGTGTTCCTATTTCACGCAGTGTTTTTCCTACTTCTGCTTGAATTCTATAAAGCAGATTAATATGCAGCATGGGAAACTGTCCACAAGGGCAGAGCACACATGAATCCCAGGCCAGAATTTTTCAGAGAACACTAAGATGGGAGCTGGAATGTCCCGGCTTCCAGGACAGCCAGGCGGGGCGGGCGGTGCTGGGAGCTGCGTGGTGGGAAGCGCAGGGCCGCGGTGCCCACCTCGAGTCGCAGAGCGGGCTGTTGCTGGAGGAGATGCTGGACTCGGAGGCACAGCGTCGTCGGGGTGTGGCCTTCCTCCCCAGGCCGCCGCCCGGCTCCTGCTCGCTCCTCGCACCCCCAAAGCCGTTGGTGAGACCTGGAACACAGGCGGGCAGGCCCTGAGCTCAGCACAACCAGGGCACACTGAAGCATGACTCAACGACGTTACACTTGGAACACATCTTACAAAGCACGTTTCACAGACAGGTAAGACAGCATCTTCCTTTTCACTCCCAAGTTCCCGAGCATAGTCCTTACAGTAAGCAGACACCAAAGTTACTCGTTAAATGAAATCAACTTAACAAACTGCAGTCGGCTCCGATCGTAGTAGTTTGCTGAGCACCATGAAGATGCTCCTCTTGACAAGCCCGGGTCTTTAGACAGGCTCTGTGAAGGCAAAGAAAGGATGCCGTGAGCCTGCCATGGGGGCAGATGTGCAACCTGTGAGTGCAAACACGGGGGCGGCCTGTCCACGTGGGCACCGGCCGCGTTTGAACGGAAACTTCACCAGGCCGAAGGGGCCACCAAAGACACAAAAACATGTTCACAGGAGCAGAGCTCCAGGGAATAGGAAATCAGGTTTTAAAAAGAAAAAACCTTGGTTCAAAAGACAAGTGTTAACATGAAGTCAAAAATGCTGACGAAACACTTTAAAACACAAAATCCGGGGCCATCGCCGTGTCTGAGTGTGTCTGGCCTCACTCACCATGAAGCTGCAAGTACTGTACACAGCTAAACAAAACACCACTCACAATTCCATCATCTCAATGTTTAAAAAATAAGGCAAATCTCAGTATTTTCCCCCTAAAAATCCTGACTTTGTCAGTCAACGGGAAACAACACATCTGCCCAAGGCCCCCCGATGAGGTCCCCCATGGGAGTCACAACGGGGGGATGATGTTCCTGCTGGGGGCCCTCTGGGTGTCAGAGCTAAAGGGGTGTGTGATTTTTTTTTTCTTTTTTGAGGCGGAGTCTCACTCTGTCGCCCAGGCTGGAGTGCAGTGGCACGATCTTGGCTCACTGCAAGCTCCACCTCCCGGGTTCACGCCATTCTCCTGCCTCAGCCTCCCGAGTAGCTGGGACTACAGGCGCCCGCCACCATGCCTGGCTAATTTTTTGTATTTTTAGTAGAGACGGAGTTTCACCGTGTTAGCCAGGATGGTCTCAATCTCCTGACCTCGTGATCCGCCTGCCTCGGCCTCCCAAAGTGCTGGGATTACAGGCATGAGCCATGACACCCGGCCATGTGAATTTTTTTATCCAAAAAGAACCCCGTTTTCCTGCCTACCTACCTCATCCTTAAAAAATTTTTAAATCTATTTCCAAAGGAAATTATGTAAATTTGTAAATAGAGCATTTCTGTAGAATTTTTTTGGAAACGATGTCTCACTCTGTCACCAAGGATGGAGTGCAATGGACTCCATGGCTCACTGCAACCTTGACCTCCTGGGCTCAAGTGATCCTCCTGCCTCAGCCTCCTGAGTGGCTGGGAGGCATGTTTTGAAGGGAATGGCTGGACTGCGGGATTTTCCACCCGCTTCGTACGCTTCCCGTCTGTTCTCAATGAGCACGACCGACTTTTCAATACAGGGGCTGAATCAGCCTCCACCCGCTTCATACACTTGCTGTCTGTTCTCAATGAGCATGACTGACTGAAACAGAGGGGCTAAATCAAGCTCAGAAGGGAATGCACAGATTGGGCGGGTGCACTGCTGCCCTCCACAGACTCAAGTCAGACACCGGCTCCGTCTCTCCTGGACTGGAATGTACCGTGACCTCCAAGGGAAGCTCTGTGTTTCTCATTTTAACCTCGGTCATTTTAAGGCAGGAACTGTGGCCAGTTGGGGGTGTCATACTCATTTCTGGCAAGGGAACAAATAAATTTAAAAACCTACAGGAGAAGGCCTTGAGCCACACGCTGAGCTGCCCTGGGGCTCCACATGCTCCCCATACTCATCACAGAGTGGGCTCAGACCCTGCACACTCAGGCCCCGAAGATGTCTCAAGAGGGAATTAAAAGTCCCGTCCTGGCCCCCGAGAACCCCTCAGGAGCAGCGACTCCATCCCTACTCCAACCTGAGTGGGTGAAGGCAAGGGAAGCCCACCCAGCTCGCATCAGCAGTGGACGGACGGAGCCCAGCACCCCTGCCAGCATTCAGCCCACAGGCCCGGAGAGGGGTCTGCCAACGCGTGTGACCCGTCTCCAGAGAGCAGCCACGAGCCTGGCGACCCACACCCCACAGCCCGGCCCCCAGCACACTCCAGACCCCAGGTGCAGGGTGAGCCTGCTCCAGGCTGAACAGACGCAGCCCAGGGCCTGGGTGGGGAGGCTTTTAGTAGTTACTGGTTGGCCGAGCAACGGCCACTTGGGGGAAGACGATGACCAGTGCGGCCTTCACAAGACTGCCCAGAGGTGCCAGCCTGAGGGCCCTAGCACGAGATCACCCGCAGCTGTGCCAGCACCAACACAGCCAAGCCATGCACAGACCACTCAGCAGCCACGACGGCCCCGGCTCCGTGTGCATGGAGTGGGGCCAGGAAGGGGATTAAAACACAAGGCAAGTCCTTAATTCTCAGAAAGAGGAGAATGATAAAATGCCCCTCTTAATTTTCCTAAGCATTCAGTGAGTGCGCGTATGACGCAAGAACACACAGAGGTTCTGCGTGTCACCCATGAAAATGTGACAGCACCCGGGAAGACGTGGGCAGCACAGACAAACCCAGCCCAACCGAGACACCACCCAGCAGGAGGCCTGGCGGGGGTGGGACAGCTGCAAGGCTTGCTAACAGGCGGTCTGGGGGCTGCGGCAGTGCGGGGTCACCCAGGAAGCCAAGAAGCCAGACCAGGACACAGACACATCCCGGGAGGCTCTGCAGCCACCGCCTGGAGTCCCCAGAACCTCGGGGGAGCTGCAAGGTGGCCTGCGCTGCCCGGACCCTCCCAGCCTCCACCTGGACCACCAGAAAATAATCTAAGACAGCTATGGTTCTGAGATCTCTCAATCTCGGCCCTGCCAACTCCCGCCCTGGGAGGCTCTTCCAGCCAGCTGGGAGATGTCCACCATGACCCGCACCTCAGCACCCCTGCAAGGACCTCAGCCCAGAACATTCTGAAGCCCAGGCCAGCCTTGAGGTGGGGCCCAACGTGGGGAACCCAGGGCCTAAGGTCTGCAGAGATGGGTGCCCGGTCCATGAGGCATTTGCAAACAGCAGGCACTGAGGCCGAGCCCAAGCCTCTAAATCATGTAAATAGCAAGGGGCAACTTTCAGCAACTTTTTCAGCACGAGGTTTTTTTTTAACGCTGAAAGTAAAGCTGGTGACTGTGAGAAATACGTTAAAAGAGGCGGCGGCTGCCAGGAAAGAGCCGCTGCCCCATCAACACAGGAGCTGCACGGAATTCCCACAGCGGCCAGGGTCCACCCACCCTCAAGGGCCTTCCCAGTGACCTCCTAGGAGGCCAAAGACTGAACACAGAAATGTCCCTCTCTGCCCCCAAAGGAGATGGCGCAAAGGTGTCCCACAGCCCAGCCAAGCGCAGTCCCCGGAAGCCTGCCCGTCACCAGGTACGTCCACAGCACACCTGAAACTGTCCCGGGAGGTCCCCAAAGGGTCTTCTGAGAGACTGAAGGCCACAGCGGCTGAGACACCGCCCCTCCCCACAGGGAAGAGAAGCCCCAGGGCCCACCTGGGGAGGCGGAGGCCTGCAGGTCTGACTGATGGGCCGTAGTCTCCTCTGGTCTCAGGCTCCCAGCCCCCAACCCATGTGGACACCACAAATCCTCCAGGCCACAGGTGTAAGAACACCAGGCCCTGATCAGTGGCTGCCGAGACACCTGAGGGCACGGAGCCATGGGAACGCAACCCCACAACACGGGATACAAGCCCGCCCCTGCCCGCCCCTGCCGCTGGCACCCAAGCTGCCACCTCGGCTTCTCCGGCTCATGGGAAGCTTGGCCGTATGAAGCAGGTGGGCTGAGCCTGCACCCTGAAGACCAGAGCCCTGAGGGCCCCACGCAGTGACAAAGGAGAGCCCACTATCTCCTGTTTTCAGTTTCACTTTTACCATCGTTAAAAGAAGAGCAGTTTTGGTGCATTTTTCAACCTCTCAACAAAAACACACACGGAAGAAGATTCCAACAGCACCCTGCTCTTGCTGGGACCTGCTCCGTGACAATGCAGCCGGGGACGGTCAGAGACCGACCCAAGGCCCATGTTGCTGGGACCTGCTCCGTGACAATGCAGCCGGGACGGTCCGAGACAGACCCAAGGCCCAGGCCAGATGCCTGCACAAGACTTGCTCCGTGACAATGCAGCCGGGGACGGTCAGAGACAGACCCAAGGCCTATGTTGCTGGGACCCGCTCCGTGACAATGCAGCTGGGACGGTCAGAGACAGACCCAAGGCCCAGGCCAGACGCCTGCACGAGACCTGCTCTTGCTGGGACCTGCTCCGTGACAATGCAGCCGGGGACGGTCAGAGACAGACCCAAGGCCCATGTTGCTGGGACCCGCTCCGTGACAATGCAGCTGGGATGGTCAGAGACAGAACCAAGGCCCAGGCCAGACGCCTGCACGAGACCTGCTCTTGCTGGGACCTGCTCCGTGACAATGCAGCCGGGGATGGTCAGAAACAGACCCAAGGCCCATCTTGCTGGGACCCACTCCGCGACAATGCAGCTGGGATGGTCAGAGACAGACCCAAGGCCCAGGCCAGATGCCTGCACAAGACTTGCTCTGTGACAATGCCGCTGGGGACAGTCAGAGACAGACCCAAGGCCCATCTTGCTGGGACCTGCTCCATGACAATGCAGCTGGGACGGTCAGAG
This sequence comes from Homo sapiens, assembly GCF_000001405.40. Taxonomy (NCBI): domain Eukaryota; kingdom Metazoa; phylum Chordata; class Mammalia; order Primates; family Hominidae; genus Homo; species Homo sapiens. Next base: position 49,782,543 of record NC_000022.11, read on the forward strand.
ACAGACCCAAGGCCCATCGTGCTGGGACTCGCTCCGTGACAATGCAGCTGGGATGGTCAGAGACAGAACCAAGGCCCAGGCCAGACGCCTGCACGAGACCTGCTCTTGCTGGGACCCACTCCGCGACAATGCAGCTGGGATGGTCAGAGACAGACCCAAGGCCCAGGCCAGATGCCTGCACAAGACTTGCTCTGTGACAATGCCGCTGGGGACAGTCAGAGACAGACCCAAAGCCCATCTTGCTGGGACCTGCTCCATGACAATGCAGCTGGGACGGTCAGAGACAGACCCAAGGCCCATCGTGCTGGGACCCGCTCCGCGACAATGCAGCTGGGATGGTCAGAGACAGACCCAAGGCCCAGGCCAGATGCCTGCACAAGACTTGCTCTGTGACAATGCCGCTGGGGACAGTCAGAGACAGACCCAAAGCCCATCTTGCTGGGACCTGCTCCATGACAATGCAGCTGGGACGGTCAGAGACAGACCCAAGGCCCATCGTGCTGGGACTCGCTCCGTGACAATGCAGCTGGGATGGTCAGAGACAGAACCAAGGCCCAGGCCAGACGCCTGCACGAGACCTGCTCTTGCTGGGACCCAGCTCCATGACAATGCAGCTGGGATGGTCAGAGACAGACCCAAGGCCCAGGACAGACGCCTGCACAAGATCCCACGCACAGATGCCCCACCCCACGAGCAGGACTTCTCAGTTGGCCGCAGGGGCACTCAGCGTGGTGACCAGCAAGAGACAAACAGCAGCACTGCTCAAGAATCCACTGGGCATTGTGGGGAAAAAACAGAGGAAGGGGAAGTAAGGGGAGAAGGAAATCAGGTAGAAAACCCAGAAATACAGAAGATGCTAGCGAGTGAGTGAGCACGCACTGTCCATGCCACATCCTCAGACAGTGCCGAGCCAAGTTCCTCCATACCCCATGGCACAGACACAGCACAACGCGCCTGGGCATGGCCGTCACACCCAAACCACCAGTCACTATGGGACGGCTCCGCACATGCTCAGGACAGCCTCAGAATGCTGTCCACTGTGTCGTCAGCTGCAGCAGGCTCCCAGTCGGTGCCGGGCTCTCCTCTGCGTCCTTCGTGACTGTCCAGAGGGAAGGCTGAGGTGCCACGACATCCCGCCAGCTCCAGGCGTGCACCGGGCGCCAGCACCATTCCCACTGCCGGGCTCTGACTTACAGAGGGGGTGGGCTGGGGTGGGGGAGAGCTCCTCCAGGGCTGCTGTTTGTGATTTTGTCTAGAGGATGTTTGAGCTGATGATTCCAATGTGATCCGCAAGAATTAAGTGAAAGGCAAGATGCAGTGATCTTTGTGCATTCCAAAACGGCCGCTTAGCAGAACTCCAGTCCAAGTTGAGGTAAGAGAAAATGATTAGGGTCCAAAGAGTGAACTACCCAGCACATTAGTGGTTAAAGTGAGAACCTGGAAAACAGTGAAAAAGCCATTTAGTCTGAATGAAAGGGCAGGACAGCTCAGCCTCCTCCCTGAACAGCCGAAGGACACTGAAGACACCCCCGCGCTCTCACGCCCCAGCACGTGCACATGGAGACTCGCAACAGGGGTCTCCGCAACGGCAGCGAGTGGACAAAGACATCCCCACACTCTCAAGCCCCAGCACATGCACACAGAGACTCGCAGCAGGGGTCTCCGCAACGGCGGTGAGTGGACAAAGACACCCCCGCGCTCTCACGCCCCAGCACGTGCACAGGGAGACTCGCGGCAGGGGTCTCCGCAACGGCGGCGAGTAGACAAAGACACCCCCACGCTCTCACACGCCCCAGCACGTGCACACAGAGACTCGCAGCAGGGGTCTCCGCAACGGCGGCGAGTGGAAGGCCGCTTCAGGTGACGGTTCACTGCTGGTGAGCGTGCAGTCACGGAGGAAGGAAGCCACGAGTCAGGGCCAGACTCTGGGGCTGGGCCATCGCAGGAACAGAAGCCTGGCGCACAGCACAGCCGGCCCGCGGGCGACACGGGCAGGAGGCCCACAGTGAGTGCGTCGCCTCAGGACCAGCGACCCTGTTCAGCCTAACTCAGAATTGTGCGTGTGCTGGAAAATGCCAGATAACTCCCTAAAGTTCAGAGCACACAGATGCATGTATGGAAAACATCAGAAGGTTCCGGATAATTCCTGTCCTAAGACTGCGAAGAACTGCAGCTCTGGGCAAGAAATCCCCCATGTGCAGAGCACCAGAAGGTTCCGGTGAAACCAAAGCGAGGGCGGATGGCGGGACTGGCACCATTCAGAGCACGCCCAGCCCTTCCCCGGGCGCCTCGGCCACAGCAGTGGAATGCCTCCCACTCCCGAGGGCCTGGTCTTAATGCTGCTGAGGCTCCCGGCTGCTCAGGAGAGAGCTCAGGAACTCACCGCACCTCCACGGAAATCCACTGTCACTCGGAAATGAGAGAGCAGAAATCTCCACTTCAGTCAGGATCAGAGGGCACCATGATTCTCAAAAGCCACCATGGGCCACGCTCACTGAAGGTCTGCAGTAAGACTGCTCTACACCACCGTCACCACGGGAAGCCCGCAAAACACTCCACTCCAATGTAAGACAGTGGCCCGGAGGGGACACGTGCTCTTCTACAAGGGACATCTGATGAACGAGCCTGAGAGGTTGCTGAGGACGTGGCCGCCAGCCGGCAAAACTGTCCACAGTGGGAGCCCACAGCTGGGGCAGGGCCCGGTCAGGTGGGGCCACCTGGTGGAAACCACCACGTGAGCATCCTGCTGAGTGTCGACGGGAGGCCGCCTCAAACCCCAGCCCCACGGCCGGCAGGGCCTCCACGCACGCAGCCCCATACCTCTGCCGCCGACAGACGTGAAACCCCGAGGAAGTGGAGCGTCAGCCGAACTCCAAGTTCTGCATGCAGAGGGGACGCCCACAATTACACTGACCCAACCTCTAGTACCCAGTGCACAGCACCCTGACCCGATTCATCACAGAATTTCCGGGGTGCTTGGAAAACCAGGTCAGAGTCTTTCACCAAAGGTGGCTAAGAAAGACCAACGTGGTTAAGACACATCCCCCAGTCCTGAGTCAAGGACATCTATTCTTATTGGTATCTTGTGAAACATTTCAATAGCTTCCTATTACTTAGAAAGCAAAAAAGCTTTTTCAAATTATTTTAAAATGCCAATTTAACATCAATCCATCAAAGTAAAAGGACATGGGTAGAAAATTTCTACACATTCAGTTACGTGCAAAATTTTCATACAAATCAAAATGAAATTTACCAGAAATTACTTTGGCAACAAGACGCATGACCTGCTTGCTGGCAAGGGTAGGAAGTGAGCCTCCTTCTGCACAAAGACCTTTGACAGTGCCTGGTCTCACTCCCCTCCCCGGACGCTTCAGGCCAGAGACCAGCAGAAGGAACAGGGACAAGATGTGAGGGAGTGGCCTGGGCAGGTCTTGCCCACCACAGCCTTCCATCTGCACCCGGCCTGGTGAGGCTCCATGACACAGGACTCACTTGCTGCCACTCTGGGAAATAAGCAACACCCACCCAGCCCCACCCTCTCTCACTGCTCAAGTGCACGAGGCACCACGGCACACCAGCACAGCCAGGAGAAAATGCGCATCTCCTTATCTAGGTATAACAGGCAGACAGGACAGACGGGAACCAAGCCTTGACTCGGGACAAAAACCAAAATGACAAACATGCTCCAGACACGCTTCCAGAAAAGAGTCGCTGGCAACCTGAGCCGGCACCTCCAGAAGCGCAGCCAGTACCGAAGAAGCAAACCGATGACAGCTGCTCCTCTTTAAAGGACAAACTCCTCAGCTTCCTCTGAGGGGCGGGGAGCAGAGGCTGCAGGAACACAGCGGCCTCCTCAAAGTGCTCCCAGCACAGCACACACACGGCAACACCCTCACCGAGGAATTCAACAGAGTTCAGTTACAAAAGCGCAGCAAGAGATGAGAAGCGCTTTCCAGTGCTATTTCAGCAGGTCCTAATACCTCATCACATATGTGGCTAAGAGGGCCACATAAAACAATGAGTAAATGTTGCTGAAATCAACTGCAAAGTACTGCATTTACCACAGGGGCAGGTCCTCTCAGAGGTCCAGGGAAGGGCCAGGCTCAACCCCAGGTCCTAGGTCTGTGGGGCTGCAAGGAGACCTGACTGAGGGTTGCAGAGTCGAGCTCCCACAAGTGCTGGGAGCGGCCAGTCACCAGCTTATCCAGATGTGCACAGCAAAGTCAAGATGACCAATTAAAACTACACCTGAATTCATTCTCAGTACTTTTTTAAAGATCAGAAGGGGCCAGGTGCAGCGGCTCACACATCTAATCCCAACACTTTGGGAGTCAGAGGCCAGGAGTTCAAGACCAGCCGGGACAACACAGCGAGACCCCCATCTCTACCAAAAATTTTCAAATTAGCTGGGAGTGGTGGTGTGCACCTGTAGTCCCAGCTACACAAGAGGCTGAGGCAGGAGGATCACCTGAGCCCAGGAGTTGGAGGCTGCAGTGAGCCACTCACTCCAGCCTGGGTGACAAAGCAAGACTCTCTTAAAAAAAAATCAGAGAGGAAGTATGTGGCAGAAGACAGGACCAAGGACCATCGACCCCTGGCCCAGGGCAGCCCAGCAAGGTTGCACAATCTCTCGTGGCAAACAGGCCCCCCACGAAGGCGCCGGCCTCAGACCCGCAACTCAAGGCTTTTCAAAGAAAACACTGCACTGTTGTCTTCTCTGGAAATTAAGAGAATGCTGCAAAAACAGAAGCTGGACACCCCCCCCCCCCCGTCACACCAATGATCCTGAAGGACGCTCCAGGCACTGGTCGGCAAGGGCGCCTCTCAGGGCCGCCCGCGGCATTTACCTGCGTCCAGGCGCTTTCCTGGGGACTCCTCCTCCACCTCGGAGTCTCCGCATGTGCTCCGCGACCTTTTCCTTGGCTGCAGAAGAGTCTCCAACCTCGGAAGGACTACAGACAAAAAGGTTTTGGTCCCTAGCTGAGGAGAAGTTGGCTGGGTTTCAGTGTTCTTGGCAGACTTTGGGGGGCTTACACTTTTCGATTTGCAGAAGAGAACAGAAGTGCGTCTGTTTACATCGCTTGCTGGCTCCGCCACCGCGGAGGCCGCCGCCGCCGGCACATCGCCACTACTGGCGCGGGTGGGCTCTGGAGGGCGTCCGCTTACCAGTGCGCTCTGAGTGCAAGCGCTATGTGATTCATTATCAAATGTGACTCTTTTGAAAAGTTTACTCTGCTCTGGGTTGAGTTCTACTGGTTTGAGGGTTGGTGGTTCTGAATTAGTCTCCGAGTTTGAAGGAAGAGGTAATGCATCTGATGGTTCAAGTTTAGGGGGAGATTTATCTCCTGAAAAAATTATAAATAAAGTGATTTTTGAAAACTGAAGATTATAAAATCTATTATAAAACTTACTATAAATGTGAAGTCCACCAAAATACTAATTCAGTTAAGGAAACAAGGCATCGCATGTACTGTCTGCTCGGCAGTGTGGGCCCCGTGGGCTCGGGCCACACTGTGTGTGCTTCCCTAACGCCAAAGGCTGCGGCCCTGGGTGCAGTGCCCAGGCACACAGTTACTCTCTGAAAAAAACTGTGAAAGATTATTTCACATGCGCCAATATTAAACACGTCACTCGAGTTCATGACAGTTTCTGCAATGAATAATTCACTTACCTTGAGGAAGAAAAGGTATCTCACATAACTAAAGGGGCCTTAAACGGGCATTCCCACAGAGCTCTACTGGGCCACGAAGTTAGCAAATAAAAGGAAGGCAACATTAAATCTGATCTCTGGTCAAGGTCTTAAGTCAAAAATGCAAAAACAAACAAACAAACAAAAAAAACAGGGAGTGGTGAGTGGCTGTGGATGATTTTCAAGAAAGGCAGGGAAAAAAGCCCCGCTCCCCACAGCACAGAAGTCCGTGCCACGTTCCCAAATATTGTGATGGGAGCTTTCAGGAAAAAAAAATCTGACTTTTAAAAATAAGAAGTCTTTGGAAAAAGACGGCTTTAACCTCTTTTTAAAGTCTTTTTGACATTATAAAAACCGGAAGTGTGAAATGGTAAAAAGCCCGAGGTCAGGAGGACGGCCTGGGGCTGGTCTGTGGGGCTCTGTGCACTGTCCCGAGTCCAGGGGGCCGGACAGGCTCTGGCACGAGGCTAACAGGGCGAGGCGACGCCACAACAAGCCAAGCCCAGCCACTGAGGCTTCCTTCCAAGCAGGACCGGTACTGACAACAGGAAGTGTGACATAAAACCAAGGATTTTGTGATTATTTAAAGTGACATAAAACACTTTAAATAATCCTTAGTATATATTATCACTGGGTACAGTTTTCATTTCATTAAACCTGCAAACTTTCCTAAAACCGTTTGAAGTATGTATGGTTACTATTGTCATTCAAAAAGTTGTTTTGAAAATACAAAACTACACAACTTAACAGGACTCAGAGCAATGTTTTGAGGCTGAAGAAAGTTCTCCCAAGGCTGGGCCATGACGCCGGGCAGCAGTGCTTTCGGCTGCGAGGTGCCTCTGATTTTAAATGACACTCGGCGCCTTAGAGCACCTCACAGCCAATTCAAATACAAGGGGGAAGCCTCACCTCAACAAAAAGCCTCCCGTGTCAGCCGCAGGGAGCACAGCTGTCATGTGGGAATGCTGGATCCCAAGGCAGGGGCACATGCGAGGTGACAAAACTCCCTCCCTCCTGTTCAATGTCGCCAACAGGCTTAAGGAAAAGGTGTTTGTGAAACACCTGGGAACACTGGCCGGAGGGAACTGGGCAATGCGGAGAAGGGCTGCTGAAAGGCTGCTCATGAGCATCCCTGGTGCCTGTACAGCAGCAGGAGGGGATTCAGCACTGAGCCTGCAGCGTCCTGACGCAGCTGGTGTCTGGGGCACAGGGCCTGGGGCCTCACTTCACTTCCTGCCTCCTCTTCCACCTCCTAGCCTCCCCCCCCCGCCCCGAGCTCTCGCCCTGATTACGACATTCAACTGCTCACTGCAATCCCAATGGCCTCTGCAGGGCCAAGGCCAGTGGTCAACCCCAGTCTTGGCCTCTATGGGTGCAACAGCACCCGGCCAGCAGAGATGGAGCCTGAAGGAGTCTCCTCCCAGCACCTCCGGGAGACCCCCCTTCCCCCAACCACCTACAGCCCACCTTCTCCACAGCTATCTAACGGGCACCGTAAACCCCCATCTCCTGCTTCTGGTGCAACCCTCAGAACCACCACTCCTGTCTGGCAGGAGCCCTGAGACGTGCAGACGTCCCTGCCTTGCAGCAGGCCCTCCCCAACCATGGTCCACAACCCCTCCTCCACACCTCCAGCTCTCGGCCCAGCTAGGATGCCCCATGTGGGACTCATAACCATCTCCACGCTGCAGGGACTTCCCTAACCCCTGGTCTATCCCAAAGCGGGCCCCTGTGGCCCTGTCTCAGCCATGCATGCACCCCACACGCCCCTGGCCTCTCTGCGGCAGCTCCACATGCAGGCCGGGCTCCAGCCGCCAGCACGCAGGCTAAAGGATGCGTTCCTGCAGCACTGACCAGAGGCACAAAGGAGGCCGTGGTCAGGAACAGAGGTCGCTGTCGTCTGGGTGCTCAGCCACCTGCCCAGCCGGGACCACACAGGCCCCTCCCCCAGCCGGGACCACAGAGGCCCCCGGACCGTTCAGTGCCTCAGTTCCTCATCCATAAAATCAGAAAAAAACAGGACCTGAGCCTCCAGGCTCCACGACACAACAGGCAAGCCCAACCCGTCCCTCGAGTGGAAATGTGACTGGAAGTTGACATACAAGAAGGAAGACTCCTCTCAAAGCTCACTGACTCTGGGCCATCTCAGGCTGTCACTGAACTGCACATGGGAAAAGCTCAGAACATGCTCGATACAACTCGGGCATAAGCCTCTCAGACCCCGTCAATGTATCAGTCAGGATCCTAGAATTCCAGTCCCTGGAACTTGTCACATATTCCAAATGGCAAAATGGTTATCTAATCCAAACCAGCTACTCTAAGAAACTAAAACCTAGTTAAGTCTGCAAGAACAATTCCGCAATATTTTGCCCACCTGGCCACCTGCTATGTCAATCAAAGGTTTCTGTATCGAAGCCACAAGACGCTTTGGAAAATCACAGCGTAACACAGGCAGACATTTCAGCTCACGAGCAGCAACCACACTGTCCCTCCAACAACCCTGCCTCAAGCCTCCGTCCTCTGCAATCCTGAAGGGACAAAGCTGCGTACTCCGCACCTTCTACCCCGAGGAACATGCATCCTTCCTTTCCTGAGGGCCACAGTTCTCCACGTGCTCAGCGCCCGTGCACGGCAGGGGGACTTCCACACGTGCACTTCAAGGGACCACAGCTGCCCTGGACTAAAGGGGACGCCCCGGAGCCTCTGGCAAGGGCATCACTGTGACTGGAAATCCCAAGGACTCGAAATGCAAGCCCCTTTCACCAGCTCACGGTGCGGACCCTGCTCCTCCTGACTGCACTGACCTGCCTCACCATGTCAGCAGACACCAACCTCAGCACAGGGTGGAGACAAGCCCTCTGCCAGCTGCAGATCCGTCCCACAGGCTCATCAGACAGGCTGGAATCCCAGCTGTGGCGTGGCCCCCACCCAGCTGACACGCAGCCCCGGGGAAGTCAGCCCTGGCAGGGCCAGCTCACAGCAACAGCCCGAACCTCTGCACTCGGCAGACTGAGTCGCGGCTACGGCAGAGCCTGCGGGAGGGCCTGTACAAGGGGCAGACCGGGGCCAACAGTGCAGCCCAGGAGGCATCTCCTTCCTTCAGACACTAAAGTCTCAGGGGCCTGGCACTCAACGGCTACAGCCTTGTTCAAGCTGCTTCAAGTGGAAGCAAAATATAAACACAACACACAGACTGTTAAATTACAGTTTAAGTGAGACTGTGTATTTGCCATTGAGGAATTACTCTTTTCAGGTGTGAAAATATTGTGGTTATATTTAAGAAAAATGATGGAGAGGCTTTACTGATGAGAACGTTCATGCTGGGTTTTTAAATGTCTGATTCTTGGTTTTCATCCTATTATAAGTATCGTAAGTCACATTTCTATACCAACCAACAAGCTTGCTTGTGGCTGTCTTCCCTAATGACTTCCCCATTCCAGTCTGGCACTCGCCTCTCCACAGACCCCCATCTTCTCTGAGGGGCAGGACCCCGCCCGCCCCACCTCTCCAGAGACCCCCAACTTCTCTGAGGGGCAGGACCCCACCCGCCTCACCTCGGAGTGGACTTTCAGGCCACTTGCTTCTCCACCCACCTTCCCATCAGCTCACAGGAAACGCCCTTTTCATCAATTGAGTCATTGTGAACATTGGGTGTAACAGGTGATTCGAGGCCACCTGTGTCTCAGTCACATTGTGTTTTCCTTACAATGGCCCCAGAAAAAAAATAAAAATAAAATGATTCCAGAGCTACAAAGCAACAAAAATGGTCTCCAAAGGCTCCTGCTAAGCGTTGGGTGTTATGAGGAGCCACGCTCACCACAGCGGAGGGCCAAGCAGCTCCAACCATGCGAGGTCCTCAACCATGCGAGGTCCTCAGTCCTGTGACCCAATAACCGTGCGGGGTCCTCAGCCCTGTGACCCAATGGCAATGGAGGAAGCCACTGATAAAAAAAAAAAGCTAAAAAGGTAACTTACTGCTCTACAGTGAAAATGGTACAACTGTGTGCGAAGAGAAGCGCTGGAAGCTATTTTGAGAATGGTGAGTGGACCTGCTGGCAACCTCCTCACAGCTCAGTCCTCAGGGCACAGAAGACAAGGACAGAAGGGCAGTCCACCTAGAGGGAGGCCCACACAGCCAGAGGATGCCTCGGTGGGCTGCACGGAAGCAAAGGCTGCGGGACCAGGCACCAGCCTGGACTCCTGGGCACAATGGGGCGGCCCAGGGCCCGGACAGGTATGGCTGCCAGAGGGTCCTGTAGGCAAACGTTCCTCAGAAAAAACACGAGGCCCCCAAAGCAGAGGAGGGATCACGTGCCAACAATAACAGCCTTTGGGAGAAGAGAAAACCAAGCGCTCACCTTGAAATAGAAAAGCCTTTATTCTATGGACCTAACGTAATTGACGCCAGCCCCAAAAGAGACATTCTAGAGTCTGGGTACTATACTATGGTGAACTAAACAGAAGAATCCCAGAACAGAACAACAAACAGGCACAAAATGAGCAAAAGGATGCATAAGAAATTCTCAGCTGTGTGCACAGGAGTAAGTTTCTAAGAGAAAGAAAAGCTTAATGGCTCTCATTCAAGTTGCCCAAATGTAAAACAGGATAAAAGGGGCGAAGCTCTGCAGACAGGAGCCACAAGAAGTTCAGGGGATGAAAAGGGCCCTGAGACCATGGGGACCCGCTGACCTGTGTGGCATCATGAAGACACTGCGTCACTCCGAGCACAGACGTCCATAAGAGATGAACGTCTTTGTTTTAAAAGAAAATTGTACAACAATTCTGTGTCTTATTTCAACTGTCTGCTGTTCTGACTTGGATGTGCAGGGGAAGGGCAAGAAGGCTGAGAACCAGCTGCCAATGTTGTGGCAAGAGGGTCTGACCCTACTGTCTGCTTCGTGTAACCGGAGCGTGTCAAGGTCAACTGCAGAGACACACGGCAAAACACAGTGGCAATGACTTTCTATCAACGTCTCCAAATCCGATTTAGTTTTAAAATTCCTCTTTCACCAAATATGGGACACACCAGCTCTACTTCCTCACCCTGCCAACCTAGATGTACACAGACCATCGCTCGTAAACTCCCTCCTCACCATGCCAAGCCTGCATTTGCCCTGGGTTTTGCTAGTTCTCCTTCTAGATAGGCGGATTTCTTCTCCTACATTTATTTCTTAGTCATAAAAACATCTTTGCTGCCTGGACCTTTCCCCAGACATTCTTTGGCAACGATCACGGCTGCTACCTACCAACTCTGCAGAGGAGCTGGCCGGGGACCCTCGGGGCAGACAAGGCCTCTGCAGGTACCGTCCCTCCCTTCACAACATCAGGGAGGAGTGTTTAAGTGCCAATAATCTAAAACAGCCCTTTCAAAATGCTGCATTTGATGGCCTAGCGCACAATTAAATGGCTCCCCGCCAATTTACAAAATGCAACAAAAACATTTCTCACTCTCATCATTCAGGCTACCTTTACTCTTCAACACAGTGTAAGATCTAAACCATTCTTTTCAAATAGTTTCTCAGGCCCAAGTTAAAGAGAAAAATTTTATTCTGTGCCTTAAATTTTATCAACTGATTATGTGAGAAAACACAGACAGCACAAATGATAACGTCTCCTTAAAAGGAAACAACAGCCCAGTGGGAAAATCAAGTGTTCCGGGATTTGTGAATTTTACGGAACTGGCGCTAACCTGAGCCTCCGTGCACACCAACGCTGCTGCCCGTGTCTGGGTCTGTGCCTGTGCCTGTGCCTGAGCCTGAGCCGTGACGGCAAGAAAGCGGGGCAGCCCTCACCGTGGCTTACCTTCCTCGCCCGCCTCCGGCCCCAGCGCAGCTCCGTCCTCTTCGAAGCCTTCCAAGCCTGGCCCCGTGGGCAGGGGCTGGCTGTGCTGCTGGCTCAGCTTGTTTCGGAGAAGGGCAATTTCCTTTTTGAGCAGCTTTGCCCGCTTGCTCCGGGAGCCGCTGGACTTCATAGCGCAGGTGAGGTCGAGCATGTCCAGCAGCTCTCTCAGCTGCTCCTCCAGGCCCAGGTGGGCTCTGTTGGCGGGGTCCAGCAACCTGTCCACTGAACCAAAGGACACATGCTGTCAGTCATCAGGTCCCACGCACCTTCTGGGAACACATCACCGGTCCCGTCTTTCAAATCACCTTCGGCCAAGGCCCTGAGAGTGGCTGTTAGCAACGAGGCCCAGGCCCTGCTCACCAGAGGCCCCTCCCCTGCACTCTGAACCCACGAGTAGCTGCTGCTACAGGAACACACTGGGATGCTCCTGATGGAGAATTTCTACTCCCATGACACTGTCAGCACAGAAGGGGCAGCGTCCAGGTAAGATCGCAACCTCTCCTGGACCAGGACCCACTGAGGCTGCCTGTGCAGACAGCCTGGCTGCCTGGGTGAGGGCACAGCACACAGACCCCAGAGAGAGGCGCACGCTCCACCAACCCAGCACAACTCAGCTGGACCTGCGCTGGCTCTGCAAACAGAGGTGACGACTGGCAAATGTGTTAAGTTAGGGCCATTGCACGTCCTAAGTGGTGTCTTAGCTGAAGTCTTCAGATGCTGATCATTGTGTGGCTTTAGTAAACGGGTTGTAAAATTCACAGATCATTCTGAATTTCAGACGTATTTACTACAAAGTCCCTAGAAACTTCGCTTTCAAAAACACCAAAATTTATAAAGCACAAATTACCTTAAATAAGTAAGAGATGGCCAAGAAAAGAAACTGCTCCTCAGAGCTATCTGAAGATAAAACCAGAGCAAGAAGGAGAGAGAAGACAAAAAAAAAAGTAAGACTGCCCAAAAACACATGAACTCTCTTCATCTAGAAACAGGTGTTTTACTGAAAGCATCTGTCTCTTTGGCTGAATAAATAAAGTAGTAGAGAGAAACAAATCAGTCCTTCAAGACTCGTATCCATAACATCACTCTGAACAAATGTCATAGATAATACTCAAAAATGTTCATACAAAAAAACATATCCTTTGAAACCCCAAGAAGAAAGCCTCGAAACGTCTGTTTCTTTCAAAACAGAGACCCACGGCCTCCAGGTCTGTGGCTCAGGCTCCAGGCAATGGGAGGTGTCGGCCGTGCTGAGAAGAGCAGCAGGTGCACCCTCAAGGCACACCATGGCCACTGGCTCACCTGTGCACTCCCAAATACTGAGAAAGAAAGAAACCAGGACTTCTCATCCTTCATTTTCTCCTTAGCAAAAAAACCCGGGTGTAGAAATTCACTTAACAACTTGCATGACCATGATCTGAAAGGCGCTGACACTCAGAGGCCTCCACACCTGCTCTGTTCGAGGGAGGTGGCATGGTGCTGGGAGCATGATGTGGGGGAGCACAGGAGCAGGGCCCTAGGGGCAAAGGAGGCTCCGGGCTGCTAAGAAGACAGGGAGTCCAAGAGTGATGCATCTTCCTGCTTTGAAGGGCAGGCAACCAGCGTACGTCCTGAGCAGCCAGCAGCGGGCACCAGGTGGGCGTCTGAGAGCTGATGGCAGGCAAGGCATCCAAGCCAGAGCGTGATGGCTGTGGGAGGCGGGGGAAGCTTTCCCACGGTCACCAGAGGCTAGAGAAGGACCTTCCAGGACAAGCATGAGCCCATGGAGCCCTGGGCTCACTCTGAGGCGGCTCAGCCCTGGCTCCTCTCAGGTCCCCAAGGGAATGTTTCGGAAAAGGATAGCTGGTCTGATCAGCCTGGAGAGCGCAGCTTCAGAGAGGGGTTAAAGCTCCACCCGGGTTCACCAAGAGCCAGCAGCACTGTTTGGAGCCTGTGTTTATTTTCTAAATTTCTCCAAGAAAAACGTGTTACTCTTAAAATCAGAAAATCAGAGACAAAGAATAAAAATATATTTCCATTGTGTTTTCTTTTTTTTTTTTTTGAGACAGTCTTGCTCTGTCGCCCAGGCTGGAGTGTAGTGGCGTAATCTCGGCTCACTGAGAGCACCGCCTCCCGGATTCACGCCATTCTCCTGCCTCAGCCTCCCGAGTAGCTAGGACTACAGGTGCCCGCCACCATGCCTGGCTAATTTTGTTTTTGTATTTTTAGTACAGACAGGGTTTCACCACATTAGCCAGGATGGTCTCGACCTCCTGACTTCGTGATCCACCCGCCTCGGCCTCTCTCTTTTTTCTTTTTTTTTTTGGAGATAGGGTCTCACTCTGTCACCCAGGCTTCAGTGCAATGGCACAATCTCCGCTCACTGCAGCCTCCACCTCCCAGGTTCAAGCGATTCTCCTGCCTCAGCCTCCGAAATAGCTGGGATTACAGGCATGCGCCACCATGCCCGGCTAATTTTTTGTGTTTGCAGTAGAAACGGGGTTTCTGCATGTTGGCCAGGCCGGTCTCAATCTCCCGACCTCAAGTGATCCACCCGCCTCGGTATCCCAAAGTGCTGGGATTACAGGCATGAGCCACAGAACCTGGCCCTATCCCCAGTCTTTAAAAGAGTACAGCCCATCCTCCAATCCTCACAGGTGCCGAGTGCTGCGGGACCCCACGGGAAGCAGGGAGCCCAGCACTGCTGCCATGAGGGGAACAGAGGGCGAAGCAACGATGGCCCAGCTTGGTTGAATCCCATGATGGCGGGAAGCGGACCCCACGATGGCGGGAACGTGGACCCCGCGATGGCGGGAACGTGGAAGAGAGGAAGAGGGCCAGGCCTCATCCCAGAAGAAGCGACCTAGCACGGGTCAGTGATTCATCAAGAGAAAGGGTAGGCCAAGAAATCAGGGATATGGGACCTTTAGACAAATAAGCCAAACACACCGTGATTTCTGCTCAGTTTGTGGCTCAGAGCTGGAGCTGAGGTGCTGGAGCTCTATGTGCTTTGACAACCCATGTGGGCAGGACACACCCTTCGACAGACAATCCCAGAGGTGCGACTAACAAGCAGGGTGCAGGGGACAGCCCCGGTTTCCGAGGACCAGTCTAGAGAAGGGTGCAGGTGACTACACATGGCTGCAACACGTGCCTGGGCAACCAAGAAGCACAAGCCCAGGCTGGAGTCCAGGTGGGCCGTGGACACACTCCCAGAGCCCTTTCTACAACATGCGCAAACCACGAAGTTAAAGGGCTGGAGGCAAAGCCAGAGATCCTCCGGCTTCACGCCACCCTCAGAAGTTAGCCGAGGCCCACTCTGGATGAAAACCCCCAACTAAGCTGCTTTCTGGGTCTGCATCGTCGAGACCGGCCACCCCATAGGGAGCCACAGCCACACAGTCCTCTTGGTGGGCACCCAAAACGCAGCCAGTCTGAAGTGACAGGTGCTGAGCGTAAAATACACATCAGATGGCAAAGAAGGTGAAAAGCTTATATATCCTCAGTAACGTTTACCGATCCCATGTTGAAATCAACTCTTCCATACACTGAGTAAAATAAGACATATTATTAAAGTAAATTCCACCTGCTTCTTTTCCATTTTTCAGTGAGGCTACTAGAAAATGTAAATGATGTATGCGGTTGCATGCTAGTGGCTCCCGGACCATGCTGATAGGGAGCTGGCAACACAGAGCAGGACAGAGTCTGCTAGAAAGAGCGTCTTCCACCTCCTCCGGACACGGCGCCAGTTCTTACCGTCTTCCCAGGAGAAAGGCCGCCGCGGTGCCGCAGCAGGCCGCTCAGGCAGGTGCATCCCCGAGGCCTCTTCCAAGCCGATGCTGTCCACCTCGCGCCGGGCCTGCCTCAGAACAACACCTCCCTGATCGCGCAGCCTCACCGCGGCTCTATAGAACACGGTGTCCCTGGCATTGTACTTCATGCAGTTATCTATAATGAGATCAAAATCCTCCTCAAACTCATGGAGGTTTTTATACCCTTGAGCTTCTAACCGTTTCCTCATTGTGGCAAAGTCCATGGGATGTTTAATGTGATCCAAATAATCTGGTACCTAATTTTAGGGAGGAAAAAGAATCATTTACAAACTAAAACAGGATATTAGTTGACTCTATATTTATTATTCCATATAACCCACAAGCCCATCCTATCTGAGAGCCACACACAGACACGCAGACGGTACAGACATAAGACCCAAGTACTGCAGGGACCTTCCCGACCCCAGCTCCTTCAGCTAAAGCACGCTGGAGGGTGCCGGGCGGATGCTGCCACAGCCCAGGGTACTGTCTGCACAGGGCCTCTTGCCCACTGCACTTTCAGTATTTTACAATGAAATGTATCACTTTTATAATTTAAAAACAAATACGTTAAATAAAAACGAGAATTAAGAACACAAGGGATGTACTCTAGCCAATCACACGTTTCCCGGTCAAACGGCAGCACAAATCCACAGTCACACATGCGGCAGGACAGACGAGCGCCGCAAACACCCACCTCCTTCAGACTCACGGGCTGCGCAAATATCCTGGCGGGGTCCTTGTCTTGCAGCTGGTCCAGCACTGAGCGCAGCAGCACCGTCAGCGGGGTCAGCCGCAGCTCCATGGCGACCTGCTCCACCTTCACCTGGGGGGGCCCAGCAGAGCCTCAGCTTTAGGGAGCCGCACATGCGTCTCAGCCCCACCACGCGCCCCACAGCCACAAGCAGCCCCCACAGGCTCCTGTGCTTCCGTCCAGGCATAGGACAACGCAGCCTCCACTTAGGGCTCTGCAACCCATGGCAGCCAGGCACCCAGCCTGGGCTGAGCAAGGCACTGCTGTGGGCCAGGACCCACCGGGTGCAGCCCACCCTCTGCAGGAGCTGCCAGCGTCCCACCCACGCCCCGTGGCCAGTGGTGCACTCCACGCGGGACAGGCCCAGCCCCACCTGCTCACGCTTGAGCTTCTCCCGCTTGCGCAGCAGCTCGATCAGCAGGCGAGCGCGCTCCAGGTCGTGCCGCAGCCGCTGCCAGTACTTCAGCTTCTCTTTGGCAGCCTTCATCTCCTCATCATTTTCTCTCTGAGAACAGTGAACACTTCCGTCAGTCAAACCCAGAGGCTCCTTCTGCAAAAGGCCTCAGATACCATGCAGGTGAGACCCCAAGAGGCATCCACGTCAGGGGTCCTGCAGGCCCATCCTGGGGAGGACAACAGACCACCCTCACTAGAGAGCCCCAGGACAGCACCGGGACAGAGGGGACAGAGGAGACAGAGGGGATGGAGGGGACAGAGGGGACCGCCAGGCCAAGGTGAGCAGGGGGCTGGCCCCGGTGCACAGGTTCCACCCTCCAGAGAGGACAGAGGCCTCCGCAAGCTGGCGGCGGGGGGGGCCTTCACAGAACCAGAAAGGCCCACAAAGGCGGGGCCAGGACAGAATGGGGGACCCTTGAGGACCCACCTCCAGGACAGCTGGGAATGGAGGGAGCGGCTGGAAAGAAACCAGGTGCACAGAAAACCACATGCTGGGCCCATCCTGGCTTGGACAGAGCATGACGGGGGCCTGGCACACAGCCGACCTGCTGCCCTGCCCTGCACAGCGCCTCCATCCCGACACACGTTTCCCCACAGCCAGGGTCCCATTTCCATTGATAGCACCTGCTCCCTTCTCAGTGGACAGAAGAGTGCGCCAGACAGCACAGGCCGCCAGCCTCAACCCAGCCAACATCCACACCAGGGTGATCAGAAGAAAATCAGAGCCCTGCAAAGGCCATGACACAGATGGTCGCAGGAGAGTAGGCCACCTGGGTCTGCCCTCAGCCCTGTCCTCACCATGTCCCCCAGGCCTGGCCGCATGAGGCCTGCTCGTCACAGTGCCGGGGCACCCTGACCCTACCTCAAAGGGGAGAGGAAGTCAACGAGGGAGTTGGCCTGAGTGGGCCCCCAACACCTGTCATCCTCCACAGCTGCAGGACACGCGCGCCCTGCCAGCCTCAGGACAGCCGTGGCCATCAGTTTCTGGCACATGCTTCACAGCCCTGAGACCCTCCTCTCCCCCAACGCCTCTGTCCCCGGGTTCCCACCTGCCCACCTCAGGGTACTGTCATAGCTTTTCAAAGGACCGAGGGTGTGAAGGCAAAGACTGCTGGACTACAAGATGCAAGGACCCCGGACTCCAAACTGCTCAGAAAAGGAGGCTCAAGGAGGGAGGCCGAGCCCCGCACCCCCACCCCCAAGGCCAGGCCTCTCCATGGCGAGGCAGAGCGTTGCTGCGCTGATGTCCCCTGAAGTGAGGATCTCTGGGTTTTCCTCAATGCTGCTGAACACCCTCAGGCAGGAAATCGGGGCTAAGAGTAACAAGATCCACATCAACTCAAGCAAAGGCAGGAAAATGTGGGCTCCAAAAACCAAGCTCCCCGGAGCATCTGAGTATTGCCTGTCCCTCAGCTTGCAATCGACACTTCTGAAAACCTCGGCCAAAAGGACATTTGGCCTGGGAATCTGTTACGAAGCGGAAGAAATCTCCTCATCACCAGGAAGCCCTTTATCACGCACTGGCTGCTAAGCAAACTTACTAGTCTGCTCCCCAACCTGGTTTAACAAACGCCATCGGCAGTGGCAGGGGCCCCGTTGACAGCACCTGGGCCCAAGGTCCCATGACACATGCAGCCTCATCCACTCAGAAGGATCAAGGTTCCTTACTCGGCTCTCAAGGGCTCGATATTTCCCATGTAAAAATCAACAGTGGGAGGCTCCACGAGAAAGGACAGAAGTGAAGAAGCACTCAGGCATCCCCACTGCCGGGAAGAAGCTGAGCGCCTCCGCGTCCATTCCAGACACATGGGGGAGACACAGGGCAGGGCTAGGCGACGGTCAGGTTAAAATCGCCTCTGCTGGGAGGACAGGCCAGCTCCTGGGGTGAGGGCCCACAGTGTTACAGAGTGGCCGACCCCAGGCCTCCTGGCAACAGCACCCAGCTCCTGCCACTGGGCCCAATGCCGCCAGCAGGTGCGTGGGACTGGCAGAGGCCACACACGCAGCACAGCAAGGACGATGTGGGCAGCAGC
The DNA here is from genome assembly GCF_000001405.40 of Homo sapiens. Classification (NCBI taxonomy): domain Eukaryota; kingdom Metazoa; phylum Chordata; class Mammalia; order Primates; family Hominidae; genus Homo; species Homo sapiens. The sequence continues at coordinate 49,801,104 of NC_000022.11, forward strand.
GCCCAGCATGCCACAGGACAGACACTGGGAAAGCTGCAGGATGCGCTCCCAGGACAGGAAGGGTGGGCCACGGGAGCAGGAGACAGTGGGACGCCACCAGCATACACACAAATCGCTGCTCACCCTTTATAAAGCTAAGCTGCCGCCCCCGTTCTCCCTGCGGCCTTCAACGGCCACACACACCAGAACAAAAACCAGGGCCTATATGCGCAGCCAGCACAGACCCGCCATCGCTGCAGCACCCTCGGCGCCTGCTGGCCTCTCAAGAGACCCCGTCCAGTTCATCCACCTGCCCCCACCACAGGGTCAGGCTGGGGCAGGTACACAGAGACACAGAGGAATCAAATGCATCAGGTACTTCCAAAGCTTCAAAACCATGAAACCACACCAAGCCGTGGCCATCCCTGGCCAGGAGAAGGCAGAAGCACAGTCTCTCCCAATAGCCCGTTCACACAGAGGCAGGTTTCCAGGCTCTCCACGCCGACTGCTCTGCTGCGGCTCAAGTCCAGGCAGCTCCTTCTGCTCCTTCCCAGGTGACTTCGAGAAGCTGCCCCCTCTGCCAGAAGAGCTGCTCTGGCCGGGCTGTGGGGATGTTCTCTCCTTACAAACGTATTCTGCACACAACAGGACGTGAGGCCTAACAGGCAGCGATGAAGCAGAGGGGGCCCAGCTGGCAGGTTCCAGCGGGTCACCTCTTCTTTGCAACCCTCCCCCTTCCCTTGCCTGGCTCCACCACGCCCCAGGCCACCCCCAGCTGCCTGGGTCCCCGTGGCCCCTGCCCACTGGCCCACGTGTCCTGCTACTGCAGGGATTCTGGCCCTCGTGTCCCAGCTTATGAGAGTAGAAATGATGATTCCCACCGCTGGACGTCCCGTTTGGCCACATCCATGCCCACTTTCCATGGAATCTGCCCTTCAACAGCTCCTCTGTGACTTACCTGGAGTTCTGTCCAGCCCCGAGATAAGACCCAAGATCTGAACCCTCAACTTCCTCCCAAAAAAGCCTCTCTTCCATTCCCCAACATCGCAGGGGCGGAGACCAATGCCTCCACTCTCTTCCTTTCCCCAACATCGCGGGGGCCGAGACCAATGCCTCCACTCTCTTCCTTTCCCCAACATCGCGGGGGCCGAGACCAATGCCTCCACTCTCTTCCTTTCCCCAACATCGCGGGGGCCGAGACCAATGCCTCCACTCTCTTCCATTCCCCAACATCGCGGGGGCCGAGACCAATGCCTCCACTCTCTTCCTTTCCCCAACATCGCGGGGGCCGAGACCAATGCCTCCACTCTCTTCCTTTCCCCAACATCGCGGGGGCCGAGACCAATGCCTCCACTCTCTTCCTTTCCCCAACATCGCGGGGGCCGAGACCAATGCCTCCACTCTCTTCCATTCCCCAACATCGCAGGGGCCGAGACCAATGCCTCCACTCTCTTCCTTTCCCCAACATCGCGGGGGCCGAGACCAATGCCTCCACTCTCTTCCTTTCCCCAACATCGCGGGGGCCGAGACCAATGCCTCCACTCTCTTCCTTTCCCCAACATCGCGGGGGCCGAGACCAATGCCTCCACTCTCTTCCTTTCCCCAACATCGCGGGGGCCGAGACCAATGCCTCCAGCCCCCAGAGCTTCCCGCCGCTCAGCCACTTCCTGACTCTGGCCTCTTAAGAGCCCCCCAAACCGTGCTGTCCTTTCCAGGAGCCCTGGAGGCTACGAGGTGAGGACAGAGGAGAGATGGAAAGCCAAGTCACATCATGGAACGGAAGATGCGGTTAACTCATTCAACAGCCAAAAGACATTCACTGAAGCCTCAACTCTGTGGACACGTGAGGATCTCACTTGGAGAGGGGCTGGCTCACAGACCTGCCCGGGGAGCCCCAAGTTCCATGGACAGACACACAGTGGGGCAACCCAGGTGGACGGCACGGGAGACCTGGAATATTCCACAGCCAAGACGCACCAAGGCCGTCAGAAAACTTTGGACCCCACCACACCAAATCAGACCCACAAACCACCACCTGCCAGACCAGAGCACCAGACTCTGTAGTTCCCTGGAGCACAAGGCAGCCACGGCAGGTGACTGAACAGGGCTCACGCTGCAGAGGCAGAGTCTGCGAGGCAGAGACAGCACCGGCCACCGCACCACCGCACGGGGACCCAACCGTGAACCCTGTAGACTCAAGCTTCCTGTGAGCAAGTCACCACCTCACAGCAGAGCAGGATGGTTTCGCTTCGTGCCCAGGATGGCAGTGAAAAGCACCATGAGGAAATTCCAAGAGGCACTCAGGCCACGCGACGCCAGCAGCAGACAGCTCTTCCAAAAGACCAGCGGCTCCTCACTAGGCAGCGTGGGCAGAGGGCGCTGGCCGCAGGTCCTGGGCCGTGTGCAGAGCTGCTTGTGTTTTCAATTACTTTTGTGCATCTCACAGAAGCTACTTCACTCTGTAAACCCATTTTTTCAGAACTGTTTCACAGTATCAGATGAGTCTATAAACTCAAACCTACTATCAAAATGTAAGAGTTTGGGTTTGTTCTTTTAAAAAGGAAAAGTCCTGCTCCTTCCCTCCCACTCTCTCAGCTCTCTCGAGCCCTCCCCACCCCACCACAGTCCCAGCTAAACCAACCTTCAGAGCAAGGCCCTCGAAATAAACCACTCCTCACATATTTCCAAAACCCACCCTCCAGGCCCAGCACACAGACCCCCACCCACATGGCCCGGGTGTGCTCACCGGGTCCCACTCCTGCTGTCCCCAGCCCGGACGCTCATGCAGCCACAGCATAACACATCCCTGAGCATCCCCAGTCCCCAGAGCTGGCCACTGCCCATCAGCGTGTGTGCGGGCAGGGCAGGGCGGGGGAGCGCAACTCAAAACGGAAGAAACACCCAGTGACAGGCATGGATGAGAATCACCCCCCGAGTCGCAGATCCAGAGCCCAGTGCACCCGACTCCTCCTACAGCTCCAGGGCTGGACGAGACGGAGGCTTCCCAACGGGGAGCCTGAGCCCAGGGGGCAGCACCGTGACCAGCCTGAACCAGGTGCCCTCTCCCTGGAGGGTGGGGGTGAGAGACGCAGAAAGGCTGTGGGGGCCACGAGCCACGTACCTGCTGTGAGCTTCGCTGAGACTGCAGGCTGGACTGCAGCCGCCGCAGCAGGGGGGCCCCGTTCCTGGACAGCCGCTTGAGCAGCCAGTAGCTGTGGGCTCGCTCCACAAACTGCTTCTTCCGCTGAATGGCCACCTGATTCGCAATCCTATTTAACCTAAAACACAAACACTCAGTGTATCTTTGAAGCAGTACATTAAGATGTTTCATCACATAAACTAGAAATGACAGTACTACTGCTAACAAAACCATGTGTTCATACTTTTTCTCCCTAAGCCATGACACCTGTATTTCTACTATCCCTAGTGCTGCTAAAACAAAATTCACGATCTCCAACCATTTGAAGATTTCATCCACTTTTTAGGTTGGGCACAGTGGCTCCTGCCTGTAATCCCAGCACTTTGGGAGGCCGAGGTGGGGGGATCCCTTGAGGCCAGGAGTTTGAGACCAGCCTGGCCAACATGGTGAAACCCCGTCTCTACCAAAAATACAAAAATATTAGCTGAATGTGGAGGTACATGCGTGTAGTCCCGGCTACTTGGGAGGCTGAGGCAGGAGAATCGCTTAAACCTGGGAGGTGGAGGTTGGTGTGAGCCGAAATCGCACCACTGCACTCCAGCCTGGGTGACAGAGCGAGATTCTGACTCAAAAATAAAATTAAAAAAAAAAGATTTCATCCACTTCTCATTCACTACAACATTTATCAGATTGAATATCCAAAAAGAAAACATGCTGAGCAAAGCCTTCAACAGTTTTCATTCTTTCTATGTGACCCCATCTGCACACAAGCTGACTTCAACCACATCTGTGTCAGCGGGCCCAAAACCTTAGACACTGTCCACTCAGACGCCATGGGAGAGGTGGGCACTGGTCCCCATGTCACCTCCAAGAAGAGAGACAGAGCTCAAGGTATAAGCCGCTAACAGGTGCTGTTTTACCGTGCTCACTAAAATGACATCAGTCATCTTCAAGTCTCCCAAGAAATGCAAAGTGCTGCCCTTGGGGGCACATGGAGCCACCAAGACCCTCGGCGCCTCTCATCCACCAAGGGAACCCAACGCCGCCTCTTCCGGCAGAACCTGGCTCAAGCGTGGAGCCTGCAGGAGAACACTCACCAGACCCAGAACTGACCGTGAGGTGCCTTCTCACAGGGAACCCGCCGGGGGAACTTTGCCAGAGTGACCCATCAGCAAGAGCTCCCGTGCAGATGTGGAACCCCTTTAGGCTAAAACAATCCTGCCCACCACTCCAAGGGCAGTCTGCATGCTCAGGACACCAAACGCCTGCCCACGAAGCACAGCCCTCCAAGGACAGCCAACGGAAGGAAGCCAGAGGCTGGAGAGGGCATCGGCAGGTGCACTGGGACGCTGGGCTCTGATCACAGCCCCACAGGGCTCCTCCTCTGCAGGCTGGGCTGGGCTGGACCTGGTCACCTCATGGCCTGCTGTTTTGGGAGCAGTCTGTTTTTACCACTTGGGACTGAGGCAAACCATGTGCAGTCAATAGCACAACACTTAACTCTTCTGGTTCAGTGAGTCTTTTTTTTTTTTTTTTTTGAGATGGAGTCTCACTCTATTGCCCAGGCTGGAGTGCAGTGACGCAATTTCAGCTCACTGCAACCTCCGCCTCCCGGGTTCAAGCGATTCTCCTGCCTCAGCCTCCCTAGTAGCTGGGACTACAGGCGCCCGTTGCCACACCCAGCTAATTTTTGTATTTTTAGCAGAGACAAGGTTTCACCGTGCTGGCCAGGCTGGTCTCAAAACTCCTGACCTCAGGTTTCTGTCCACCTCGGCGTCCCAAGTGCTGGGATGACAGGCATAAGCCACCGCTCCCGGCCCACACCCAGCTAATTTTTATGTTTTCAGTGAAGATGGGGTTTTGCTATGTTGGCCAGGCTGGTCTCGAACTCCTGGCCTCAGCCTCCCGAAGTACTGGGATTACAGACATGAGCCACCACACCCAGCCAGCCCTATCTCTTAAAAAAGAAAGAAAGAAAGATTCTGTTTGTTTTTATTTCTTCTGACCCATGAGATGTGAGAAAAAATTCTGACCTCATCACAACAAGCCACCATCTTCTCCAGAGTCAGGGCTTCTGGAAATGTCAACAGCCCACAAGTTGTGAGCAAAAAGGCTTTGATGAAAATGCTTTAAAAACTTAAGAGCCAGATGCAGAGGTGTGCGTCTGTGACCCCAACTACTTGGGAGGCTGAGGGAGCTCATGTGAGCAAGAGGCTGAAAACCCCAAAATTAGAGTGAGGAAGAGCATGGAAGAGCAGCTTCCCAGCTGAGGCGATGAGCACCCCCACTCAACTCGGACAGAAGAGTTAAGGGGAAACAGACCTCAGATAAGAAAACTAAGCAAAGACATACATATGACAACCACAGAAAGCAGTCCCTGAGGGCTGGGTGGACTGAGATGCCGGCAATACGGGCAAGATGAAGGAGGCCTGGGGGCAGCAGCCGCAATGCCCACCTCAGGGATGACTGCAGACAAGTCAGAACCCACACTAGGAGCCGGGCGCGGTAGCTCACGCCTATAATCCCAGCACTTTGGGAGGCCGAGGCGGGCGGATCACCTGAGGTCAGCAGTTCGTGACCAGCCTGGCCAACATGGTGAAACCCCGTCGCTACTAAAAATACAAAAATTAGCCGGGTGTGGTGGTGCGTGCCTACAATCCCAGCTACTCGGGAGGCTGAGGTGGGAGAATCGCTTGAGCCCGGGAAGCGGACGTTGCAATGAGCCAAGATCGCACCATTGCACTCCAGCCTGAGGAACAAGAGCGAGACTTTGTCTCAAAAAAAAAAAAAAAAGAACCCACACCAGGGAAAAGAACCCCGGAAATGAGGGAGGTCACCAGAGTTCCAACATCAAGTATTCCTTGGATTTTTGTTAAGCCCAGTCTACATGCTGACACATAAATACTTTACCATGGGACCCACTAAATGCACTAGGGAACGTATGGATAGGAAGACCAATATTGTTAAGATGTCAATACCACCGAAAGTGATCTACAGATCCAATGCAATTCCTATCAAAATACCAATGATGTCTTTTGCAGAAATAGGAAAATCCACCCTAAAATTCATATGGAAACTCAAGGAACACCCAACAGCCAAATCACCTTGAAAAAGCTGTAAAAGTCACGCTTCCTGACTTCAGAACTTACCACAAAGCTACGGTCATCAAAACAGTGCGGTGCTGACGAAAGGACACACATATAGACCATGGGAATAGCAGAGAACCCTGAAGCGAACCCTCCCGTATCCAGCAGAGACTGTTGACAAGGGTGCCAAGACCATTCAGAGGGGAAAAGACAGTCTTTTCAGCAGATGGCACCAGGACAAGTGGATATGGCCATGCAAAAGAATGTGAAGTTGGACCTTGCCTCATTTCACACACAAAAATTAACTCAAAATCGAAGACCTAGACATAAGACCTAAAACTATAAATCTCTTAAAACAGAAGGGAAAAGCTTCATGACACTGGATTTGGCAATGATTTCTTGAATAAGACACCAAAGGCACAGGAAACAAAAAGAAAAAATAAACTGGGCTTCATGAAAAATGTTAAAATGTGTGCATTAAAAGACACACAGCAGAGTGAATGGGAGGAAATATTTTCAAATCACGTATCTGAAATGGGATTAATATCCAGAAACTCCTAAAACTTGACAAAAAATAATCCAATTCAAAACTGGTTAAAATACTCAAATAGACAATTCTTCAAAAGTGCAAATGCTCAATAAACACAGAAATGCAAATCCAAACTATGATGTCACCTTCACACCTATTAGAATGGCTATCAAAAAATACTAACAAAAAACAAAAAAAAAATGTTGGTAAGGATGTGGAAACCCTGAACCCTTGCGCACCGCCGGCAAGAACGTAAAAAGGTGTAGCCGCTGTGGAAAACAGTGTTGTGGCTCCTCAAACACTTAAAGACAGAAATGCCGTGTGACCTGGCAATCCCACTTCCGGGTATACACCCAAAAGAACTGAAAACAGGCTCAGATACTTATCACCCATGTTCTTCACAGCATTATTCACGATGGCTAAAACATGGAAGCAACCCAAGAGCCCATGGAGGAAGGAATGGGTAAGCAAAAGCTTATCTCCACATACAGAGGGTTATTCAGCCTTAAAAGGCAAGGAAGTTCCAATGCATGCAATGACATGGAAAAGCCTTGAAAATGTGCTCAGTGCAATAAGCCAGACACAAAAAGACAAATACTGCCTGATTGCGCTTATGTGAGGGACTGAAGAGGAGTCAAATTCATGGAGACAGGGAGTAGAACGGTGAACGCCCGCAGCCAGGGAGGGAGGAATGGGGAGTTCCTGTTTAACTGGGACAGAGTTTCAGACTGGGAAGACAAAAAGGCTCTGAAGATAGATGGTGGTGATGGCTGCACAGCAACAGCAATATCAAAGTGCTTCATGCCCCTGAGCTATACACTTACAATGATTAAGATGGTACATTTTATGTTATGTGTACGTGACCACAGTAAAATACTGAAAAAACTTGAATACAGAGAGTTAAATGGAATGTGCACCTTCCAAATGAGTAGAGGAGGAAAAATGCCCCCGACTCCAAAACAGCAAAACCATCTGAGTCAATACATCAGAAGAAAAAGTGAGCCGGGCGCAGTGGCTTCCGCCTGTAATCCCAGCACTTTTGGAAGCCGAGGCAGGCAGATCATGAGGTCAGGAGTTCAAGACCAGCCTGGCCAACATGGTGAAACCCCATCTCTACTAAAAATACAAAAAAATTAGCCAGGCATGATGGCACACGCCCGTAATCCTAGCTATTCAGGAGACTGAGGCAGGAGAACTGCTTGAACCCGGGAGGAAGACATTACAGTGAGCCGAGATCACACCACTGCACTCCAGCCTGGGCAACATAGCAAGACTCAGTCTCAGAGGAAAAATAAAGAAAAAGGGAAAAAAAGGATCATGGAAACAAATCCAAAATAGATCAGTAATCCAACATAAGTCAACAGTCTAAAGTTGCTAATGAAGAGGTTGTCAATCTGGTTAAAAATTTAAAATTCCAGTTTTAGGCCAGGTGCAGTGGCTCACGCCTGTAATCCCAGCACTTTGGGAGGCCGAAGCAGGTGGATCATGAGGTCAGGAGTTCAAGACCAGCCTAGCCAAGATGGTGAAACCTCGTCTCTACTAAAAATACAAAAATTAGCCAGGCGTGGTGACAGGTGCCTGTAATCCCAGCTACTTGGAAGGCTTGAGGCAGGAGAATCGCTTGAACACGGGAGGCGGAGGTTGTAGTGAGCCGAGATCGCGCCACTGCACTCCAGCCTGGGTGACGGAATGAGACTTCGTCTCCAAAAAAAATATATATATATATATATATGTAATTCCAGTTTTAAAATACCACAGCAAGGCTGAAGCTGGACATAAGGAAAATGTTCAGGTGTACATTAAGGAGCAGAAAGTGGGTACTGCTGACCGATCAGCTGAACTGAGGCCAGAGAAACACCATGACTGGAGTGAAGAGGGCTATGAGGGCTACTGGACCATGATCGAAGGAAGTGACCAAATTCCAAATGCGTACACACTGCCTAACGGGACATCTTGAAAATATCAAATGCAAAACCTCCAGGAGCTACAATGAGAACTGTTAAACCTACAAGCCTAATGAAACCAATTCACGCAAAAATAAATTAAGGATATTAAAAATGTAAGCATGACTTATACATTTGACCCAACAAGCTCATAGAGAATATTGCATCAAAGAAAGAAAGAACACACATATTCACAAGCACAGATGGACTATTTATAAAAAATGTATAACCTATTGGGCCATAAAGTCTCAACAAGCATCAAAGAATGAATGCGTACCATGCAGGTCACGTCCTTTGCCCACAGCACAAGCAATGGATATCAAGAGTTTAAAAAATTAATTTGGTTAAAAAAGAAAGAAAGAGAAAGAAAGAAAGCGAGCGAGCAAGCAAGCAAGCCCCACATGCTTCTAGACTGCTATCAGGTAAAGGTAGAAATTATCATATATAGGAAAACAGTGGCCAGACGCGGTGACTCACACTTGTAATCCCAGCACTTTGGGATGCCAAGGCGAGAAAATTGCTTGAGCCCAGGAGTTTCAGAACAGCCTGGGCAACACAGTGAGACCCCAGCTCTTAAAATATATATATATGTGCACATATAAAAATAAATAAAACTCCTATTAAAAGACCCTTGGTTAGGCAAAGGCTTCTTACATGTGACACCAAAAGCACAAGCAACCGAAGAGAAAGCAGATAAACTGGACTCCATCCAACTTGTAAATGTTTGTGCTTCAAAGAACACTGAATAAAACAATAAGATGACCCACAGAATGAAGAGAAAGTATTTGCAAGTCATGTATCTAATAGGGAGTCTAGTACCCAGAACAGAGAACTCTTATGACAACAGTAAGAAGTCAGCTAACCAATGAAAACATGGCAAAGATCTGAACAGACATTTCTCCAAAGAAAATATGCAAATGGCCAGGCAACATCTTCAGCCACTGTGGAACTGCAAAGCAAAACCCCCGAGCGATCGCTGCCCCTGCACCATGGAATGGGTATCATCAAAAGGACAGCGCCTGAGAATATACAGGGGTACAGCTGCCTTGGAAAACAATCTGGCACTTCCTCAAAATACTAAACAGCATTACCACATGACCCAGCAACTCCACTCCTAGAATATACCCAAGAGAAATAAAAACACACTACCTAAAAACTGTTACACAAATGTTCAGAGCAGCATTGTTCATAATAGCTCCAAAGTAGGAAAAAAACAAACATCCATCAAAAGATGAACAGATTTTTTTAAACGTGGCCTATCCATACAATGAACATTACGCAGCCGTGAAAAGGAATGGCACACCGACCCAGGGGGCACGATGGATGGACCTTGGAAACATGCTCAGTGAAAGAACAAAAAAAACACATTTCATAAAAGAACAAAAAAACACATTTCTATGAAATGCCCACAACAGGCAAATACACGGAGACAGGATGCAGATGGGTGGCTGCCAGGGCTGGGGGAGGATGAGAAGGTGGGAAGTTGGGGTAATGGCTAAGAGGCACAGGGTTTCCTTTGGAGGTGATAAAAATTTCTAAAATTGGTGGTGGTGATAAATGCACAACTCTGTGAACTAAAATCCACTCAACTGTACACTTCACATGGGTAAATTTCATGGTGTGTGAATGACAAGAGTCCCCCCTTAACCAAGGGGGATGGTTCCAAGACCTCCAGCGGCTGCCTGAAACTTGGAACAGGACCGAGCGCCAGCCTGGATGTTGGTACCTGCTACTAAGCGGGTTAAGGTGCAGGCAGCTGCACGGCGTGGGTGCACTGGACAAAGGTTAGATTCACGCTCCCGGCAGGCAGGACACGACAGGGAGACTGTGATCACGCTGCTCAGAATGGTGCACAACTGAAAACTTATGAACTGCTTACTGCTGGAATTTCCCATTTAATACTTTCAGACTATGGCTGACCATGGGCAACTGACACCATGGAAAGCAAAACCACAGGTAAGGGGAGGGTACTAAGTGTCTCAGTGAAGCTGACAAAATTCCCCCACGGGCGGCAGAACAGGGATGGAATGGGACACACCGCACAGGCGAATTCAGCCGGCGGTGCTGAGTCTCCCAATTCCTAGGCTATGGGTGGGTTTGTGGGCATTGCTATTTACATTTATGGTCCACACATGATTTGGCATGTATCAAACATCATCAGTTTTTAAAATATACTAAGATCTATAGTATTAACATATCAAAAATTCCTCTCAAAAACAGAAAAATCACACAAAATTTAAAAATACGTTAAGATTAAACAGTATTTGAGAGGCAGAAATAAAAGAACATGGATAAAATCCTATGGCAAGGAGCACAGTCTGCTCCTTTTTTTTTTTTTTTTTTTGAGACAGTCTTGCTCTGTCACCCAGGCTGGAGTGCAATGGCGCGATCTCGGCTCACTGCAAGCTCCACCTCCTGGGTTCAAGTGGGAGACTGAGGCAGGAGTCATTCTTCACAGATACTGTCCACAAAGACGATCCAAAAGAATCTTACAACATGTTGTATCCATCTACAACACATAGCTAAAAACAAAAATGCTAATTTTAAGAAGTACTATATTAACAAGTGCCTAGAAATAAATCTAATAGACTTTTATGGAGAAAACCATCAGCTTCTATTATGACATTAAAGAAGTCCTAGAGAGAGCCAGGAGTCGTGGCACATGCCTATAATCCCAGCTACTCAGGAGGCTGAGGCATGAGACTCACTTGAACTCTGGAGGTGGAGGCTGCAGTGAACTGAGATCATGCCACTGAACTCCAGCCTGGGCGACAGAGCAAGACCTTGTCTCAAAAAAGTAAAAGTAGTCTTACATGGGCAGCAAACTGGGCCACCTCCATGTTTAAGTGAAATTAACAGTGTAATTAACGGTGTAAAGAGTCCAAGCTTCCTAAAGGAACACTAATGTCGGGAGGACTCTAACCAGAAGTCTGACAAGGTGAAGCAGGAACTTTAAAGCTACTGCCCACTGTACACAGACGAACCAAGGACCTCACACGCCAGGACCATTCTGGAGACAAGGTGCCGCCCATGTACACAGACGCACCAAGGACCTCACACGCCAGGACCGTTCTGGAGACAAGGTGCCGCCCACTGTACACGGACGCACCAAGGACCTCACACGCCAGGACCATTCTGGAGACAAGGGGTGCCCTCCCAACCGCAGACTGAGGCTCAGCACAAAGCTGCTGGGTGGCCCAAGGTCCAGGTCACAGCTGGCCTGAGACCAGGAGGCCAAGCAGGCTGGCTCACAACCCAGATGACTCACCAGGCCTGACCCAACCTCACACCAAACAGCAATTCCAGGAGGGCTCAAGACTCCTCGAGGTGGCCGGGCACCATGGCTCACCCCTATGATCCCAGCACTTTCGGAGGCTGATGTGAGTGGATCATTTGAGCTCAGGAGTTCAAGACCAACCTAGGCAACACAGTGAGACGCCATCTCTATTTTTTGTTTTTTTGAGATGGAGTCTCGCTCTGTCGCTAGGCTGGAGTGCAGTGGCATGATCTCAGCTCACTGCAACCTCTGCCTCCTGGCTTCAAGCGATTCTCCTGCCTCTCAGCCTCCCTAGTAGCTGGGACTACAGGTGCCCACCACCACGACCAGCTAATTTTTGTATTTTTAGTAGAGACGGGGTTTCACCATGTTGGCCAGGATGATCTCAATCTCTTGACCTCGTGATCCGCCCCCCTTGGCCTCTCAAAGTGCTGGGATTACAGGCGTGAGCCACCACACCCAGCCTTTTATTTTTATTAAAAAAATTTTTGGCCAGGAGCCATTAATGGCTCATGCCTATAATCCCAGCACTTTGAGAGGCCGAGGTGGGCGATCACTTGAGGTCAAGAGTTCGAGACCAGCCTGGCCAACACGGCGAAACCCCATCTCTACTAAAAATACAAAAATTAGCCAGGTGTGGTGGCAGGCGCCTGTAATGCCAGTTACTCGGGAAGCTGAGGCAGAATCGCTTGAGCCCAGGAGGCGGAGGCTGCAGTGAGCCAAGACTGTGCCATTGCACTCCAGCCTGGGTGACAGAGTGAGACTCCATTTAAAAAAAAAAAAAAAATTTGTAAAGACTCCTAGAGGAAATACAGGGAGCAGCTTTACGGCTGCAGAGTGGGGACGAGTTTCTTCAAGCAGACCCAGCATGCACATGCCACATGGGGAAAGGGTGATAAATTTGAGGAGTACGATGAAATGAACAAACTTCGGTTCATCAGACAATAGAAAATTCAGGCTGCTTTTCAGAACCTTTACACACTGACGGGTGCACGAACGGAATTCCATGGCCAGGACTCGCTTCAAAACAATGGAATGGAAGGAATGGGAGAGGGGAGGCTGGCCAGGTGCGTATAACTTCTAAAGTTGAGTGAAAGAACAGGGGGCTCTCTCCAAAGATTTCCAAACTAAAAAAGAATATTTTAAAGACATCACTAAAAATGAAAAGATACACTCACCCACGGGCACAAGCCCCCGACAAACAGTGCACAGGCAGGGCAGGAGCCCCCGGTGCAGGCCCAGAACCCTGGCATGACACACACGCAGACCCCATGCCAGGTGGTGCGAGGTGGAGGACGCCGTGCCCACATCCATCGCTCAGGAAACACATGAGACCAGCCGGCCAGAGCCCTGAATCTCACCTCAGGGGACTCCTGCACCAAGGCTGGGGCACCACAAAGCCTGCTGCCCATCGCCAGGGGACACCTGCTCTTTTCACATGCCTGACGTGCATGGGCAAGGGCCACATCTGGGATCCTCTCCGACGGGGCAGGGTGTGCAAAAGAGGACGCAGCCCCAGCAACAGGCAACTCTATGTAGAGCACCTGGGTAGTCCCTGCTCTCTTTATTTTTGTGAATATTTTGTAAATTTGAAGTTATTTCCACATAAAAAGGTAAAATCAAGCTCCCCACCAGCCCGAGCCCAGGAGGTGCTCTCAGGAAAGCCACCATCGCCTCCAGCAGGTAGCACCTAGGCTGGAGCAGAGGTGATTATGTGTGGCAGTAATCTGCCCCGCTGTCCCCAGTAGTAAAGAAAACTTCACATAAATTTTCAACCCCACTTCTACCAAAAGTAAGTAAATATGGTGAAAGTGAAGAGAGACAGAAATCAGCTACACTGTGGTGTCTCCCCTCTGCTGAGAACATCTTCTACATGCCTGGGGTGCTTCAGGGAAGAGAACCCGGCCTAGAGGAACGTTGCCCCACAAAGCTAGGGGTGGGAATGACATGGTTGGGTACCCAAGTCGCCGGGGGCAGGGCAGAGCTGTCTAAATGGCCAGATGACTGTGGTTCATGGCCCACGGCCCTGCTCTGCGAAATGCTACCTTTAGTTCAGTAAATGCCAGCATCTTTAGGAGAGTCTGAGTGCAGAGGAAGGTGCGGTGAGGCCAGTGAGAAACGCAGCCCATGCTCTGAGCACTCAGAGTTTTCCCCAGCACAATTTTTATTTGCTTCAGCTTTTTCAATTAAAACAAATCTAGGCCAGGCACAGTGGCTTATGCCTGTAATCCCAACACTTTGGGAGGCTAAGGCAGGCGGATTACCTTAGGTCAGTCAGGAGTTCGAGACCAGCCTGGCCAACGTGACGAAACCCCATCTCCACTAAAAACACAAAAATTAGTTGGGCGTGGTGACGTGCACCTGTAATTCCGGCTATTCGGGAGGCTGAGGCAGGAGAATCGCTTGAACCCAGGGGGCAGAGGTTGCAGTGAGCGTAGATCACGCCACTGCACTCCAGCCTGGGCGACACAGCAAGACTCCATCTCAAAAAGAAGAAAAAAAAAAAAACTGTTTCCAGATATAGTAATGTCCATTTCTGTAGAGGAGAATCCCTCCTGCCTGTCAGCCTGCACCAGGAAGGGCTCTGTTGTGAGCTGCCAGCTACAATCTGCACTAAAACCCAGAAAACCAACAAAGTCACAGGAGGGCAGGAATGAGTCAGTGTCTGAAACGGCATTCAGGTCTGTTCCTCATACAGGAGAGCAGGCGCTCCTGCAGGCTGCGTCCACCCAGGTGCCCTCCCGAGCTCCCAGGCACTGGCTGGACCTGCCCTGCAGCTCCTCCTTCCAATGTGTCGTCCTGGCGCTTCCTTCCCGAGTGCCCGCCACTCCAGACCCGATGCAGGTCAAGCACAGGGAGCTGCCACCTGTGGCCTCATGGCCCCTGCCATGCCTCCCAGTGCCACCCGCAGCAGCCAACTCATGCACCCACACTGCCCGGGAGGCACCCACACAGGGCCTCCCGGTGCCACCCGCAGCAGCCAACTCATGCACCCACACCGCCCGGGAGGTACCCACACAGGGCTCTCCCCACTGGGCACTGAGCCAGTGTCTCCTGCTTCAATCCATGCCAGATACAAACTTTTATAAAAAATTAACAGCCAGAAACATGGAGGAAAAAAAGACTTAAAAACACAAGCCAAAGGGGGCCGCGGCCGGTGGCTCTAATCCGTAACCCTAGCACTTTGGGAGGCTGAGGACCACTTGGGCCCAGGAGTTCAAGGATGCAGTGACCTAGGATTGCGCCACTTCACTCCTGCCTGGGCAACAGAGCAAGACCCCGCCTCAATTAAAAGAACAAAACAAAACCTCTGCAGGTACCCACTAGGTGACAGCTGGGATCCTCACAGGGCCTACCTAGTGGACTCAACGCCCCCAAGACAGAACAGCTTCCCCACCCTCTGAGGACGGCTGTGCAGGTCAACAGCCTGGGGCTGCAGCAAGTGCTCAAGGGAGACAACGCCTCCCGACAGTGACCCCAGAAAAAGTTCCAGAATAGTGACATCTTTATTCCAGAGTCAACATACTACCCTCCAGCATTAGACTACAGACTAAGGCTGGGGCTGGGCGAGGTGGCTCACACCTGTAATCTCAACACTTTGGGAGGCCTAGGCAGGAGGATTGCTTAAGCCCAGGAATTCAAGATCAGCCTGGACAACATAGTGAGACCCTGTCTCTATAAAATAGACTAGGGCCAGGTGGCCTCCAACACTGCAGGAAGTGAGTCCAGGTAGGAAAAAAGTGCCTTCCGAATTCTGGGGCCCAAGGTGCCTACCCTGCAGGGAATAGTAAACAGACACTCTCTGGACTGCGGGGGCCAAGGCCCGCCACCCAAGGCCCTTAGCAGCCGGCATATACCACCTGTGGGTGACCTTGTCTACACAGGACTTTGCTATCCATCCGCCAGGACCTGAGGGAAGAGAACTGCCGGACCCCATTCCTGCCCCTTCTGCCACCATTTCAGACACCCCACAGGGACTCATTTTGGGGGTTCCCAAATGAGTTCCCACTGACTTCCAGGAAATCCATAAGCTGCTCTATGACCCCAGCTTGGGTGACCATCTCTCCTTGCCACGCTGACCCTTTTCCCCTGACCTCACAGTGCCTCAAGCTCCAGGAATGGCTCAGAAGGGGTGCAGAGCCAGTGGTGATGGCACGGTGGGTCAAGGAGTCACCCCTGGAGGTGATGTGTCTGGCAGAGGCCTTGGGGAGCTCAAAAGGATGGCACTGGGGGTGCATGACTGTTCATGAAGCCAAAGAGAAATAAAAAGAGGCAGCAGAAGGAACTTTCTTCATGTGAGATAGTTCAAGTTCAGACTTCCTGCTAACAACATCTATTAGGACATGGGCTGGACCAACTCATCTTCCTATGGAATACCAAGACAGGAGATCCAGACAAACTCCATCATGTGCACCAAGCCCAAGCTCAAACAATCAGCTGGTGCAGCATGTCTGCTGAATGACTGTGCTGTGATGGGCTAGGACCAGCAGGCGGCCCAGGGGCCCTAGACTGCTCTGTTCACCTCCATCCAACCACATCGCTCTGCACACCAGGCACCATCTCTGTAGGCTCACCACTAACAAAGGGACCGGTACCATCTGAGGACTGCCTTTACCAACAAGACTAAAAGATTTCTTGGAAGAATATCAATTCCAGGGGTCAATGTTTCTCTTTCTCTAAACATGCCTCACATAGAGGATCTCCAGATGCAGCTGCGTCAAAGACAACCAAAATTCAAGAGACTGCTCTGGATAACCATGCAAAACCCCTTAGAGACAGGGTCTCACTCTGTCACCCAGGCTGGAATACAAAGGTGCGATCACAACTCACTGCAGCCTCGACCTCCTGGGCTCAAGCAATCCACCCACCTCAGCCTTCCAGTGTTAGGATTACTAGCCTGAGCCACCGCACCCAGTCAACTTTTCTAACAGCTCAAGTCACTCTAATTTAAATGCATGAGGAGAATATCTAGGTATTTAAAGTTCGCCACGTATTTTCACCTGAGTGATGCTTCCCTTCCTAAGGCTGACCAAGACCAGTTCATCCTTTTAAACTCAAAATAAAATGACACCAGTGAAGGCGGGAGGAGCACCCTATCAGGGTGAAGGCGGGAGGAAAACCTCATTCGAATGAAGGTAGGAGGAGCACCCATCACAAAGCCTTGCCTATCTGAGGTTCTTGTCCGTGAGGCTGAAGTCCAGGCTCTCGTAGTAGAGGAGCTCCTCCTAGAAGATCTGAAGCAGTCAAAGGAACCAAACCGACACAGGCCGTCTGCCTGCTGATCACAGTCTCTTTTAAGACACTTTCTACTTTGCATTCTGATGAACCTAGGAGTTTTGTTAAACAGATTATGCGTGTATTTATCCCTCATTTCATGCAATAACCAAAAAGAGTTATCAGGAAACCCTGTTTGTCTTTTCACCCCATGTATGAACTCTCATGTGAATGAGTCCTGCAGTAATCCATGTTAAGGGAGCCCTAATTTCAAACTGGTGCAAATGGAAAAGACTTTCCCTTTTCCTTTAAGACTAAAGACAAAATGTCCTCCTGGCCGGGCTCGGTGGCTCACGCCTCTAATCCTAGCACTTTGGGAGGCAGAGGCAGATGGATCACGAGGTCAGGAAATCAAGACCATCCTGGCTAACATGGTGAAACCCCGTCTCTACTAAAAATACAAAAAATTAGCAGGTGTGGTGGTGGGCGCCTGTGGTCCCAGCTACTCAGGAGGCTGAGGCAGGAGAATGGCGTGAACCCGGGAGGTGGAGCTTGTAGTGAGCCGAGATCGTGCCACTGCGCTCCAGCCTAGGTGACAGAGCAAGACTCCGTCTCAAAAAAAAAATGTCATTCTATACAGGTGCAACTCAATCCGTTAATAAAAACTGATGTATGCTGGAGAGAGGAAGTGAAAAGAAAAAATAGGGCTGGGTGCGGTGGTTCACGCCTGTAATCTCAGCACTCTGGGAGGCCAAGGCAGGCAGATCACCTGAAGTCACGAGTTTGAGACCATCCTGGACAACATGGTGAAACCCCATCTCTACAAAAAAAATACAAAAATTAGCCAGACACCGTGGCACACACCTGTAGTCCCAGCTACTCGGGAGGCTGAGGAACGAGGATCGCTTGAACCTGGGAGGTGGAGGCTGCAGTGAGCCGAGATTATGCCATTGCACTCCAGCCTGGGCAACAGAGCGAGGCTTCATCTCAGGAAAAAAAAGAAGAACAGAAAAGAAAAAATAACAATAAATCAATGTAAGGCCAGGCATGGTGGCTCACGCCTGTAATCTCAGCACTTTGGGAGGCCGAGGCAGGCAGATTGCTTGACCCCATCTCACCAAAAAATAAAAACATTAGCAGGGCATGGTGGCACATGCCTGTGGTCCCAGCTACTCAAGAGGCTGAGGTGGGGGAGTCGCTTGAGCCCAGGAGGTCGAGGCTGTAGTGAGCCATAACCATGCCACTGCACCCGTCTGAGCAGAAGAGCAGGACTCTGTTCAGGAGATTCTCCTGCCTCAGCCTCCTGAATAGCTGGGATTACAGGCGCGCACCACCACGCCTGGCTAATTTTTATATTTTTAGTACAGATGGGTTTTCACCATGTTAGCCAGGCTGGTCTCGAACTCCTGACCTCGTGATCTACCCACCTCGGCCTCCCAAAGTGCTGGCATTACAGGTGTGAGCCACACACCCAGCCCTGCCTGTTTTTCAAAGTGTTTATTTACCGCTGTTATTATTTAATCATAGTATATCAAACTTACAAAAAAACAGATTATAACCTTAAAACTATCTCTTTTAGCCTGGCGCAGTGGCTCACGCCTGTAATCCCAGCACTTTGGGAGTTCGAGGCGGGTGGATCACCTGAGGTCAGCAGTTCAAGACCAGCCTGGCCAACATGGTGAAACCCCGTCTCTACTAAAAATACAAAAATCGGCCGGGTGTGGTGGCAGGTGCCTGTAATCCTAGCTACTCAGGAGGCTGAGGCAGGAGAATCACTTGAACCCAGGAGGTGGAGGTTGCAGTGAGCCAAGATCACCGCACTGCACTGCAGCCTGGGCAACAAAGCAAGACTCCACCTCAAAAAAAAGGGGGGAAAAAAAAGAACTATCTTTTTTACTTGAAATTTTAATTTTTTAAACCACTAGAATTATAAAAGCAGTCCGTCCCTGAAGGCAGATTCTGTTCTGTCCACAGGGAATAAGGAAGATCCTCTTTCTCTAAAATCTCTAAAACGCTGCTCAGATGGGGTCTCATCTCCCTTCCAGCGTGACTGGCTGGCCTGAAGCATAACATCCTCAGATGCTCTAGGTGGGTCCTACACCGGAGCCATTGGTTAGTGCACACCATAACCAACTAGACTCAGCATCCCCGCCCACGGCTGCACATCAAGAAGCTTCACCATGGGCCAGGCACAGTGGCTCGTGCCTGTATTCCCAGCTGAGGCTGGGAGGAGGCTGAGGCGGGAAGATCGCTTGAGTCCAAGAGTTTGAGGCTACTGTAAGCCATGATCACGCCACTGCACTCCAACGTGGGCAACAGAACAAGACCCTGTCTCTAAACATAAAATAAAAAATAAGAAGCTTCACCCTCATCTACACAGAATTCAAATGCACAGCTGAGGCCTCCTACATGCACCCAGGGGTAGTGCCCAGGGCCTAAGAACAGGGCTGCCAGATCAGCTGCCTCTCAGACCACAGCAAGGCAGTAAACCCGGTTTCAGGCAGCAGTCAGTACTGTATTGAGAGCCTGCCCCTCACAACCACCCCAGAGGTGGGTCCAGCACCATGGTGCCAACAGGCCAGGCGCACTGGGAGCTCCTCCACTGGTGGCAAGGTGGCCTGAAGCACCAGCATCTCCTGGAGACTGGGAAACCCAGACTGCAGAGACCGCGGCCAGGAACACTCGTCCAGGTTTGTTTCTCTCTCTCTACTCGAAGCTGAAATAATAGTTTATTCCCAAGTTAGGAAAAGAACAGAACCACACAGTACGCGGTTTAGCTCCAATACATGCTTTCAAATATTTAGGTCGAGTTTTCTTCTCAATCAGCCCTGGCCACTTCAGCCCCCATGTCCTGCATGCAAACACTGCCTCCTTCAGTCCTGCCTACCCAACATCAGGAGCCAAAGAACAGAGAGCGTGCGGCCCGGCCAGGCCCGGCCTCTCCCAGAGCAGGTCATCATCTGGTACTGGCCAGGGAAGGGAGCACTTCAGACTTTTGGCTCTTCATTTTGTTAGATCACATTTTGTTTATTTTGCTTCAATTTCAGTAAAGCTGAAATTTTTAGACCTCTTATACAGAAGCTCTTAATACAAACCCTAGACTTTTTGACTCATAGGTAGAAATCCAAGCAAAACCATCTCTTCAAAGTCAGATTAATTTACAAAGACAAACACCTTGGTTTTGACAGGGTTTTCCCTGGATGGGAAGGATTATGAGCATTTTTTGTTCATTCTGTCTGAATTGACTAATTATCTGAGTATTTACAGCTCTGTGAAAAGAAACTGGACTTCACTTTGGTAAAGTAGAGTAATATTAACAAAAATCACTTAAAACTTCTTTTTTTTTTTTTGAGACACAGTTTCACTCTGTCACGCAGGCTGCGGTACAGTAGCACAATCTTAGCTCACTGCAACCTCCCAGCCTCACCGCCCGATGCAGCTCAGCCTGCATGCGTCCCACCTGTGCTGTCCTCCCCTCACATGTGGGGCAGGTCTGACACCTCAGAGGGTCCTGCTCACTGACCCCCGGCAGTCCTGGAGGGTCTGTGTGGTACTGGGGCTCTAGGCGTCTCCCCCAGCCAAGCTGCAAGCTCAGCACCAGGCTGGCTCTACCCGCCCTGTTGACCGGCAGGCCCCATCTGTGCTCACAGCTCCTCCCCTTGTTTGGCCACCCTTTCCTCAGGGCATCTGCAGCAAGTGGGGGGCACAGCACGGGAAACGGGGCCAAGGCCACAGCAGTGGATGTCCCGATGCCGGCAGTCACTGGGAAGCCCAGGCCAGAGCCCCTCGGGTTGAAAGTCATACAGAGTTCCTGCGTGGGCTTCATTCCTTCTTAAAGTTTAGTCACTGAAATTCTTAAAAATCTTCACGCACGGCTGGGCATGGTGGCTCACGCCTATAGTCCTAGCACTTTGGGATGCAGAGGCAGGCAGACTGCCTGAGCTCAGGAGTTCCAGACCACCCTGGGCAACATGGTGAAACCCCGCCTCTACTAAAAATACAAAATTAGCTGGGCATGGGAGCACACGCCTGTAGTCCCAGCTACTCAGGAGGCTGAGACACAAGAATTGCTGGAACCTGGCAGCAGAGGTTGCAGAGAGCTGAAATCGTGCCACTACACTCCAGCCTGGGCAACAGAGCAAAACCCTATTTAAAAAAAAAAAAGGCTGAGCAAGTGCTGTAATTCCAGCACTTTGGGAAGCCAAGGCGGGCAGATCACTTGAGGTCAGGCGTTTGAGACCAGCCTAGCCAACATGGTGAAACCCCGTCTCTACTTAAAAAATACAAAAATTTGTCGGGCATGGTGGCGCACGCCTGCAGTCCCAGCTACTCAGGAGTCTGAGGCAGGAGAATTGCTTGAACCCAGGAGGCGGGGGTTGCAGTGAGCTGAGATTGCGCCACTATACTCCAGCCTGGGCGACAGAGTAAAACTCCGTCTCCAAAAAAAAAAACATAGAAAACTACAGATTATTCCAAGCCTACAGACTAAAATCTTTTACAACATCTATTCCCCAAAAAGACGTGGTAAACAAGCAGAACCACACTTCAGGGGAATATTAGGAAGCTGCGCCAACTAGAAACGCAATGACCACACAGCACGGGCCCTGCAGGCTGTGCCCACGTCCTCCCAGGGTCCCACACTGCAGGCTCCTTGTGGACTCAATGCTTGGACACGCTTACCTCTGCGGGGGAATATAAGGAGCGCACACGGTCGGCAGGACCGCGCAGGGCTCAGCCAGAGCTTTCTTAGCCTTTTTTGCCTTCTTCCTGACCTTGGATGTGGACCTGACCGTTTTAACCGAGCTCTCTTTTCGACAGACGCCATTTTTCATTTCGACATCCCCGTAAATATTCAGAGGCCTCCGGGTGCAGCCTGGAGGCGTGTGGACATCACAGTAAGCGGTCTTTCTGACGGAGAAGGTGGTGCCACCGCCAGTCAGTTCCTTCACGGGCTCCATTTTCATGTACAGGCCAGCCTTCTGGGCACACGTCACATGGAATGCTGTGTAGCAGTTTGCTTTGTGGCACTGGATGCAGGCACCCACGCCCTTCTGCTTACAGAGGTAGCATGTCAGTTTCCACCGGGCTGGAGGGATGTTCCTCACCCCATCGATGGGCTCGATGAACACCGTGTTGGCAAAGCCGACCTCTGGGATCCACAGGGCACACACCACGTGACCCCAGCGGTCGTCATCTGTCTTTTTGAAGGCACCACCCTTGTTGGGGCACAGCACACAGTCGGCGGGCCGGGCCCGCGACTGCAGGCAGTGGCGGCAGAGCCACTGGCCCTCGGGGATGTAGGGCACCCCGTAGCACTCCTGGTGCACGGCCAGGTTGCACATGTCGCAGAAGAGGATCACGTTGCTGTTCTGACACTCCCCGTCCATGCAGATGCAGCACACGGCGTCCTCGTCGATCAGAGACTGCTGCTCGCCCTGCTTCTGGTTCTCGCAGTGCGACTCCTTCTCGAAGCGGTCCATCAGGAACTCAAACATGCTCTGCGACACGGCGGGGACGCAGTCGCCCTTGCGCTTCTCATTGACGATCTCCAGCCAGGCATAGTCCTCCTCGTCCATGTCATACTCCACCTCGTTGTCCAGTTCCTCGGCCGACTTCTCGATGAACTTGTAGTACACAGGAGGCCTCCTGGGGGCGGACGGAGGGCTGTACTCCACGATGCGCACCTTGGGCTCCGGGAGGGCACTGGCCGAGGCCGGCGTGCCGTGGGCGCTGGGGAGGGCCTCGTTTTTCTTTTTGACTCTGTTGTTTTTGTGACGCTTAGTTCTTAAGCAGACAGGAGGCCGCTCGCTGTTTTCCTTGTTGCTGTTGCACTCACTCATCTCTTGAGCAGTGAGGTCATCTTCCAATATGATCTCCAGGGGATCAAAAATACTGATCCTGTGCAAGCGCCCTTCAATTTCTATCTCTACCATCCTTTGAGCTTGAGCGTAGGTCAGCGTTTCTCGCGTAGGGGAGTGTTTAACACTGCATGGGGAAGAAGGATGCCTCGCTGCAGAGCCTCGATGACATCGTCCTTTCCTCCTCATTTGGTAATGATTACCTAAAATGAAGGCAAAAGTAAAGGTAATTCTACGCAGGGTGACCAAAGACTCGAGAAAACCACAAAAGCATGCTTGGACAGATCTAGCTCAGCAGCTCAAAGCCCAATCAAAGCAAAACTCACAGCTAACCTCTTTCCAAGGTGTCCAAAACCACACATCCAGGCCTGAGCGAGTCCCCAGGACCAGGGAGGGAGCAGCAGTAACAGGCAGAGAGGCAGCCTGAGGAGCCCTCCTGAGCACCTGCGTCCCTACCACCACACACCAGTCCCCTCTCAGACCACACCAACAGGCTGCGGAGACCACAGCAACGCTCCCCAAGGAGGAGGGGTCCGGCCCAGAGCCCACAGTTGCAGGACTTTCCCAGCATGCAGGCGGTCCCCCAGGAAGTCCACATACAGGGCTGGACCCCACCAGGCACAGAGGCTATGCCCACCAGACAGGCATGCTCAGTGGCTACCTGGTCCTATCGGATGCTCCCCCTAAACCACTCTTCCCCTCCCCACTACTCCCAGGAGAGCACTCCCATGAGCCCAGAGTCACCACAGTCCTTGCAGCATTCCTGCTGGGGCCAGGGGTAGGAGACAGATCACAGCCTGTCCATCCTCTATAGACAGGCCCTCCACACGCACAACACGGCACAGGGGACCAACAGGGGAGCCCTGTACTGGTCTGAGGGGACAGTCTTGGCCCCTGGGAGGCCCCAACCCCGCTTCTGCAGAGCCTTGGCAGTGACCACCATGGAAACCACCACAGGCTGAGCCAACCTGCCCCTTCCCCTCAGGGGCACTCCTCAAGCCCCACTGAGACCATGGTGCTGGCCACGTCCTCCTCCTTCCACGTCCTCCTCCTTTCTGAGAGAATCCAGACACATGCATGACGCCAAAGGGAATCTCTGTTCTCCCCGGCACACGTGAAGGCAGACGCTCCACTCAGGCTCCACAGCGAGGGGTGACCCCCAGGAACCCCTCGCTGCTTGCAGAGACCCTCACCAGGAGGGTCGCCAGCGCTGGCTCAGGTGCCTGAAGACTTGGCCACAGAGGCTTAGGAGAATCTGCTTTTCCAGAGGTAGGCAAAACCAGTGAGCTGCCTCCCATACCTCCAGCTCCTCGTGGCAGAGGCCTCTGCTGTCCCAACACCACGGACTGCGTCTATTCCTAGCTGTCCCCAGGGTGCCTGGTGTGTGGACACCTCCTGTGAAGACCACCGCCTGCTGGGCAGTGCCTCCCTCCAAAGCGCCACACTTCACTGACAGGAAGCAAAATGATTTTTCAGTGACTGACTCGCAAAACAAATATTCTCAGCTGAAGCCCAAGGCATACTCTGCATCTAGCCCTGCCACGTCAGGGACGCCTGGCCTCGGGGCCCAGGGGGATCAGGGGCACCCACAGCAGCCTTACCCTGATCTATTGGGCCTGAGAAAAAGCCCTCAGGGAGCAGGCTTCCCTCTGTGAGTCCCGAAAGGAAATCCCAGCAGACTTCAAGAGCACTTCTTAAGACAGACCCTCCAGACACTGGGTATCTTTCTCTGTATCAGACAGAAATCCTCATTGTATGTTGAAACTAGATTGCAATTACCTACAGAAAGGAATAGGAGAGAAAATGTGGTCGGCCAAACCTCAGACCCCCTGCATCTCCAGGGCCTCCAGGTACCCACTCAACCCTGGATTCCTGGGGAGCTGTCAGCACAGCCACCCCCCAGCCGGCCCCGTGAGCCCTGCAGAGGTGACACCACAGCCTGCAGAGAGCGACCCTAGTGCACCCGGGACGCCGACACGCGTCATTACTGAGGTGGGGCAGAAGCAACAGTTGGTTACTCACCAGATCAGAAACGAACCTGTCATTTTCCCCTCGACAGCAAAGTCCTGAGTCGCCCTAACGACAAGCAGCCCCTGGAAACCCACTCTCTCCCAGGGAGCCGTGAAGCTCTTCATCGCAACACTTTCTACAAGGGGAGAACTGAACCGAAGGCTTCACGGCCACAGCAGCTCCATACCCTCAACATGCAACTGGGACCCGGGGAAAGTAGGCCCTCAGCAGGGCAGGGCGACCCACGACCTCCTCTGCTTCACCGCTTCCCCCCTGGGCCGGTTCTGTCCCTGGCCCTTCCACTGG
Organism: Homo sapiens; assembly: GCF_000001405.40. NCBI lineage: Eukaryota > Metazoa > Chordata > Mammalia > Primates > Hominidae > Homo > Homo sapiens. Next base: position 49,826,445 of record NC_000022.11, read on the forward strand.
GACAAGCATTTCCACTGGGAGGGATCCGCGGGGGCACACACGTAGCTTCTCAAGGAATAATTCCCTTAAGTACATCGAAGAGCCCTGCGGGCCACAGGCGGGGAAGGCTGCCCACAAGACGGCCGCTTCCATCTTCCCACCGCCCGCCCAGGGAGAAGCCGGCCACGCGCCGGGCCTCTCGGTCAAGGCCACAGGGGCCGCGGCCGCTGAGCTGTGCGAAGTTGTGTGCAGCACACAGCACTCGGGACGGCGCTGGGCCGGCCAAACAAAAACATCCGCCGATTCCACTAACTACACAACCACCTGGCGACAGACCCTCAAAAACAGACACGGGCGGCCGCGCTTTCTGGGGAGACGGGGCCGCACCCCGCGGGGCAGGGGGTCCCGCTGCTACGGATTCTCAGAACTCCCGCGTCCGCTCACAAGAGCCGCGTTTCCCGTGAACTGCGCCTCAATCGTGTCACTCGTTTTAAAAGGCCCGGGGAAGCCTCGCGTTCGTCGCGAGGCGTCTCCCTGCAAACGCCCGGGGAGGCCGCGGTGCCGGTTCCCAAGCCCGGCCGCCGCAGGCCGCGCGGCTCCTGGGCGATCTCGGGGCGCGTCCCTGCTCACAGGGAGTTCCCGTCTTGGCAGAGCTCGGCGGGCCTGTCTGTTACATAAGGGGCGGCCCGGCCGGCTCGGCGGCTGCCCGAGGCCCGACCCGACTCGAGCGCGGACTCCGGGCAGGCGCCCGCGGCCCAGGCCGCCGAGACCCACAGCCCGACTCGGCCTCCCTCGACTCCCCGGCCTGACCTACCCGGTCTCCCCGCCCGGCCTCCCCGTCTTCCCGCCCGTCTCCCCGGCCGCCCGGCCCGACCTCCCCGGTCTCCCCGCCCGGCCTCCCCGGCATCCCGGGCTCCCGGCCCGCAGACAATGCGGAGCCGCCGCCGCCGCCGCCGCCGCCAAACATGGCGTCGGCACCACAACCCCGAGAGGCCGGGCCGAGGCGGCGGCGGCGGCCGGGCGGCCCGCGAGGCGGCGGGGAGGCCTCCCCGGCCAGGCCCCCGCCCACTCACCTTCGGGGCGCCGCGGCCGCGGGAGCCCGGCAAGCGGGCGGGCGCGGGGGCCGGCGCGGCCGAGGCGGTGCTAATGGCGCCCGCGGCTCCTCCGCCAACGGCCGCGCAGGCCGGGCCCCGCCGCCGCTCCTGGGCGCGGGCCCCTCTCGGCCGCGGCGGCTCCGGGCCCGGCAGCGGCGGCCGCGGACTCTCGGGCAGCGGCTCGCGCGGCGCGGGCTCGGGCTCGGGGCCCAGCTGGAGGCCCGGCTCGGGGGGCCCGGCCGGCGGGCGCGGGCGCGGGCGCGGGAGCGGGCGGCGGGCGGCGGGCGCGGGACGCGGGGCTGGCTCGGACTCCAGGGCCGGGTCGCTCGCTCGCTCCCCAGCGAAGCAAACAATGCGGCGAGCGCTCCGCCCGGCGCGCTGCGTGCGAGACGCGCCCCGCCCGCCGCCGCCATGACGCGCGGACTCCGCTGCCTCGGCCGCGCGCGGGGGAGGGGGCGCCGCGAGGAGCGGGGGCCAAAGGGGGCCCTGAGGCGGCGGGGACCGGGCTGGGAGTGGGGGGTCGGGAGGATGGAGAGTGGGGGCCCTTGAGTTAGGGAGGACCGGGCCAGAAGGTCCCTGAGGGGGTCAGGAGGATGGAGAATGAGGGGCCCTGAGGCAGGGGGACGTAGGCCTAGGAGTGGGGGGCCCCGAGGCAGGTGGGGAGCAGCCGGGAGTCGGGGGCTTTGAAGCAGGGGGGTACCGGCTGGGAGTGGGGGTCCCTGAGGCAGAAGGGCATTGGCCCAGGAGTGGGGTCGCTGAGGCAGGAGATGGCCCAGGAGTGGGCGGCTCTGAGGCAGGGGCTACCACCGGCCTGGAGTGGGGGGCCCACAGGCGGGGGGACGGGCCGGGAGTGGGGGTACCTGAGGCAGAAGGACATTGGCCCGGGAGTGGGGGGCCCCGAGGCAGGATGGGGGAGCAGCCGCCAGTCGGGGGCCCTGACGGGGGAACGGCCAGGAGTGGGGGTCCCTGAGGCGGGGGGGACCAGCTGAGAGTGGGAGTCCCTGAGGCAGAAGGCCATTGGCCCAGGAATGGGGGGCCCTGAGGCAGGGGGCGATTGGCCCACGAGTTGGTGGGGGCCTGAGGCAGGGGGCGATTGGCCCACGAGTGGGGGGAGGCCTGAGGCAGGGGGCGATTGGCCCATGAGTGGGGGGCCCTGAGGCAGGAGGCTATTGGTCCGGGAGTGGAGGTCCCTAAGAGGACAGAGGGGGCCCTGCGGGGGCACTGGGTGGGAGTGGAAAGGGCACTGGCCGGGACACGCGACTAGGTAGAGGTGGGTGGTGCAGCCGGGCTGGGGAGCCTCCCCTAGTGAGTGTCAGGCCCGGTGTGCAAGTAGTCCTGCCAGTGTGAGGGCCCTGCCGAGGCCGGCGTGAAGCAGATGCCCTTTAAGGTTGCAAGAAAAGGCCCCTGCGGGTGGGAGTTGAGAGGCCTGAGTCTCTGCCTTCACTTTGGCCTTTTGTGTAAACTCTAAAATTCAGTGGGGTCATAACAATTTTCACTCCAAGATTAAATCCCAAATGTTTTAAGGTGAGGCAGGAGCTCCTTGGTTTCCTTGAGAATTTGTGATCAGGACGATGGTGCTGTGGAATCCCTGGGTTCCAGCAGCACAGCCTGTGGCATCCAGGCAGGCCCCTCAGGAAGAGCAGCTGTCCACCCTGGGACAGACCGTCCCCACGGGGGCAGCCGAGCGGCCCCACTGCTCGGGGCACTGCACCAAACACCTTATTGGGAGTGGGGTGGCCTTGTTCGCCCAAGTGTCCCTGATAGGGGCCAGGCCCCACAGGCCTTTTCCTGGCCAGTCCTCATGCCCATGGCACCCAGTGTGTGGGTTGTGACGTGACGACTCAAGGGCAGGTAGGACCCCAGCCAAGGCCCCAGTGGTCAGTCCTGATCTAGGACTCCCTGCAGACACACCCTTGAGCTTAGGGGGTACAGGCCACTGGGGCCCTGACCTCTTCTGCACCAGACCCAGGAGCTTCGTGTCACCTCCATTCTACAGATGTCTGTTTACCTGTGGCCAAACAAGCAAGCTGAGCCCGAACGCTTCTCTCCTCCACCTCAGGGAAGCCAGATGGAAACCAAGCTGGAGGTTCTCCACAACACAGAGCAAAAGTAAGACACAGTCTCATGAAAGAGAAGATGAAAAGACACGAAACCCTTCACAGAAGAGGAGACGGGGACAGTGGCCTCTCAGACAATGCAGGTGATGCTCAGAGGAGTGAAGAACAAAGCCTCGAACGTAGGCATGTCACAGGGATACTCAGGAAGGCCTTCGGAGAGGATCTTCTTTAGAATTCAGACTCATCCTACAGAGGAGGGGTTGCCAAAATACTAAGAGAATTGAACCGTAACTCATACACAGTGAAACTAGCGTTCCAGTGAGACAGCAAAATAAAGGTGTCTTCACCGCCGGTTAACATCCACATTTACCACACACGCAGTCTGTAAAAGTACTAGAAGAAATACCTTAACAAAGTGAAAAGTGGACCCAAGAGTAAGACGTGGATGCCAGCAAGTAAATCAGTCTGGTCCGTTAAAAGAAAATCAACCTGAGAGAAATCCCGGATGAACTCAACATGACACATGGTAAGGCGGGGCGCAGAAGGAAGTGAAAGTGCACGAAAGCTCTTGTATTGTTTGGTTCGAGGATTTTAGAATCGATAGAAAAAAAGGTTAAAAATTTTAGCTGGGCATGGTGGCTCACACCTGTAATCCCAGCACTTTGGGAGGCCGAGGCGGGCAGACTACCTGAGGTCGGGAGTTCAAGACCAGCCTGATCAACATGGAGAAACCCCATCTCTACTAAAAATACAAAAAAAAAAAAATTAGCCGGGCGTGGCGGCGCATGCCTGTAATCCCACTACTTGGGAGGCTGAGGCAGGAGAATTGGTTGAAACTGGGAGGTGGAGGTTACAGTGAGCTGAGATGGTGCCATTGCACTCCAGCCTGGGCAACAAGAGCAAAACTCCATCTCAAAAAAACAAAAAAAAAAAGTTTTAACTATCAGAAAGTTTCCACAAGAATGGTGGAAAAAGAATTTACCACTTTCAGAACAGCTGAGGAAAAAGCGAAATGAAAAACGACAGCAGCAACAACAAAAAAAAAACAGGAATGAGTAAAAGATAAAATCATGATAAATACAGAACATAATATGAGTTGGCAGAACTAAGTTCAAACATTTGAGTAATCAGAGGAATGTGATTGGATTAAATGCATCTATTAAAAGACAACCTCTCTGAATGGAATATAAATATGGTGAAATATTCTTACAAGAAATTCACCTGAAAAATAACAGATGAAAAATAAAACGATGGGGCCAGGCACAGTGGCTCATGCCTGTAATCCCAACACTTTGGGAGACCGAGGCAGGTGCATCACCTGAGGTCAGGAGTTCAAGACCTGACCAACATAGTGAAACCCCATCTCTACTAAAAATAGAAAAATTAGCCAGGCATGGGGGCACGTGCCTGTAATCCCAGCTACTCAGGAGGCTGAGGCAGGAGAATCACTTGAACCCAGGAGGCTGAGGTTGCAGTGAGGCAAGATTGCCCCACTGCACTCCAGCCTGAGTGACAGAGCAAGACTCCATTTCGTAAATGAAAGGATGGAAATTATCATATGTTTGTTCCTCAAAAGGCACCATAAAGAGACTGAAGAATGAAAAACTAAAAGATATGTACACCTTGCAGATGATTAGTATTTAGAATATATAGAGAACCCCTTCAGATCCATTAGAAAGAGACAAACAAGCCAACAAAATGATGCACAAAACCCAAATCAACAAAGAAACCCATGTCATAATCAGGCTTCTTGCAGAGAACATGGAAAGGCCAATCATCTTACTAGTAAATTTGGAAATGCAAACAAAATACACACCAAATAGGCACCAGCGTTCATATGTGGCAATACTCAGCGATGGCAAGATGGCAGAGCAATACCCTGCTGGCCAGAATGTCGAGTGGGACAATTATTTGGTAAATATCTTGGTCATAAGGCGTTACCCAGTGAAAGTGGACATGTTTATCAGTTACCTCTTGCTGCAAAACAAACCACCCCCAAAACTTTGTAGCTCAAAACAGCAGTCATTCCTTTTGTTCACACATCTGCTATTTGGGCAGGATTCAGCAGGTACAACTAGACTACTTCCTGCATCCTTATCTGGGGCACCTCCACTAGGGGCTGGAGGAGCCACTTCCAAGATGGTGCACTCACGTGGCTGGGACCTTGATCCAGGCTCTGGGCTGAGGGCCTTGGGAACATCCTCATGGAATAGTAGCCATGCTGCAGGAGCAAGGGTCTCAAGAGAAGCAGGTGGGACCTGTATCACTTTTCACATCCTAGCTTCTGAAGTCACACGCATCACTTCTGCCATAGGGACAAGCCTGTCCAGATTCAAGAGTTAGGGAGAATACAGACCCCACCTCTTGGGACATGTGTTATCATCACATTTTAAGAGAAGCATGCTGTATGGGAGAAGTTGTTGTGGCCACTTTGAGAAGATGCAAGCTCCCCCAGTGTGCATACCCATTCCCGGCTGTAGGGTTAAGTCAATTTGTATTCCTAGGTGCATTCCGTGCCTGGGTGTGTGCCTAAGAAACCTGTTCATCAGGGCCGGGCGCCGTGGCTCACGCCTGTAATCCCAGCAGTTTGGGAGGCTGAGGCAGGCAGATCATGAGGTCAGGAGATTGAGACCATCCTGGCTAACACGGTGAAACCCCATCTCTACTAAAAATACAAAAAATTAGCCAGGAGGCTGAGGCAGGAGAATGGTGTGAACCCAGGAGGCAGAGTTTGCAGTGAGCAGAGATTGCGCCACTGCACTCCAGCCTGGGCAACAGAGCAAGACTCCATCTAAAAAAAAAAAAAAAAAAAGAAAAGAAAAAAAGAAACTTGTTCATCAGGAAGCATGTGCATGAATGTTCAGAGCAACACTGTTTTTGGTGTTTTTTTTTTTTTATTTTAACGCTGTTTTTAATAGCAAATACTGGGAGAAATCTTAAATATCAAAGGACGGTAAAATGGACAAAGTGAGGTGTATCCACGCAATGGAATAGCACACAGCAACAGAAATGAATGAATTCCACCACCAACACGGCCAAATCTCAAACACATAATTTTAAATGGAAGAAAGAAATCTCAAAAGATTACAGAATATGATTCCATTTACACTCAGCAGACAGAGCTAGGAAATAAGTATGTACAAACACACACACACACACACACACACACACACACACACACACACACACACCCATATCTTTTCTGATACCTCTTAGCAAACCTTGAGTTCATACTGATACCTGTACCTCCAGTTACAATCTAGCATGGAGTTGATTCTACCCTCCTCTGTTTCTACATAACTATCTATGCCTTCACTTAGTAGCTCAGTCCCCCGCTACATAACCATCTCTAGGCTATACAGGACAGAAACTTGGCCCCAGACACAACCACTGCCCCCCATTTTGCACCAGCCAAAAATGCGGTTCTGGGGGCATCACTGCTCTCCAGAATGGTTATATCTGCAGGCTGAAAGCACAGCCCAAGAAAAGGCAAGGAGGAGGATGCTCATGTTGTTTCTGATATTCTGTTTCTGGCAGGAATAAGACAAAACCCTTCTTCTTTGATCTATCTCACCTTTAATTTATTTAATTTTTATTTTTACCCGGTATCTGCAACAATCTACTTTAGGAGACTATCCTTTCACAAACATTAAAACGTTCTTTAAATGGTGTTTTTCTCACTTCAGAATTCAGGAAAAATAGTTTTACTGACATTTACTTTTAATAAAAACGTAGTAATTTGCATTGTTGCAGTAGAAATTTGTCCTCCTTGTCACCAGGATATAATCAGACAAATTAATAGTGGAGCCCAGGCCTTACATGGGTGTCATATTTGAGAATAACTTTCCTGTGCTTCCACAACACGCCCACCTTTAAGGAACAAGGGTTGTGGCTTGTGTGCTGAACCAATGCCCACACAACCCTCAGACCCATACTGGCCGGGCACCTGTACTCTGGCACACAAAGCCTCAGCCTCACAAGTAGTAAGAAGGATACTTCCTGGCAGGCCAAGAGCCATGGCAGACACTGGAACCTTCTGGAAGATAGAAACTTGCACACACACAGGTCCCGCGGGCACACCTGAGGGAGGTGGATTTGGTTCGGCTTCCTGGCCTAGGAACAGAAGAGCAAATAAGAGAAATTAAAAAACAAAAAATCTCAGGTGTGATGTAGGCTCAGTCCTACATTCCTTATGATGACACGTCCAGACAGAAGTTGATTTTCCGGCTTGGTCATTGCATAACGCCATCTGGTTTACATGTGTCACCTAACAAGGACACTCGTGCGTGGTAATTACCACTTCTTGCAGCACCTGTGTAGATGAATTAGGTCAGAATGCAAGACTAGCTTTCTGTGGTCAAGAATAACCTTCGGAGATTATTTATCATCCCAAGAGGGAGCTAATAAAAATGTCCCAGATTAAGGATTAGACACCCCAAAATGAGTGTGTCCATTCAGTGGCAGGCTATGTTCCTGAGCAAGCCTGCCAGGCAGATTTTCGGATCCTCTGGAGTGTGCGCCTGCTTAACTTGCTATATACTATTGATTACGATATTTTACAACTCAGCAAGGGTAGACTTTAATTTGTTGAAGATAGATGGCTAAGTAAAATTATTCCTCTCTGACAGCAATGCAAATAAATTTTGCCCAGTAGTGAGTGATAGAAATTATTTCTGTCCAGTGGAAAAGATTACAGTAAAAAAGGTTGCAGTTTGACTGGGCGCAGTGGCTCACGCCTGTAATCCCAGCACTTTGGGAGGCCAAGGTGGGAGGATCACCTGAGGTCAGGAGTTCGAGACCAGCCTGGCCAACATGGTGAACCCTTGTCTCTACTAAAAATACAAAAATCAGCCGGGCGTGGTGGTGGGCGCCTGTAATCCCAGCTACTCAGGAGGCTGAGGCAGGAGAATTGCTTGAACCTGGGAGGCGGAGGTTGCAGTGAGCTGAGATCAAGCTATTGCACTCCAGCCCGGGCGACAGAACAAGACTCCATCTCAAAAAAAAAAGAAAAGAAAAAAAGAAAAGGTTGCGGTTTATGGCCCTGTAGAACATTAACCAGTTTTTTTAAAAATCTAAATAAGCAGAATTACTCAAACTTTTTTAAGTCACTACAAATACTTCCTTCTCTCCAATCTTTTGAACCAGCCTCACCATCATGCTGGTTTCCTCATTAATGATTAAAATAAATCTTTGACACGTCTTCACTTTAGAGTTGTATGAGTCATGTTTTTAACTTTTTTTTTTTTTAAGACGGAGTCTCGCTCTGTCACCCAGGCTGGAGTGCAGTGGCGCGATCTCAGCTCACAGCAAACTCCACCTCCCAGGTTCATGCCATTCTCCTGCCTCAGCCTCCCAAGTAGCTGGGACTACAGGCACCCACCACCACGCCCGGCTAATTTTTTTTTTTTTTTTTGTATTTTTAGTAGAGAAGGGGTTTCACCATGTTAGCCAGGATGGTCTCGATCTCCTGACCTCGTGATCCGCCCACCTCGGCCTGCCAAAGTGCTGGGATTACACGCGTGAGCCACCGCGCCTGGCCCTGTTTCTAACTTTTTAAAAAGTATGCTTTGACAGCTCCAACATCTAGCTGCCTTCTCAGCCTCTCCTCCAGGATGTCCTGTAGGCATCTCGAACTCAACGTATCTGGCACTCAGCTTTTGGTCTTCATCCCCAAACTTCTCTGCTGTCTCCTTCCTCGGTTATGGGTTGAATTGTGTCCCCCCTGCAAAAGGTATGGTGAAGTCCTAAGCACAGTACCTGGGAATATGAGCTAATTTGGAAATAGGGTCTTTGCAGATATAAAGTTAGGATGAGGCCAGGTGCAGTGGCTCACGCCTGTAATCCCAGCACTTTGGGAGGCTGAGGCGGGCGGATCACCTGAGGTCAGGAGTTTGAGACCAGCCTGACCAACGTGGTGAAACCCCGACTCTACTAAAAATACAAAAATTAGCTGGGCATGGTGGCGCATGCCTGTAGTCCTAGCTACTCACAAGGCTGAGGCAGGGGTATCACTTGAACCTGGGAGGCGGAGGTTGCAATGAGCAGAGATTGCGCCACTGCACTCCAGCCTGGGCAATAGAGTAAGACTCCATCTCAAAAAATAAATAAATAAATAAGAATAAATAATAGGCCGGGTGTAGTGGCAAAAAATAAATAAATAAATAAGAATAAATAATAGGCCGGGTGTAGTGGCTCAAGCCTGTAATCCCAGCACTTTGGGAGGCCAAGGCAGGCAGATCACGAGGTCAGCAGATGGAGACCATCCTGGCTAACACGGTGAAAACCTGTCTGTACTAAAAATACACAAATATAGCCAGGCGTGGTGATGGGTGCCTGTAGTCCCAGATACTTGGGAGGCTTAGGCAGGAGAATGGCGTGAACCCAGGAGGTGGAGCTTGCAGTGAGCTGAGATCGTGCCACTGCACTCCAGCCTGGGCGACAGAGCAAGACTCCATCTCAAAAAAAAAAACAACAAAAAAGACATAAGAAAAAAAAGAATAAATAATAATAATAATAATAATTAAGTTAGGATGAGGTCATTGAGTTGGGCCCTAATCTAATGACTGGTATCCCTTTCTAAATTACACAATCTGCTAACCTTCTCTGTATCATTCCAATTTTAGTGTATGTGCTGCTGAAGCAAGCACCTGGTATTCTTATAAGAAGAGAAATTGGGACACAGACACACAGAGCAAAGACAGCTATGTGACAATGGAGACAGAGCAGAGTAATGTGGCCACAAGCCAAGGAATGCAAAGTATTGACGGCCACCAGAAGCCGAAAGAGGCAGGAAAGACCCCTCTTTATGGGTTTCAGAGGGAACACAGTCCTGCTGATGCCTGGACTTCGGGCTTCCGACCTCCAGAGCTGTGGGAGAGTGAGTTGCTGCCATTCTCAGCCCCCCAGGCTGTGGCGCTTTGTCATAGCAGCCATAGGACATGAATCCACTTTCTCAGCTAAGGCAACTCCGGGCTTCCTAGGTGAGAGGCACTCCTGCACTGCTCATGTCTGACCCGCTGGCAAAGCCTGTCGGCTCCCCTTTCAAAATAAGTCCAGAGCCAGCCCTGTGTCACCGCCTCCTCTGTTCCCTCAACACCTCTCACCTGGATTATCCCAGTAGCCTGACCCACCTCTCTGCTTCACCCTTGTACCCCTCTGCCTCTTCCTCTCTACAGCAGCCCAAGTGACAGCATCTCCTGCGTTTAACACCTTCCACTGGCTTCCCATCTCCCTGGGAATAAAAGCCACAGTCCTCAACTCCACAACAAAAAACACAGAACCTGATTTTTTTTTTTTTTTGAGACGGAGTCTCACTCTGTCGCCCAGGCTGGAGTGCTGCGGCGCGATCTTGGCTCACTGCAACCTCTGCCTCCTGGCTTCAAGTGTTTCTCCTGCCTCAGCCTCCCAAGTAGCTGGGATTACAGGCGCACACCATCACGCCTGGCTAATTTCTGTATTTTTAGTAGAGACGGGGTTTCGCCATGTTGGCCAGGCTGATCTCGAACCTCTGACCTCAGATGATCCGCCCGTCTCGGCCTCCCAAAGTGCTAGTATTACAGGTGTGAGCCACTGCGCTCAGCTAGAACCTGATTTTAAAATGGACAAAGGACTTGAATAGACAACTACAAATAGCCAATAAGCACATCGAAAGATGATCATCATTAGCTCTCAGGGAACTGCCAATCAAAACCACAATGACATCCTACTGCACACCCACCTGGAGAGCTAGACCCAAAAAGTCAGGTAGTGAGTGTTGACGAGGATGTGGAGACACTGGAACTCTCTCATGCTGCTGGTGGGACCGTCAAATGGTGCACCTGCTTTAGAAAACGGTCGGGCAATGCTTCAAAATGCTGAACACAGAGCGTCCATAGGTCCCAGCAAGTCCACTCTGAGGCATATCCCCAAGAAATGAAAATATGTGTCCACATACACACTTGTATGTGAAGACTCATCGCAGTGGTATTTCTCATAATAGCTGAAAAGTGAAAACAGGTCATGAATGGATAAATCTGGCATATACATAGATGGCATATAATTTGGCAGTAAAAACCAAGTATTGACATGTGCTGCATCATGAAGAACCCTTGAAAACATGACGCAGCCACAAAAGATCACATATTGTAATGATTCCGTTTACATGAAATGCCCAGAATAAGCAAATAGGTTGCCGGGGTCTCAGGGAGGGGAAACGGAGTGAGTGCTAACGGGTATGAGGTTTCTTTTGGGGATGATGAACAGGTTCTAAAACTGACTATGGTTAGGACCGCACAGCCCTGTGAATACACTAGAAACATTTCATTGAACTTGTTTTTGAGACGGGGACTTGCTCTGGTACCCAGGCTGGAGTAAATCACAGCTGCTGTAATCACAGCTCACTGCAACCTTGAACTCCTGGGCTCAAGGGATCCTCCCATATCAGCCTCCTGAGTAGCTGGGACTAAGGATGCGCACCACCACACCCGGCTAAGTTGTTTTTTTTTTTTTTTTTTTAATTTTTTTGTAGAGACAGGGTCTCGCTTTGTTGCCCAGGCTGGTCTCAAACTCCTGGACTCAAGCACTTCGCTCTCCTCAGCCTCCCAAAGTGCTGAGATTATAGGCAGGGGCCACTGCACCTGGCCTGTCCATTTTAAGTATACAGTAAACTGCATGGTATGTCTGTGAATTCTTTATCAATGAGGCTATTTTAAAATCCATAGAATAAATAATTACATAAATAGGCCGGGCGCGGTGGCTCACGCCTGTAATCCCAGCACTTTGGGAGGCCGAGGCGGGCGGATCACGAGGTCAGGAGATCGAGACCATCCTGGCTAACACGGTGAAACCCCGTCTCTACTAAAAAAAAAATAGAAAAAAATTAGCCGGGCGTGGTGGCGGGCGCCTGTAGTCCCAGCTACTCGGGAAGCTGAGGCAGGAGAATGGCGTGAACGCGGGAGGCGGAGCTTGCAGTGAGCCGAGATCGCGCCACTGCCCTCCAGCCTGGGCGACAGAGCGAGACGCCATCTCAAAAAAAAAAAAAAAAGTACAGAAATAAAAATTAAAAGTAAAACCAGAGACTTCTAGCTCAAGAGGAGATGGAACGGACTCATCTCTCCGTGCTCCTCCAGCTACACACACCTTTCAGCACTGGGAGCCAGTACAGCAGACAATTGCAGGCCTCGAAGTGGGGGGAAGAGGGGAACCGGCCGGTGGGGACCGCGGACTGGAAAAAGCGCGGCCGCCTGGAGCCTCCCATCCCCGCCCGGCAGTGGAAGGCAGTCCAGGCCCAGTATCTCCTGACCCAAAGTGGTGCAAGGGGGTCCAGGCCTAGGGCCTCCTCTCCTCCCCTCGCCTCTCCCCACGCCTCCCCAGTAGCTGGGGGAAGCCCCACAGCCCTCCCATAGGGGAATCTGCAGAGGCGGAGCCGGAACTTGCTGGCACCAGGTCCGCCCACTCCCCACCTAACAGCTCGGAGAAGCCTGGAGAGGCGCCTCTATCCCCACCGGCAGCAGCAGCCTAATTACGTAGACGCCTAAATAGCAGATCTAGTAGATAAACTCAATTCTTGTAGGAACCACAACCCACAAAAGTAGGCCAGGATGTGCTGCACCTCAACAGGGTGACTGCCTGCTGAAATAGCAGGTTTAAGTAGGATTCAGAGTCTGCTGCTGATATACAAACTGTCCAGATGACGATTCCACAATCATGCATCACACCAGGAGCCGGGAGACTCATAACTTGACTAAGAAAAGACAAATAACGATGCCAACACCGAGATAAATCAGGTATCGGATTATCCGAAAATGATTGTAAAGCAGCCCTCACAAAAATGCTTCAACAAGCATTTACAAACTATCTTGAAACAACTGAAAAATAGAGAAAAAAAGTTTTTGGTTTTTTTTTTTTAATGAAATCGGGGTGTGGGGAATGAGGGTAGGCGGCTGAGGCAACAGAATCGCTTGAGCCTGGGAGGCTGAGGCTGCAGTGAGTCATGATCGCACCGCTGTACCCCAGCCTGGGTAACAGAGAGAGACTCTGTCTCAGAAATAAAGAAAGAAAAGAAAAGAAAAAAGAACCAGATGGAAATTGTAGTGTCGAAAAGTACAATAAACCAAACTAAAAAACTCACTGAATGGGCTCAATAGCAGCATGAATATGACAGAGGAAAGAATCCATGAGCTGGAAGACAGAACAATAGAAGTAACCCAATCTGAAAAAAAGATGGAAAATAGACTGAAAAAAACTGATGGAACATAGCCTCAGGGACCTGTGGGACTATTTTTAAAAATCTAGGCCAGGCGTGGTGGCTCACACCTATAATCCCAGCACTTTGGGAAGCTGAGGAGGGCAGATCACCCGAGGTCAGGAGTTGGAGACCAGCCTGGCCAACATGGTGAAACCCTGTCTCTACTAAAAATACAAAAATTAGCTGGGCACAGTGGCTCTTGCCTCTAATCCCAGCACTCTGGGAGGCCAAGGTGGGCAGATCACCTGAGGTCAGGAGTTCGAGACCAGCCTGATCAACATGGCAAAACCCCATCTCTACTAAAAATACAAAAATTAGCCAGGCATGGTGGCAGGCGCCTGTAATCCCAACTACTTGGGAGGCTGAGGCAGGAGACTCACTTGAACCCAGGAGGCAGAGGTTGCAGTGAGCCGAGATTGCACCACTGCACTCCAGTCTAGGTGACAGAGCAAGACTCTGTCTCGAAAATAAATAAATAAATAAAAATCTAAATTTTGTGTCATTGATGTTTAAGATGGAGAGGAGAAAGAGCATGGAGCTGAAAAAAATATGTGAAGAATGAACAACAAAATCTTCCCAAATTTGGCCAAAGACATAAACCTCTAAAGTCAAGAAACTCAGAAAACCCAAATAAGAGAAATCCAAAGAAATCTATGCCGCACACATCGTGATTAAACTTCTGGGAACTAATGACAAAGAAAAAACCCTTGAAAGCTGGCAGAGAAACAACACATTGCCTATGGGGAAGAACATAGCTTTGTATTGGAAACCACCGAGGCCAGAAACAAGTGGTCTGGTGTTTCTCACGTGCCGAAAGAACTATCAGCCACGGATTCTATGTGGAGTGAAAATGTCCTTCGGGAACAAAGAGAAATAAAAAAAATTCACAGACCAAGGCACATGAAAAGAATTTCTCACTAGCAGAACTACCCTTAAAGAACAGCTAAAGGGGGGCTGGGCGCTGTGGCTCACGCCTTCATACCAGCACTTTGGGAGGCCGAGGTAGGCGGATCACATGAGACCAGGAGTTCGAGACCAGCCTGGCCAACATGGTGAAACCCCATCCCTACTAAAAATACAAAAATTAGCCAGGTGTGGTGGTGGGCGCCTGTAATCCCAGCTACCCGGGAGGCTGAGGCAGGAGAATTGCTTGAACCTAGGAGGCGAGGTTGCAGTGAGCTGAGATCAAGCCATTGCACTCCAGCCTGGGCGACACAGCGAGATTCCATCTCAAAAATAAATAAATAAAAGAATAATGATAAACATAAAAATAAATTAAAAAATAATGGAATTGTCTATTTTCTATATATACTTAGTGCCACATCAGACAGTGTTATAATTTTGCTTCAACCATCCAATATGATTTTAAAAACTTATGAGAAGGCCAACCTAGTGTCTTTACCGGTGCTTACTCATTCTACCATCTTCTTTCCTCCCTGAACATTCGTTTGTTGTCATTTCTTTTTTTTTTTTTTGGAGACAGAGTCTCGCTCTGTTGCCCAGGCTGGAGTACAATGGTGCAATCTCAGATCACTGCAACCTCCCTCCACCTCCCAGGTTCAAACAATTCTCCCTGCCTCAGCCTCCCAAGTACCTGGGATTAAAAGCACACGCACGCCACCATGCCCGGCTAATTTTTTGTATTTTAGTAGAGACAAGGTTTCGCCATGTTGCCCAAGGCTGGTCTTGAACTCCTGACCTCAGGTGATCCACCCACCTCGGCCTCCCAAAGTGCTGGGATTACAGGTGTGAGCCACCACGCCCCGCCTGTTGTCTTTTCTTTTCTGTTCGGAGAATTTCCTTTACCTGTTCTTCTTCTTTTTTGAGACAGAGTCTCACTCTATCACCCAGGCTGGAGTGCAATGGCCCGATCTCTGCTCACCGCAACCTCCGCCTCCCGGGTTGAAGAGATTCTCCTGCCTCAGCCTCCCGAGTAGCTGGGATTACAGGTGCCCAATATCTCACCTGGCTCATTTTTGTATTTTTAGTAGAGATGGGGTTTCACCATGTTGGCCAGGCTGATCTTGAACTCTTGACCTCAAATGATCCACCCACCTCAGCCTCCCAGAGTGCTAGGATTATAGGCATGAGCCACCGCGCCCGGCCAGCTAGGTGTAAATTTAAGAAAACATGTATAGAACATGCTAAAAACTATGAAATGCTGATGAAAGTAATCAAAGATCCAAATAAGTGGAGAGATAAACCATCTTCACAGATTGGAAAGCTCAAATAGAAAAAGTGCCAGTTTCCCAAGTATGGTGGCTCAGACCTGTAATCCCAGCACTTTGGGAGGCTGAGGTGGGCGGATCACTTGAGGTCAGGAGTTCAAGACCAGCCTGGCCAACATGGTGAAACCCCATCTCTACTAAAAATACAAAAATGAGCCAGGCATGGTGGCAGGTGCCTGTAATCTCAGCTATTCAGGAGGCTGAGGCAGGAGAATTGCTTGATCCCAGGAGGCGGAGGTTGCAGTGGGCCGAGATCGCGCCACTGCACTCCAGCCTGGGCGATGGAACATGACTCTATCTCAAAAAAAAAAAGAAAGAAAACAAAAACACCCAAAATTGACCATAGATCTAAAACGTGAAACTATAAAACTTTTAGGAAAAACATAGGAGAAAATCTTTGGGATCTTGGGCTAGGCAAAAAGTTCTTAGGTTTGATACCAAAAGCGTGAGCCATAAAATAAAATATTGATAAAGGGAACCTCATTAAAACTAAAAACTTTTGCTCTGTGAAAGACCCTGTTCAGAGGATGAAAAGACAAGCTACAGCCTGAGAAAAAGCATTTGCACACCCCCTGTCTGACAAAGGACTGGCGTGTAGAATATAGAAAAGCTCTCAAAACTCAACAGTAAGAAATAAAAATAAGCAATCCAATAGAAAAGTCAGCAAAAGATATGAAGAGACATTTCCATGAAGGGAATATACAGAATAAACACACACCATGATGTCCATCATCCTTAGCCATTATGGAGGTGCAAACTAAAAGTGCAACAAGACATCACACCTATTCAAATGACTCATATGAAAAGCAGTAACACCACCAAACACTGGCAAAGACCTGGAGAAGCTGGGCCATTCATGCATTGCTGGTGGGAATGTAACATGGTACAGCCATTCTGGAAAACAGCTTGGCAGTTTCTTCAAAAACTAACCATCTGACTACCATGGGACCCAGCAGTTGTGCTTCTGGGCATTCATCCCCGAGAAAAAAAGACTTTTTTTTTTTTTTGAGATGGAGTTTCGCTCTTGTTGCCCAGGCTGGAGTGCAGTGGTGCGAGCTCAGCTCACTGCAACCTCTGCCTCCTGGATTTCGGCGACTCTTCTGGCTCGGCCTCTGGAGTAGCTGGGATTACAGGTGCCCACCACCACACCCGGCTAATTTTTTTGTATTTTTAGTAGAGATGGGGTTTCACCATGTTGGCCAGGCTGGTCTCAAACTCCTGACTTCATGATCTGCCCACCTCGGCCTCCCACAGTGCTGAGATTACAGACGTGAACCACCGTGCCCAAAAAATAAAGACTTTTGTTCACACCAAAACTTGTACACGAGTGTTCATAGCAGCTATATTTGTAACAGACCAAAACTGGTATCAGCCCAGATGTCCTTCAGCAGTGAATGGCTAAACACACCATAGTACTCCCATTCCACGCAGCTCTACTCAGCAGGGAAAAGGAGCAGGCCGTTGGTACATGCAACTGGGATGAAGCATCGCCAAGGAATTATGCTGAGCAAAAATAGCCGATCCAAAAATGCTACTTACTATGCGATTTTTTTATTTTTTATTTTTTATTTTTTGAGACAGAGTTTTGCTCGTTGACCAGGCTGGAGTGCAATGGCGTAAAGTCGGCTCATTGCAACCTCCGCCTCCCGGGTTCAAGCAATTCTCCTGCCTCAGCCTCCCAAGTAGCTGGAATTACAGGCGCCCACCACCACGCCCGGCTAATTTTTTGTATTTTTAGTAGAGATGGGGTTTCACCATGTTGGCCAGGCTGGTCACGAACTCCTGACCTCAGGTGATCCACCCGCCTCGGCCTCCCAAAGTGCTGGGATTACAGGCATGAGCCACTGCACTCAGCCTACTATGTGATTTTTAAATGACACAGTTTTAGAAAAGAACAGATTTGTGTTTGCCAGAGATTCATGTCAGGCTGGGGACAGGAGGGAGGCGGGTGTGACTATAGATGGACGACATGAGCAATCCTGTGGTACTGGAGCCCTTCAGCATCATGACTGTGGGTGTGCAAGCCTTGCCTGCTGATAAAATCATGCAGAATTTAATATACACATAAAAATGAGTAGACGTAGAACTGAGGTACTCTGAATAAGATCCGTGGGTCGTATTGACATCCATACCCTGGCTGTGACGTTCCACTCTAGTTTTGTAAAATGGTACCCTTGGGAAACACTGAGCAAACCATACAAGAGATCTCTCTATGCTATTATTTCTTACAATGGCATGTAAATCTACAATTATTTCAATACAATTTTGCACTGCAGCCAAGCACTGCAGCTCAAACTCGTAATCCCAGCCATTTAGGAGGCCAAGGAGAGAGGATCACTTGAGCCCAGGAGTTCAAGGCTGCATTGAGCTAGGATGGTGCCACTGCACTCCAACCTGGGGGACAGGGCAAAACCCTGTCTCAAAAAAAATAAAGATTTTAAAACTTAAAATAAATAAATATTTAAAGTTTCCTGCCAGGAATGTTTTCTAAGAAAATACCTAGAGGATCTGCAAAGGAACAAAAATGATCATGCTCCCCTGGGAACTGTTTTTGATAGGGAAAGGGACACACTTCAGATCCTTGCTGAAAGGAAAAAAAACTGTTTTCCTCTCCTCTGTCACATAGAACACTCTGCCTCCGACACCAAATGGGGGCAGAGGGTTCCCACATCAGCCACTTCTCCTAGCCCCTGGACACCAACTGCGAGTCCAGCAATTCACTCTGACACTCTCCACCTCCAGTTTGAGGCGGATCCCACAGGTTAGGGGCTCCGTCCCACAGCCTGCCCCCACTTCAGGTGCCAGTGGAAGGTCTGGGTCGCTGGTACTTCTGATCAAGCAAGTGTGATTCAGGAGTTCCTACAATCCCTTCTTTGGGTTGGATACTTTGCTACGAATAGAATGGCTTATGGACCTCAGAGAAACATGTTTGTTTGTTTGTTTGTTTGTTTGTTTATTGAGGCCCAGTTTCGCTCTTGTCGCCCAGGCTGGGGTGCAATGGCACGATCTCAGCTTACCACAACCTCTGCCTCCTGGGTTCGAGCGATTCTCCTGCCTCAGCCTTGCTAGTAGCTGGGATTGCAGGCATGCACCACCACACCTGGCTAATTTTTTATTTTTAGTAGAGACAGCGTTTCTCCATGCTGGTCAGGCTGGTCTCAAACTCCCAACCTCAGGTGATCTGCCCACCTCAGCCTCCCGAAGTGCTGGGATTACAGGCGTGAGCCACCGCGCCTGGCGAGAAACATGTTTATTATAAAAGATACGATAAAGGATAGGGATGAGGAGTCAGATGAAGGGTGCGTAAGGCGAAGTCCAGAAGCGTTCTCAGCACAGGAGCTGCCAGCCCTGGGGAGCTGGGGTGCTCCACGCCCCCCACAAAGAGATGTGTTCACCAACCTGGGAGCTCTCCAAACCCCCACTGCTGAGGGACTTTTACGGAGACGTCTTCATGTAGGCATATGGCGCATTAGGAACCGCGCCTCTAGCTAGCCCGTCTCCCCTGCTCAGAGGTGGGGGTAGGGCTGAAGCTCCAGGTTTCTCATCATGGTGTGGTCTCGCTAGTGACCAGCCCCCATCCAGGAGCCCACCAAGAGTCACCCCATTGGAACAGAAGAAGCTCCTATTATCCAGGAAATTTCAATGGTTTTAGGAGCTCTGTGTCAGGAACCAGGGGCAGAGATGAAATATCTATTTCTTATTATGTCACGATCCCACAGGACTGTGTACGTGAATGTGCCATGCAGTGTCAGGCAGCCATTCAAAATGACCCCACACTGCCATCATCAGTGGCAGGCGAGGCTCTTTGCTAAGCAAAAACAGCAGTTTAGAGAAGAGAACACACACGGTGCAAAGCCCAGAGGTGCCACATGGCTTCCTGCAGGGTTGCCATGAGTGCACTGGCTCAGCAAACGAAGCTCCTGAAATTCCAGACGAGGTGGGAGATGGGTTTCGGGGTGTCTGCAGCTTTGCCACAGATAGGAATGCTTTCTAGAGGAACTTCATCCTCGGTTCGGGATTCTTTGCTGTGGGAGTTTGGCTGGACATGAATTTGAGTGACGTCCGTTGGCCTCATGGCACCTCAGGCACAGAGATAGCCAAGTAGACAAGTGGAATCTTGCGCTGTACCTGAACCTTCCAGAAACACAGCCTACAACCTGTGACCACGAGATGTGCCACCAAAAAAGATGGCAGCTGAAGTTAGACTCCGCCGGCCCCTTCCTCCCTGCCTGGCTTCCTTGCGTTCCTTGAGTGCACTCAGAGCTCCACTCCCTGGTTAGCAGTCAGGCCTCAGCTACGGCGCTGCCTCAACTCTGTAAAGTTCTGCACGTAGCTCCTAGGTTCTGCAGGGGGTGATTTTTGCTCTTGTCCTGAAGAATAACAACAGCATTTTAACAAGTGTTTGAAATAAAGATGGCACACATTTAGGCCAGGCACAGTGGCTTGCGCCTGTAATCCCAGCTACTCCAGAGGCTGAGGTGGGAGAACCCCTTGAGCCTAGGAGATTCAGGCTGTAGTGAGCCGACATCAAGCCACTGCATTCCAGCCTGGGTGACAGAGCAAGACTCTGTCTCTAAAAAAAAAATAATAAATTATATATATATATGTACTCTTTTCTTTTGCCCAGGCTGGAGTGCAGTTGTGCGATCTCGGCTCACTACAGCCGACATGAACACTGCAGCCTCAAACTCCTGGGTTCAAGTGATCTTCCCATCTCGGTCTCCCAGTGTTGGAAGTACAGGTGTGAGCCACCATGTTGGCCTTCTTTTTTAAATATATGGTCATATATAAAACCTAGGCAATGCCAGCTGGGCGCTGTGGCTCACGCCTCTAATCCCAGCACTTTGGGAGGCTGAGGCAGGTGGATCATGGGGTCAGGAGATCGAGACCAGCCTGGCTAACACGGTGAAACCCCATCTCTACTGAAAACACAAAAAATTAGCCAGGCATGGTGGCATGCGCCTGTAGTCCCAGCTACTCGGGAGGCTGAGGCTGGAGAATCGCTTGAACCCGGGAGGTGGAGGTTGCATTGAGTCGAGATTGTGCCACCGCACTCCAGCCTGGGTGACAGAACAAGACTCCGTCTCAAAAAACAAACAAACAAAAAACTAGGCAATGCCAGGTGCAGTGACTCATGCCTGTAATCCCAGGACTTTGAGAGCCCGAGGCAGGCAGGTTGTTTGAGCCCAGGAGTTCAAGACCAGCCTGGGCAACGTGATGAAACCCCGTCTCTACTAAAAATACAAAAATTAGCCAGGTGCCTGTACTCCCAGCTACTCAGGAGGCTGAGGTGGGAGGACTGCTTGAGTCTGGGAAGTTGAGGCTGCACTGAGCTGTGATCACACCACCGCATTCCAGCATGGACAACAGAGCAAGACCCCGACTCAAGGTAACAAACAAAAAACAAAAACCCTGGGCAATATACACCTAATTGTTCTTAAAGTTATTCCTTTAGGGATGTGTCATAAGTAGTTTTTTCACCTTTTTACATACTTTTGCTGTTGACTGGACTATATACAGAGAACAACATGCCTGTTATGATTAGGGTTGCAGATAAAATACGGTACAATCAGTTACATTTTAATTCCAGATAATAATTTTTTAGTATATGTACGTGCTGTGCACTTTTTTTTTTTTTTAGACAGAGATTCGCTTTTGTCGCCCAGCCTGGATGGCCCAATCTTGACTCACTGCAACCTTCGCCTCCCGGGTTCGAGCGATTCTCCTGCCTCAGCCTCCCTGGTAGCTGGGATTACAGGAGCACGCCACCATGCTCCGCTAATTTTGTATTTTTCGTAGAGACGGGGTTTCACCATGTTGGTTAGGCTGGTCTGGAACTCCCAACCTCAGGTAATCCGCCCACCTCGGCCTCCCAAACTGCTGGGATTACAGGCGTGAGCCACCGCGCCCGTCCGGTCCCACGCAATTTTGTATTTTTATCCACCAAATCTGGCAGTCCCAGCTATGAACACAAGCTCCAAATGCCTTTCCACCCATGGACCCTCAGACAGAACCAAGGCCACCGCAGCCTGGAGCAGCTGCCGCCCCCACCCTTCCCAGCGCGTTCCCTTAACCCCCTTGCGTTCCAGCTCCCCCGGCTCCAGCACCTTCGTGACCTGAGCACCGGCGGGCTCCTGCTCACTGTCCAGCACCCGACGCACCTGTCCCCGCCGCGCAGTCCCTTCCCCCCGGCCTGAGCTTCCCTCCCGGCGCGCACTGCCCTTGTGACCCTTTCCCTCCCCGGCCACAGATGCAGCTCTCGGCCAGAAGCTCCACTTCCCCGAGGCCCTCGCCCCTGCCAGGCAGCTCCCCTGCGGCGTCGCCCACCCAGAGTTCTCCCCCTGGACGCTCCCTCAGTGCCCCCCTAGCAGCCCCGGCGGTCTTCTCCCCACCTTCAGCCCCCTCCCCGGTCCCCCAGGAAGGGGCCAGACTCCAGCTCAGCACCCAGCGCTTCCTGGTCTTTCCCTTCTGGGCGCCCTCCCGACAGTTCCCTTTAGGGAAGTTGGCCCGCTGCGCGCTCCCACCCCCGGCCGCCGCCTGGACAGAGGCGCGCAATCCGGAGGGCGCAGGCTCCGGCCCGGAGAAGGGGGTGCCGCCGGCGTTCCGATTTCTCAGGAATGGGGAAACAGAGGCACGGTGGATCCGGCGGCGGGGCTGGGTCTGGGGCTGGACGTTGACCTAGGACCCCGCCCCTGCCCGCCCTGCGCCGCGCCCCTCCCGGGCCGGCCTTGACCGAGCAGCTCCACGCGGGCCCGGGGCTCGTCCACCCGACAGGAGCGGGGGGCTGCAGCCCACGAGCCCACGAGCCCGCAGCGACGCACCCGGAGTGTAACCTCGCAGAGTCACGGAGACACTTTCCCGGTGTGGGCGCCTCGCCGCGCTTCCTCCCCGCGGGCTGCGGCCACCCCAGGGCAGGACAGAGCCGAGATGCCCGGGTGGGAGCGATGCCCGCGTGGGGGCGATGCAACGGGGGAGATGCCTGGGGGGAGGGTGGTAAGGTGAAACCTGGTGGAGAACAATGGGGGTGGGTGGGCGATTCCTGGGGAGGTGCCCGGTGTGGGGTGTTTCTGGTTCGCCCGGGGACAGTGCGCGTCCCCTCGCCCGCGGCGCCCGCCCTGCCCGTCCCACCGAGGTCCCCCGGGAGCGTCTGGGCCCACGGCTTCGGGGGGTTTCTCCGAGACCTGGGCGCTGTTCTGGGGGAGCAGGGGCCCGGGCCACCAAGGTTCGTGCGGACCGTGGGGTGTCCCACGCCCAGGCCGGGGGATCCCAGAGCCCCGCTTCCCTCAAGGGCGCCGCGCCCCGGACTGCAGGTGGAGACGGGGACCGGCCCCGCGGGGTCGCCGACAGGCGCGGGGCGGGACAGGGTGGGAGGCGGCGGGGCGCAGAGTCCTCCGGTCGCCGGCGCGATCCGGGCACCTTCCTGGAGGCGGCGGGAGCGCGGTCGCGGCGCCTCCGGGGTGGGGTCCAGGTTGGAGGCTCCGGGGCGCACCGCCCTAGCCCCACCCCGGCCGGGTCCCCGCGCTGCCTCTGCGGAGAGGGAGGAAGGAAGGAAGGCAGGGAGGGAGGGGACGGCCGGCAGGCGTGGGGTCCGCGGCGTCAGGGCTCCTTCCTCCCGTCCGCTCCATCCTGCAACCCGTAGCCCGGGCGGGGTCTCGCTGCCCCCTCCCCGAACACAGCCGCCTTTTCCTCCCTCCCCAACCCCGAGCGCCTCCCTTCCCGAATGCGGGAGTCCATAGTGCACGGGAAGCCTCTTCCCCTCCCCACCGAGGCTGCCCGACGCCCCTTCCACCCTCCGACCCCCCGCAACCATCCCTCAAATGCCCCGGCGGCCAGCAGGGCTGGGGTGGGCGCAGGAGAACCAGGGGTCCTGCCCGCATGCAGGGGTTTGGGGTCGGTGTGGCCGAATGAACGCGCGGGTTCAGACGAGCCTGTGATGCCCCCGCTTTCCATCTCCTCGCGACCTGGCCCCAGAAGACAGTCTGAGAGGCCGGTGGCCGCGGATCCTGGACGCGCTTCCCTCCTGCCTGTGGTTTCCCTTTATTCCGGCAGCGCTGTGAGTCCACCCTTCACTCATAGGAGCCACATCCAGAACCTTCTCCTGGGGCCACAGCGTGGGCTTCCGATACCTGTGTGACCCCAGCTCTGCCCCTTCAGGGCTGCGTGGTGAAGCCCTCAGGACCCTCCGCGTGGGTTGGGCGGGTGACGTGGATGAGGGACAACGTGGTGAGGTCCCCGTCGTGGCGAAGAGTGACCAGTAGGTGCCCAGGGCCCAACCCTCCTCTGCACCCGAGAGAAACCATCTCCTCTGCAGCAGCCCCCACCTGGACGCTCTGGAGTCCTCCCCACCTCCCTCCCCAGTGGGGCGCACAGCATTCTTGCTACCCTGAAAGGCAGACGGGAGGCACAGGGTGGCAGAGGGGGGCCAGGTCTGAGATTCCAGATGGAAGGGACCATGGGGCTCCACCCCACCACCACTGTAGGCAGGGGACTGGCAGGTGTACACCCTTACTCCCGCGGGGCCCAGGGACACAGCCACCCTCCTTTGAGGCCCTGGCCCTCAGGACCCTGCCACAGCGAGGTCTGTGCCTCCCCAGTGACCAGTGGTCACCGGGCTCGGGGTCACCCAGCTGCTTCCACATGTGACACCATCAGCTCCATGCCCTACCCCCAAGCTGGGCTCATAATCTTAATTCACAGCTAAGAAACTCAACCAAAGTCACATCACATGAGGGCGAACCCTCCAGGGCCACAGTGCTCCAAGCACGGAGGGCTCCCTGCCTTCGGAAGATGCTGTGGGTCCACCTGCAGCCTCAGTGGACAGAGGACCAGGGCACCAGCTGCTCTTCTGCCTCAGTGCGGAGCATCCCTGACTCGCACTGCCCTGTACAGGTGGGGCTCACAGTCTGTGCATGGAACTCAGATAAAACACCTGGCCCTGGGATGTCACACTTTGGTTCAGATGAATGAAAAAATAAGATACTGACACTCTGGATGACTAAGAATCGACTTATGTCTTTCCCGTGATGGGAAACTGTCCCATGAAAAGCCACTTACATGTTTGGATGGTCCTGTAGAAAATATTTTTTCTTCTCCTTATCGCAGTCTCTATGATGCATAAGAATGCAATTTAAGACAAACAGCAAATAAATACCATCTGTGTATGTACCAAGCACTTGCAGACTGAAAAAAAAAAAAGAAAAAGAAAAAATAAGATATTGTATCTTGGGCACACAGAAAGTGCCCATCAAAGATTAAATGAATGGACTGCAGCTGGTGGAGGCATGGGGTACTGGCTTGCCGAAACAGTCCCAGTTGATGCTGGGTCCTGGCCCCATGATGTCTAGTGTGCCCTTCCATGCTCCAGGGTGCCCCATTTGGGCACTTAGTCCAAGGGCCACCCGACATACAAAACAGTATCTTCCTGTGAGGGGCCAGAGAATAGGCCGCACCTGGCTGCCCTGCACAATTTGGAAGGCACTAGGAGGGACCTGTCAACCTGCACTCACTCACTCACCGGCAGGCCCCTTTGGGAAGAGCTGTTGCTCTTTGGCCCCAGGAATCTTCTATTTCTGCACATGAGTGCCAGGCAATTGTGGGGCCCCATTAACCTACTCCACAAAGCGTAGGGGGCCTTGCTCTCGGCACTGGGCATGCTCCCTCAGCACATACAACAAAGAAGTCCCCCCTCCCACTGATTCTAGCAGGAGGCTGTTGGGGGGCAGTCATGACACAGGCATATACAGTGTGTCAGATGTGTCAGAGCCCGGAGAGGGGATGAGGAGAGCGCAGTGTTACTTCCTAGAGCATGGCCCCGGAGAGCCTCCCACTATGCTGACATATGGGCAGCCGTCTGGGAGCTTGACACTGGCAGAGGGGAAGAGCAGTCCAGGCAGACAAGAAGTCAGTGCGAAGACCCCAAAGCAAGCATCAAGGAGGCTGGGGGCTGCTGCAGATCTGATGAGGGGATGGCAGGGGCAGAGCAGGCCTGAGAACACTGGCCTCCACTCTGAATGAAACAGGGATCCCCAGGCCGGGCACGGTGGCTCATGCCTGTAATCCCAGCACTTTGGGAGGCCAAGGCGGGCGGATCACAAGATCAGGAGATCGAGACCATCCTGGTCAACATGGTGAAACCCCATCTCTACTAAAAATACATAAATTAGCTGGGCGTGGTGGCGAGCGCCTGTAGTCTCAGCTACTCTGGAGGCTGAGGCAGGAGAATCGCTTGAACCCGGGAGGCGGAGGTTGCAGTGAGCCGAGATCACGCTACCGCACTCCAGCCTGGGGACAGAGCGAGACTCTGTCTCAGAAAGAAAAAAAAAAGAAAAAGAAAGAAACAGGGAGCCCTTTTTGGGTGTCAGTGCCTGGTCTCAACTCCATAGCTATGGTGGAAGGTAAAGCAGTTTACCTTTTAACTACATGAACAAGCATGGTGGTGTTCCAGTTGAACTCCTTAGGAAACCGACATTTTAATTTAATTTTTTTTTGGAGACGGAGTCTTGCTCTGTCACCCAGACTGGAGTGCAGTGGCGCGATCTCGGCTCACTGCAACCTCTGCCTCCCGGGTTCAAGCGATTCTTCTGCCTCAGTCTCCCGAGTATCTGGGATTACAGGAGCCCACCACCACGTCTGGCTAATTTTTTATTTTTTTTCAGTAGAGACGGGGTTTCTCCATGTTGGCCAGGCTGGTCTCGAACTCCTGATCTCAGGTGATCCACCCGCCTCGGCCTCCCAAAGTGCAGGGATTACAGGCGTGAGCCACCGTGCCCGGCCGATATTTGAATGTCATATACTTTTCATATATGCTAAAATACTGTTTTAATTCTCCCCCAACCTCTTAAAAACGAGAAAAGCATTCTTAGCTCAGGCACCATAGAAAACCCGGCTGCAGGCTGGACGTGGACTTTGGAACAGTCGGCGTGCGGGTGAAGGGGCACAGCCGCGGGGCAGGGGCGGGCTCCGGGCAGAGGCGGCCGTGATAACTCCACGCTCCCGCTCCAGCCGGTGACCGCCACGCGGGCTCCTCTCACTCTCACACTCAGGCCGAGAAAATGCCGAAAGCCGTGTCACCAACGGGGGACCTCGGGGCCACATTCAGCATGCAGAGTTTATTTGGTCTGCTCAAACATTTGTGTTAGGAAATAACACATTAAAAGTGCACATTTCCTTCAGACCCTGAGAAGCGGGCGAGTCCCGTGCGCTCCGCACCGCCAGCCCCGGCCCCGCGCTCGCCCAGAGGGCCGCCCTCCTCCCGCCGACCCGGCTTGGGGCTTAGGCGTTAATCCCGTCCCCCGGGGGGGCCGCGCGGGGAGCCCCGATCGCCTTAGGGTCAACGGCTTAGGTCCCAGCCCACGAGGCCTGACCGCACCGCACTGAGCGGCCTCTGCGCCAGGTAAGGGGGTTCGGGGCGGGACCGGGAACCGCGCTGCTAGCCGTCCCGGAAACCCGCGGTGGGCCGTTGGGTGCGCGCCGAGCCGCTGCCAACTGCCAAGCCACGGGACGAAACCAAGGCGCCCGCGCCCCGCCCAGCCAGAGCGCCTAAGCCCTTCCCGTCGCCCGCCAGCGCCGGAGCGCCCACTGCGCCTGCGTAGTTTGCCCTCCTGGACCCGGGGGCGGAGCCGAAGCGCGCATTGCGCCTGCGTCTTCCGCCCGACCCCGCCCCAGCGGCCGGGCCTCCGGCGCTCCGTCCTCCCGCCCGGCCAGGGACGAGGCGGGGCGGGTACGCGGACACTGCGCCTGCGAGAGTAGGCCCCGCCCCCGATCGGCCCCGCCCCCGGCCAGCCCCGCCCCGCGCCGCGCGGGGCCCTGGGAGGGGCGCAGCGTCCGGCGGCGTCGCGGGCGGCGGGCGGCGGGGCCGCGGGAGGGGCGCGGGGGCAGACAAAGCCGCGGTAATGAATGGAGCGTCCGCCCGCGCCGCCGTCGTCCGCAGCCGGCCGGGAGCCGCCCCAGAGGCCGGGCCGAGGTGAGTGCGCGGGCGCCGCCGCCCCGCCGCCTGCCGCGAGCCCCGTCCCCCGCGGACCGCGCCGGGGCCGGGCCGGGCCGCGCCATTGTCTGCGCCGCGCCGGGGCCAGGGCCGGGGCCAGGCGGGCGGGGGCGCGGTTCCGTGGCCTCGGGGTCCCCGCCCGGCGCCGCCCCGGACCCGCCCCCGCGCGGACCCCGGCCCTGACAGCTGGCGCGGGGGCGGCGCCGACTGAGCGGCCGAGTGCCGGGGGTCGGCGCCCGGCCTGGCCCACGTGCCCGCGCCGTTGCTTCCGGGCGGACGGGACGGGGCTCGGGCTCGGGGCGCCGCCCGGGTCCGCCGGGAGCGCGCTGTCCCGGCCACGTCGAGTTAACCCCGCGAGCCCCGTCCCTGGGACTTCTCTGGACGTGTCATTCCCGTCCCACCTCCAGGAAGGGCCACCTGGGCCCTGCTTCATGTCTCAGCCCAGACGGGTCCTTGCGACGCGCCCCGAGGCAGGTTATTGTACGTGGTTCTGGGGATGACCGTTCACATTTAATGAATAAAAATGTAACTTGCCTTGCGAACCATAATTTCAAATGTTTTTCGACTGCAGTGGTTTTCCTACACCCAAATGAGCTCGCAGTCAGTTTTGTTTCTTCTTTTGTCCCGTTGTGTGGCCCACACCGCCTTCGTTGCTAAGAGAATCGCAGCCCCTCGGGCTCCCTTCTGCGCCTTTCTATTCCGGGTGGCCCTGGTAGACCCGGGCACCTCTGTGGAAACACGTCCCGGCCAAGCTGAGCCGTCAGAAGCTTCTGTTGGTGTTCTCGTGTTGGTCGAAAGGGAAGTTATTTATTTTGAAGTTAACTCTGATCAGATTACGTTTTTAGAAATCCATTCAGACCTCATAGTGAGGCCAGTTTGGTAAAGCAAGGGCATCCTGCGACTTTTTACACAGAAATGTTTTTTATTTTTTCTGTGTATGTCATTCATAGTGACAAAATTGAGGCTAGGAAGGATTTGGTTGGGATTTTTTTTTAAGTGCTATGAATAAGCCACATTTTGATTATGAATTAATTGCAATTACTAAACAAAGTTACTTTGCAAGAGGAAAGTTTACAGGAGTTTGATTCCATACTCCGAGGGTTTCCAATGGGACGTCCGTACAAGGCTGCACACTTCCCGTAGTCCTTAAACGGATTATATCTGCTTGTCATGATTGGCTTTTTTTCAAGAAAAGATCTAGCACAAGTTAAGAGAGATTCTGTGAATCTTGAAAAAGCTTCAGAGGCCCGGTCTTTGAGGTGAGGACACAGTTAATCTATATGGAAAGAAACCTAAGACTTTTAGTCCACTTGACAGGTGGTTACAGGGTCTCCCCCAACACACACTCTTGTCCAGGTAATTCCTGAATAAGGTGGTTGATGTTGTTGGATGTAAAACCTCTGCTCTTTAAGGTTACCTCCTCCCCAACCCCCTCCACACACACAGTGAGTAACTCAGCTGTGCAAAGTATGTCCATAACACCTTGCAGAAAGACTAAAAAAATTACTAGGGGAGCGGACTGACTTCTGTGTGTGTGCAGAGGAGCTGAGAAGCAGCTTCTTTAGCGAAAGGTGTGTGTGTGTGTGTGTCTCAGATCCTTGGTGAGGAGCCCTGGGGAGTGGACTCCTGGCGGCATGAGGAGCAGGAAGTGACCGTGGTCAGTGCCGTCCTTCACTTTGTTTTGCGTTTTTTTCTTTGCCTGGCTTTAGCTTCTGGTCTCATTCTCTTTGGTGTGGTGGTTGTCTTTTGAGAGGAGGGAGCAGGTGAAACAGCTGGGCGTGGCTTTGCCCAGCCCTGGGGTAGAGGCCAAGCTGGCCCTTCCTTACCAACGTTGTTTCCTTCACTGTTTAAATCTCAGGACCTGAGAATGTACCTATAGGAATTGCTCTTATTTACATTTGGCTGTGTAAGAAAGTCACTGTGCCTTTAGCCCGTGACACCCCTTAGCGGTTTGGTTTTGGCTTTCTCTTTTAGTGTCTGTGGATTCCAGCAGCTCTCTGGCTTCAGCCCTTTCAAGGATTCGGGCCTCTCTGCATCCCAGCCTTCCAGGCCCTTCTGCTCCCCACTTTTTAGCACCTAGGTTTTTCTACATTCTGCAGTACCTCAGATCCCTTCCTTGGTCATCACTGGATATGTGCTTTTGTAGTTCAAATTCTGGGAGGCATTGTTAGGAATAAAATAAGCTCTTTGCCATTTCTGAGGCGGAGGGGAGCAGGAGAGACAGAGGTGCTTGCCTCTCTGCCTGCTGGGGCCATGGTGGTTTTCAAAGAAGGCCCTGGCCGTAGGGAACATGGTGGTGGTGAGGAGCAGCGTAAACCAGAGAAAAAGGCTCAGTAAGTGCTTCAAGGAGAAACACCGGCAGGTGAGAGCAGGGGTAATCCCAGTTTCTCAGGAAAGCATGCTCCGGAGACCTCATAGGGAGAGGAGGTTGCCCTGAAGGGTCTGGGGGCGATGGCGGAAGCCCCAGGAGAGCATTGTCCATGAGGTGCAGAGGCAGCCTCACGGCATCCCAGTGCGTACCTCCTGCCCGGCCCAAGCGCCTGCTGCTGAAGCCGCCTCCCAGCTCCCCCGGGTTGTTTCGGAATTCAGGGGACATGCAGCCTAAATGACCCACACTGGAATCCCGGCCGGCTTCCCATCCCTCGTTCTAGGTGAAGGCCGCGCTGGAATCCCGGCCGGCTTCCCATCCCTCGTTCTAGGTGAAGGCCGCGCTGGAATCCCGGCCGGCTTCCCACCTCTCGTTCTAGGTGAAGGCCGCGCTGGAATCCCGGCCGGCTTCCCACCCCTCGTTCTAGGTGAAGGCCGCGCTGGAATCCCGGCCGGCTTCCCACCCCTCGTTCTAGGTGAAGGCCGCGCTGCAATGCCAGCCAGCTTCCCACCTCATTCTAGGTGAAGGCTTTTCAGCAGCCATGGCCCATGTCTTTCCCAGCAAACTCTGTGTGCAATAGAAACAGCTGATGCTGGCCTGGCCCTGGGGATGGGGTTGTGACTGCTGCAGCCCCCTACCTGATTAGGGTCGGGAGGACCTGGCCCCCCGCCCTTCCTGCCTTGCCACCTCCACAGACAAACCCTGAGGGGCTGACTTCCTCCAAAGCTGCTCCTCATCGAGGCCCACCTGGTGGTCTCTGCTCCACCTGTTTGCTGCAGGGAGCAGGGTCGGGAGCATGTGCATTTCGGAGAGCTCTGGTTGCTCCGTCATAGAAGCCATGCTCCACATCCTGTAAGTGAGAGACTCCCCAGCAGCGTTCAGCCATAGCTGCGATGTCAGGCCTGTCACTAGTGGGACTGCCCGGACCCCCAAGGTATGGGTACACGGCGAGGGTGCTGGTGTTAAATACAGGGGACCCACAAAACCACCTAGCAGAACAATCCACATGACCCTGTCGTGTGACCCAGAACATTTCAGGGATGGAACACGGACCAGCTGACCTTAGCGTGGTCGCTGGCTTGCTCTGGAAGGTGCCGTTTCCAAGACGCCCTTACCTGGGTTCCTGAGCACGTCTGACAGAGCAGCTCTGACTCCGGGTTTCTGGAGTCAGACCCCTTGCCACTGTCTTTGACCTTTAGCTTTGGGTTCCCCTTCTCAGTTTGTTTGTTTGTTTGTTTATTCTCACTCTGTCACTCAGGCTGGAGTGCAGTGTTACAATCTCGGCTCACTGCAACCTCTGTCTCCTGGATTCAAGTGATTCTGCTGCCTTAGCTCCCTGAGTAGCTGGAATTACAGGCACCCGCCACCGCACTCAGCTAATTTTTGTTTGTTTTTTGAGATGGAATCTTGCTCTGTCACCCAGGCTGGAGTGCAATGGCACAATCTCAGCTCCCTGCAACCTCTACCTCCCAGGTTAAAGCGATTCTCCTTCCTCAGTCTCCTGAGTAGCTGGGATTACAATAGGCGTGCGCCACCGTGCCCGGTTAATTTTTTTTTGCATTTTTAGTAGAGACGGGGTTTCACCATGTTGGCCAGGGTGGTCTCGATCTCCTGATCTCGTGATCCGTCCACCTTGGCCTCCCAAAGTGCCAGGACAGGACTACAGGCGTGAGCCACCGCGCCCAGCCAGTTTTTGTATTTTTAGTAGAGATGGGCTGTCACCATGTTGGCCAGGCTGGTCTCAAACTCCTGACCTTAGGTGATCCACCCGCCTTTGCCTCCCAAAGGGCTGGGATTACAGGCGTGAGCCACCGTGCCCGGCCCCCTTCTCAGTTTAGCCCAGACCTGGATGTTGGCTTCTGTGTGGGCAGCTGTTGTGAGCCATGGCTCCTGCTGGAATTTGTGGCAGTTGATGCTGCTGTGCACCCCCAGAATAGGTGAAGGCTACTCAGGTGTAGCCCCGATGGTAGTTTATGTCCTCAGGAGGAGAAACTGCCATGTCCCCGTCTGAACCAGGCCCGGAGTCTTGATGCATAGCTCTTTGCCTCCCTGGGTATACTCGACAGCTTGTTGAGAGTGCGTGTGCTCTGAGTTGAACACGAATATATTTCTGTTGTTTGAAGGTTATTATAAAGTTTCTAACTTACAGAGTTGGCACTCCTACGTCCCTTGCCCCCAGCTGGAGCTACCGTGACTGCCACCAGCTGCCACCTGGCACGTGCTGAACTGTCTTGAAGGAAACTGCAGATATCTGGACACTTCTCTAAGTGTTCTTTCTCCTAAGAAAGGGAAAGGGACATTCTACTGTCTAATGACAGTCGCGTCATCGATGGCGTCTACAAAACGTGACTGTGTCCCTTGGCGTCATCCAGTAGCCAGTCCACGGTCTGAAGTTGTCCCCCAACGTCTTTACTAGCTGTTTTTCCCAACCAGAATCGAGTACAGGGCCACGTGTCACAGTGGCTGTGAGGTCTCTTTGCGTTCCGGTGCCCCCGGAGCACCCCCTGTGATCTGGCGGTGGGAGGCCTGATTTGATACAGGGGCACGTTTGGGGCGCAGGTGATGCTGTGTGCTGCACTGTGGGCGGAGGCTGTCCCATGAGGACGGATGCGACTTTGCTCACTGGCCCTTTAAATTGTGTCCCTGCCCCCCACAGTTGGCGAGTTAGATGAGGGGGTGTCTCGGGGTGTGTGGACGCTCTGCTCCCATCAGACCTCCACATGCTGTTTGCTGGTCTCCCCAGAACCTGTGGGCAGTGGCACCTTGGCTTTAGTATGCTGTTGTTCTTTTTTTCTTTATTTTTGTCTGTGTTTCCCTTCTTTGTTACGTCTTAGAAAATGCTGAGTTCTTTCTCTTTATTACCAATTCTTAGCGGAAGATGGTCTAGTAGACACCTCTGTGGGGGCAAATTTTTACTTTTCCTTTGTCTTCCTTGAGTATCAAGGTGGACTAGTGGATTTTATTTATTCCATGTCATAATCTAGTAAAGCCTTTTGTTTTGTGATGCTCAAATAGCTATAAATGTGACTAGTTGGGAGCCCCTTCCAAGCTGGCCCCTGTGTCCTTTTCACTCCATACGTGGTCCTGGGAATGCATCCTTTCTGGCCCAGTGTCCCAGGCTCACGGTGATGTCTTTCCCAGGCCTGCGTCAGCTGCTTCTCCACAGCGCCTGGGTTCCTTTTAGTGCAGAAAGGCATCTGGACACCGAGGTCCAGGCCATAGACGTAGTCATTGTGCTTGTCTGTTATTGCTTAATGCCCTGTTCGCGGACACAGCTAGAAAATATGTATTTAAAACATTGTGAGTTCAGTCAATTTGAATTATAGTTAAAATTAATTTTAATTTTCATTAAAATTATGTAGTTTTGCGGGGTGTGGTGGCTCACACCTGTAATCTCAGCACTTTGGGAGGCTGAGGTGGGGAGACCACTTGAGCTCAGGAGTTCCAGACCAGTCTAGGCAGCGTGGCAGAACCCCATCTTTACAAAAACATACAGAAATCAGCTGGGCATGATGGTATGTGCCTGGAGTTCCAGCTACTCAGGAGGCTGAGATGGGAGGATCACTTGAGCTCAGGAGTTCCAGACCAGTCTAGGCAGCATGGCAGAACCCCATCTTTACAAAAACATACAGAAATCAGCCGGGCATGATGGTATGCGCCTGGAGTTCCAGCTACTCAGGAGGCTGAGGTGGGAGGATCACTTGAGCTCAGGAGTTCCAGACCAGTCTAGGCAGCATGGCAGAACCCCATCTTTACAAAAACATACAGAAATCAGCCGGGCATGATGGTATGTGCCTGGAGTTCCAGCTACTCAGGAGGCTGAGGTGGGAGGATCACTTGAGCCTGGGAGGTTGAGGCTGTGGTAAGCTGCAATGACGTCACTGCACTGCTGCCTGGGCGACAGAGTGAGACCCTGTATCAAAAACAAAACAAAACAAAACAAAAAATACATATATATAGTTTTACTTAATTTCTTTGATTCTTAAATTATATGTTATTCTGAAAAATCTTAATAATATCATTGGCCTTGTTTTGTGCTAAAATGTGCATACAGTAGGTTGTAGAATTACAATACCACTCCTGTAAGAAAACTGCTTAGTTAACTTTGCAGGTTTTTGTTGAGTTCTTTTTGTCCTTAGTTATCTTCCACTTTGGATGAATAAAGTGCTGTATTTTAAAGTTCCTTGACAAATACTCTTGTTTTATTTTTTATTTTATTTATTTTTCCCAAGAAAGAAATAAGACAAATATTATTTTCTCTGGTTATGTTGCCCATTTGTTTCAGATCATTTTTAGATTTAGGATTTTTTACAAATTTTATGTACAAAATAATTACCTGTTATAAAGGTCAGAACTACATAAAAGCTACCTTTCTTATCCCCACCACTCTTCTAAGCAACCTTTTTTTTTTTTTTTTTGAGACAGAGTCTTGCTCTGTTGCCCAGGCTGGAGTGCAGTGGCTCGATCTTGGCTCACTGCATCCTCGGCCTTCCGGGTTCAAGCAATTCTCCTGCCTCAGCCTCCCGAGTAGCTGGGACTACAGGCGCCCACCACCACGCCCAGCTAATTTTTTGTACTTTAGTAGAGATGGGGTTTCACTATGTTGCCCAGGCTGGTCTCGATCTGAGCTCAGGCATTCCACCCACCTCGGCCTCCCAAAGTGCTGGGATAATGGGCATGAGCCACCATGCCCGGCCTAGGCAACGCTTTTTACTTCTGCTACGTCCTGTAAAAGTAAGCAAAACACACCCACAACTCATTTCCCCTCCTGTCTTTCACAAAAGTTAGCATGGGCTGTTGACACTGTGTGTGTCTGGTTTTTCTTGTTTGTTTGTTATGAGATGGAGTCTCGCTCTGGATTCAAGTGATTCTTGTGCCTCAGCCTCCTGAGTAGCTGGGACTACAGGCACCCGCCACCACGCCCAGCTAATTTTTATATTTTTAGTAGAGATGGGGTTTCACTGTGTTGGCCAGGCTGGCCTCAAACTCTTGGCTGCAAATGATCTGCCTGCCTCAGTCTCTCAAAGTGGTGGGATTACAGATGTGAGCCACCACACCTGACCTGTTTGTTTTGAGATAGCGTCTGGCTCTGTTGCCCAGGCTGGAGTGCAGTGGCCTGATCTTGGCTTACCGCAGCCTCGACCTCACGGGCTCAAGTGATTTTCTCACTGTACCCTCCTGAGTAGCTGGGACTACAGGCGCATGCCACCATGCCAGCTGATTTTTTTCAAATTTTTTGTAGAGATGGGAGTCTCACTATGTTACCCAGGCTGGTCTTGAACTCTTGGGCTCAAACGATTTACCTGCCTTGGCCTCCCAAAGTGCTGGGATTACAGGCGTGAGCTGCCGTGGCTGGCCCCTGCGTGTCTGGTTTTTCTGCTCAGCACATGTATGAATGTGTGGGTCCTATTGACGGGCTCTGATCCTTTGCCGTGGGATGCCGCTGTGACTGACGTTGCCGTGTGTTGCATTTTTTGTGTTTCTGGTGAGGACTGTCTTCAGGTCTGTTCGTAGCGTGTGGTTGCTGGGTGGGAGGATACATGTAATTTTGGTGAGTGCTTCCAAGTTCCCCCGCACAGGCCTGCACCCTGTCAGCACTGTGGGAGAGGGCCTGACCAACAGAGGGCATTACTAAGCATTTGGATTTTTGCCAGGATGGTAGGGTGAGAAGGGGTATCTTGAACGGGTTTTCATTTAATTTGCTTCAATCTGAATGTGAAAAATGAAAAAACTGTGCTTTACTGAATTGGATGTAGCACGGAGCAGTTGAGATCATTGAATGCAAGTGGCTCATTTTGTTAGTAAGTCCCCGAGGGCGGTTGGCCCTGTGCGTGGAACCTATACGGAGCGGCCCCAACGCTTCTGCCGCAAAGTCGCTTGGAAGGTGGTTTCTCTGTCTTTCTTATTTTTTGTGCGGCGGAGGCCTTACTTTTTTGCTGAGACTGGAATTGATCTCCTGTGCTCAAGTCTCTCACCGTGGCCTGCAAGTAGCTGGGACTACGGGCGTAAGCCACTGCGCCCAGCCTAGTGTAGCTTTATAAGTGTGTTTTTAAACCTTTTTTATTTTAAAGTGTGGCACAGATACAGAAACTGAATAAAATCAGTGTCTAGCGTAATGAGTCATATGATAAGATGGACACAGTTGTAACTGGTGCTTGGGTCAAGAGGTGCTTGCCAGCTTCCAGAGCCCCTGTGCGTGCCGCCCCAGCCCCTCCCAGCAGAGGCTGCCTCAATCTTACTGTTACAGCAGCTACTTCCTTATTCTTTGTTGTTTTGACTGAACTGAGTACCTCTAAATATTAGTTAAGTTTTTCCTTTTTTTTTTTTTTTTTTTTTTTTTTAGACTTAAGTCTTGCTCTGTCGCCCAGGCTGGAGTGCAGTGTCGTGATCTCGGCTCACTGCAACCTCTGCCTCTTGGGTTCAAGCAATTCTCCTGCCTCAGTTTCCTGAGTAACTGGGATTACAGGTGCCCACCACCACGCCTGGCTAATTTTTGTAGTTTTAGTAGAGACAGGGTTTCACCCTGTTAGTCAGGCTGGTCTCGAACTCCTGACCTTAGGTGATCCACCTGCCTCAGCCTCCCAAAATGCTGGGATTACAGGTGTGAGCCACCGCACCCGGCCAGCCTTTCAGTCTGAATCTACAGGTTACATTATCCACCCCACCTCCCGTGGAAGTATTTTCTGAGGTAACTTGGTGGTTGGACTCGTGCATCTCACGGTCTAGATTTTGCTGGCTGCATTCTTCTGGAGAGGCCCAGTGTGTTCCTCTATCCTTTGGTTTCTTGTAGATTGTGTTTGGTTGGTTGGTTGGTTGGTTGGTTTTGAGGCAGGGTCTTGCTTTGTGGCCCAGGATGGAGTGCAGTGGTGCTCCCGGGCTCAAGTGATTTTCCCACCTCAGCCTCCCTAATAACTGGGACCACAGGCACGCATCACCACACCCAGCTAAGTTTTAAAAATTTTTTTGTAGGCCGGGTGTGGTGGCTCACGCCTGTAATCCCAGCACTTTGGGAGGCCGAGGCAGGCGGATCACGAGGTCAAGAGATTGATACCATCCTGGCCAACATGGTGAAACCACGTCTCTACTAAAAATACAAAAATTAGCTGGGCGTGGTGGCGAGTGCCTGTAATCCCAGCTGCTCAGGAGGCTGAGGCAGGAGAATTGCTTGAACCGGGGAGGCGGAGGTTGCGGTGAGCTGAGATCGCGCCACCGCACTCCAGCCTGGGGACAGAGCGAGACTCCGTCTCAAAAAAAAAAAAAAAAAGTGTGATGTTCTGGCTGAGTTATTGCTTCTTTATGTAGTAGATGAACTATTAAAGATAAACCTCTTCTTATCCACTCTCTGGTGTTATAGTTCATGGAGAAAACTGAAGATAAATGCCTGATTCTTTTTTTAAATTCATCAGTTTTCACAATGATGAATCATTTTCCTATCAGCCTCCAGAGGCGACCAGTTAGGGATTTGATGTTGGTATTGGTGAACTAATGAATTTAAACATATTTGGGATGTTAAATTCTGTCCTCTTTGGACAGTGAGAGCCCCTACAAGCTGGCTCCTGGATCCTTTTGACATCATTCCTGAACTCTCTCAGAGGTTTCTGGCTGTCTGATATGTTCTGTGCTCATCTTGTATTTTTCCGGCTCCAGACCTGAAATAAGCCATTTCTTCAGCTCTGGTTTCTTTTAAGGGCTTGGAAGTTTCAAAACCACAGTCTGCATGTGACAGGTGCTCACTGCTGTTGGGTTGGCCGCTGGTTCTAGGCCTCTGCTGGAGTGTGTGATCTGCTTTCTGACGGCAGGGCGTTCACATGGGTGTGCTTTAATCTTACGTCTCCGTCCTCTTTTTCCACTGAGAGTGCTGGTCTCAAGGACAGTGGAGATGAGAGAATTGGAATATCGCATAATGTCTCATCTGTTTTATCTCTTGCTACAAACATCACAATCTCAAAATAACAATGGCAGTACAACTGCCACCTATATCATTACTGAAAACAGTGAAGATATTTTTTGCCTAAGTCTTCCCATTCTGTGTAGTTATGCAGGGTCTCAACTACAGAGTGTGTAGCCATTACGTACTACAGATGCTTCGCAACTCAGGACACGGCCACGTCCGATAAACCCATCAAAGTCGAAAATGCACTTAATACCTGATTGGAGCCTGGGCATGGTGGCTTACGCCTATAATCCCAGCACTTTGGGAGGTTGAGGTGGGAGGATCACTTGAGCCTGGGAGTTTGAGACCAGCCTCAGCAACCTAGTGAGACCCCCTCTCTACAAAAAATGTTTTAAAATATTAGCCAGGTGTGGTGACACTCAGGTGTAGTTCCAGCTACTCAGGAGGCTGAGGCGGGAGGATTGCTTGGGCCCAGGAGTTTGAGGCTACAGTGAGCTGAGATTGTGTACTGCACTCCAGCCTGAGCGCCAGAGTGAGACCCTGTCTCCAAAAAAAAAAAAAAAAAAAGCCCTGATTAAACCGTCGTAGAGCTGAAAGATTGCGAGTCAAACCATCGATGAAGTTCAGATGCTCCTTGATTGACCATGGGGTTCTATCCCAGCAAGCCCCCCCCCCCCCCCGTGAAGTCAGAAACCACGGAGTCCAGCTATTGTGCTGTGTTTCTCCCCTGCAAACCCTTATTCAGTCCTAGCTCTGCAAGTGACGGCAGCCCCGGGTCTCACTAAGGGCAGGGGTGTGTTCTGAGAAATGCGTTACTCAGCGATGTTGTCGTTGTGTGAACCTCATAGAGTGCACCTACACAAACCCAGATGGTATAACCTGTCACTCCGAGGCTGCAACTCTGCACAGCAGTTACTACACTGAAGCCTGTAGGCATTTGTAACACCGTGGCAAGTATTTGTGTGTCCAAACAGAAAAGGCACAGTAAACAGATGGTGTCGTTATCTTATGTAGCCACTGTGGGGTGCGCTGCTCTTTGCCGAGTGAGGTGTTGCTGTGCAGCACGTGACTGTGTGTGTTAAATGCTTACACGGGGGCCGGGCGCAGTGGCTCACGCCTCTAATCCCAGCACTTCGGGGGCTAAGGCGGGCGGAACTCCTGAGTTCAGGAGTTCGAGACCCGCCTGGCCAACATGGTGAAACCCCGTCTCTATTAAAATACAAAAAAAAAAAAATAATAACCCGTCTCTATTAAAATACAGGTGTGGTGGCAGGCACCTGTAATCCCAGCTACTCAGGAGGCTGAGGCAGGAGAATGGCTTAAACCCGGGAGGCAGAGGGTGCAGTGAGCAGAGATCACACCACTGCACTCCAGTCTGGGCGACAGAGTGGACAAAAATAAAAATAAATGCTCACATTGGGTCCTCATGTTTCTGTTGTGTTTTGGTTGAGGTTTGCTCTCCGGTAGATCTCTCAGGAAGGACTCATGGAACAAGATGTCTTGACTTCCTGCATCTTGATAGTAGTTTTTCTGCATTCATTGTGCTCGAAGGTCAGTTTGGCTTAGTATAAAATCCTTGGTTCACATTTTCTTTTTTTTTTTTTTCCCTTTAATTTTTTGTAGAGCTGGGGGTCTCACTATATTGCCCAGGCTGGTCTCAAACTCCCAGCTTCAAGCAGCCCTCCCGCCTCCACCTCCCGATGCTGATTATACGCGTGGGCCACTGTGCCTGGCTAGTTCACTTTTTTCCTTGAATGTCTTAACTATGTTATTCTATGGTCTTCTAGGATAAAGCATTGCTGTCAAAATCATGACAGTTTTTTCTTTCCAAGTGACTTTGTACTTTGCCTGAGAGCCCAAAGGATTTAAGTCTAGTAATTTTGTTAGAAAATAAATTAGTGTTATTAGTTGAGGATGGATTTTCTCAGTCCCTTTCACTATGTGGCTTGACAATTTCTAATTCAGGAAAGGTTTTTAAGTGTTTAGTATTCTGTTCTCTTGCCCTGTCCCCTCCTGTTTCTGGGGTGGCTGTTCTGATTGTACATATGTTGGATCTTCTTTACGTGTCTTTTAAATTGGTCCGTTTCTCTTGAGTCTTTTTTAATCCCCTCATTTCTTTTTCATTAAAAAAAATTGTGTTTCCCTTTCATTTATCTTAAGCTGTCATCTGTGGAGTTTGTTCTCCTGTTTCTTCTTTTTTAGGTCTTCATTCTTGAAGTCATATTTTACTTTTATTTTTAGTGTTTTTGTGGGACCTATAATCTCACATCAGAATTTTTCTATCCTGATTTATGTTGTTTCTTTATATCATTTTCTTAATTTCTTTAGTTTCTTTGCAAGAGGAAGTTACCGTTTTCATTTAATCTGAGGTCACATTTTTCTGTGAGCATATTTCGTTATCTGCAGTGATGTTTTTCTGCTCTTTAGTTTTTCTCATACCCTTCTGTGAGATGTGACAGAATTCTTTTCTGTTGCCTATTATATTAGTTTTCTAGTGCTGCTTTAACAAATTACCACAAACCGAGTGGCTTCACACAAACGGAAATTAGGAATCTGAAATCTGAGATGGGTCTCACTGGGCTAAATCAAGATGCTGGCGGCTCTTGAACGGTGGCTCTCGGCAAATGCACGTTCTTACCTCTTGCGCCTTCAGGAGGTCACCTGCCTTCCTTGGCTTGCATTGGTTTGGTTTGCTGTTTTTTCTAGTGTTTTCTTTTAGGTGAGTACTTTATTGACTGGAGGTCATCTTTTCTAACACAGGTATGTAGAGCTTTCAGTTTCTTGCTAACCACCACTTCAGCTGCATCTCATCCATTTGGTGGGTTGTATTTTTATTGTCGTTCAGTTGAAAACACTTTCCAGTTTACCTCACGGTTTGTTTTTCACCCGTGAGTTATTTAGAATTGTATTTTGTTTTCAAATAATTGCTTATTTCCCAGATTTCTTTCTTTTGCTTTATAATTTAACTCCATTGTGTTTAGAGGACTTGTATAGTTTCAGTCCTTTTGAAATGCCCAACGCGTATGTTATGGGCCAGCATGTGGTCTATACTGTGGGAGGTTCCCTGGGCCCCTGAAGAAGCGTGTGCCAGGCGGCGGTGGGAGCGGCGGTTGGGGAGGCACTGCGGTGCATCCACTGGGTCAGTTGGCTGACGGTATTGCTCAAGTCTTCTCTGTTCTCGCTGACTTTCTGTCTAGTTCTGGGTGGCCTGGTAGGCCCAGCAGCTTCTCTTCATGGGAGTTTTTGCCCCAGAAAGAAGTGTCAGCTGTTTTGTTTTGCCCCAGATCGGACCTTGGACCCTGACCCTCCTCTGCTTTGCAGATGTGCAGAAAGTCACCCACCTCAGCAGCTTGGTTCTGTGGGCCGTCCAGTGATACCTGTTGGCTACTTGGGGATGCTCGGTGTATCACACGCTTGATGACATCTTTCTTTTCCAGCTGCCAGATCTAATACCATCTAGGCCTTGTAATACTGACTGCAAGGGGGCTTCCATCCTGATACACCCATCCATCATCAATTAA
Organism: Homo sapiens; assembly: GCF_000001405.40. Lineage (NCBI taxonomy): Eukaryota > Metazoa > Chordata > Mammalia > Primates > Hominidae > Homo > Homo sapiens. The sequence goes on from NC_000022.11 coordinate 49,867,794, forward strand.
AAATATCTTCAGTGGAAAATGCATTTAATTCACCTGATGTGCCGAGCATCATAGCTTAGTCCAGCCCCCCTCAAATGTGCTCAGACACTTACATGAGCCCACAGTTGGGCAGAATCACCTGACACAAAGCCTGTTTTGTCATAAAGTGTTGAATATCTCATGTAAGAGTGTCACACCGTATGTTGTTAGCCTAGGAAAAGATCAACATTCAGAATTCAAAGTACAGTTTGTACTGAATGCCAGTGGCTTTCACACCATCGTAAAGTTGCAGGTTCGTAGGTTGAACCGTCATTAAATCAGGGACCCACTTACCCATATTCATGGTTTGTCCCTTCCACTTACATTTGTTGGTTAACGGAAAGACCTTGTCAGTCTTCTTTTTTGTTGTTGTTGATAACATCAGAGGATTGTGGTTTTACTGTTCTAGTTTTCCTTTTATTGAGAGATTTGGGGAAACTAAAAAATAAAATATAGGCAGTGTTACAAGCAAACAAATGAGCTTACTATATTTCAAATGAATAAAATAACTACACTTGAGGAAGGAAGCTGGCTGAGGCTGGTGGATCACCCAGGATCAGGAGTTCGACACCAGCCTGGGCAACATGGTGAAACCCCATCTCCACAAAAAATGCAAAAAATTAACTGGGTGGTGGCACACACCTGTCATCCCAGCTACTGAGGAGGCTGAGGTGGGAGGATTACTTGAGCTCATGAGGCGGAGGTTGCAGTGAGCCAAGATTGTGCCACTGCACTCTAGCCTGGGCAACAGAGCGAGACTGTCTCTTCCAACAAAAAAGAAAAATGAAAACTGACCCAAGAAACTCTTGGACACGATGTGATTATAAACCTCCAAGTAAAAAGATAAAAATTATAAATGAATTGTGATCTCCAGCTAGAAGGCTTGTTTTCTTGGTGGCCTGGGTTAGTAATTCTGCAGCTACTTCGTGCATGTGTTGTAGGGTTGAGCAAATGAGGAAATCTGCCAGGAGGGTGGGAGCCCAGCCTCCCAGAGGTGGATTGAAACGTCACGGATGCAGGCCGGGCGCAATGGCTCACACCTGTAATCCCAGCACTTTGGGAGGCCAAGGCAGGCGGATCACCTGAGATTGGGAGTTTGAGACCAGCCTGACCAACATGGAGAAACTCTGTCTCTACTAAAAATACAAAAAAAAAAAAAAAAATTAGCTGGGTGTGATGGTGTATGCCTGTAATCCGAGCTGCTTGTGAGACTGAGGCAGGAGAATCACTTGAACCCAGGAGGCGGAGGTTGGGTGAGTCGAGATCATGCCATTGCACTTCAGCCTGGGCAACAAGAGCAAAACTGTCTCAAAAAAAAAAAAAAAAGAAAAATCACGGTTGTGGAAAGGGGGATGCTCGGTCTTGTGATCTCAGGGTCAGGGCAGAGTTGGCGGTGTCAGTGTGAAGTTGTGGCTTTGATTCACGTACACACATGCATGTTGGTGTGTGTGTTTATGGGTTCTAGTGCTTCCGCTGGAAGGGCCTAAAGGCAGAGGCACCCGTAACAGTGAGTGCACGGCTGCCTACCTCGTACCCGCGTGGTGGTTATCCACCTCGGGCCTTTTTGGCAGCGCTCGTCCTCCAGACCAGATTATTTCATCTCTGACTGGAGAACACTCTTGCGTGGACTTTAGTGTGGGTCACTTAGAGACACGTTCTGTGTTTGGTTTGTCTGATGGTGTTTTTTAGTTCCTGTTTATTCCTCAGGGAATATTTGTACTGCTTACTGAATTCTGGTTTGGCTCTCATTTTTCACAGCTTTGAAGATGTCATTCCTCTGTCTCCTGATTTACATTGTTTCTCTTAAAAAGTCAGCAGTGTATCTCATTGGTTTTTTTCTTAAAATAGCTTTCATGGAAATAATCTGATATACGTAAAAGTGGAAAGGGTAGCATAATAAACCCTGTGCACGCATCCCCAGCTTCAGAATTACCAGTTCACAGCCATTCCCATTTCATCTGTGTCCTCCACTCACTTTTTAAAAAGTTTTGTTTTTAAAAAGAATTTCAACTTTGATTTTAGATTCATCAGGCACATGTGCAGGTTCACGACATGGTATATTGCGTGATGCTGAGTTTGGGATAAGAATGATCGTCGCCCAGATCGTGAGCATGGTACTCAATAGGTTGTTTTTCAGTCTTGTCCCCTCCTCCCTTCCTCCCTCCCTCACTCCTCACTCTCGCAGTCCCAGTGCCTGTGGTTCTCATCTTTATGTCCCTGTGTACCACATGCTTAGCTCCCACTGATAGGTGAGAACATGTGGTATCCGGTTTTCTGTTCCTGTGTTTGTTCACTTAGGATGATGGTCTCCAGATGCATGCATGTTGCTGCAAGGGACATGATTTTGTTCTTTTTTATGGCTGTATAATATTCCATGGTGTGGATATACCACATTTTCCTTATCCAGTCCACCATTGCTAGGCACGTAGGTTGATTCCATGTCTTTGCTATTGTAAATAGTGCTGTGATGAACATACATGTGTACATGGGGTTTTTTTGTAGAATGATTTATTTCTTTGGGTACATACCTGGTAGTGGCATCACTGGGTCCAATGGTAGCTCTGTTTTTAGTTCTTTGAGAAGACTCCACACTGCTCTCCGCAGTGGCTGAACTCATTGACATCCCTGCCAGCAGTGCTTGAGTTTCCCTTTTCTCTGTAGCCTCTCCAGCATCTGTTATTTTTTTCTTTTTTTAATAAAAGCCATTGTGACGGGTGTGAGATGGTATCTCGTTGTGGTTTTGATTTGCACTTCTCTGATGACTGTTGATGTCGAGCATTTTTTCACGTCTGTTGGCCACTTTTATGTCTCCTTTCGAGAAGTATCTGTTCATGTCCTTTGCTTGCTTTTTAATGGGGTTATTTTATTTCTTGTTAAGCTTCTTATAGATTCTGGATTTCAGACCTTTGTCAGATGCATAGTTTGCAGATATTTTCTCTTATTCAGTGGGTTTTCTGTTTATTCTGTCGATGGTCTCCTTTTCTGTGATAGTTTCAGCTATGCAGAGGCTCTTTAGTTAGGTCCCAGTTGTCAATTTTTGTTTCTGTTACAATCCACTCAATTATTTTGAAGCAAATACCCAAAATCATAATTCACGTAGCTACATTTCAGTAAGTATTTTTAAAAGATAGATTTTTTTTTTTTTTTGAGATGGAGTCTCACTCTGTTACCCAGGCTGGAGTGCAGTGGTGCAATCTTGGCTAACTGCAACCTCCATCTCCAGGGTTCAAGCAATTCTCATGCCTCAGCCTCTCAAGCAGCTGGGATTACAGGTGTGCACCACAATGCCTGGCTAATATATTTTTTTTTAGTAGAGATGGGGTTTCACCCTGTTGGCCAGGCTGGTCTCAAGCCTCCCAAAGTGCTAGGACTACAGGCGTGAGTCACTGTGCCTGGCTTAGAATTCTCTTTTAAAAGTTAATTCATCAGCACTTTGGGAGGCCAAGGCAGGTGGATCACGAGGTCAGGAGTTCGAGACCAGCCTGGCCAATGTGGTGAAACCCCGTCACTACTAAAAATACAAAATTAGCTGGGTGTGGTGGCACGCACCTGTAATCTCAGCTACTCAGGAGGCTGAGGCAGGAGAAAGCTTGAACTTGGGAGGCGAAGCTTACAGTGAGCCGATATTGCCACTGCACTCCAGCCTGGGCGACAGAGTGAGACTCTGTCTCAAAAATAAAAAAAAAGTTACATTTTCAGTATAATGTAGTCTGGTAAGCGTGCAATAGCATGACGTCTAAAACAATGTACCTACCTTGATTTTTAAAAAGCTTGTTGCTGAAAATGCCAACAGTCATCTGAGCCTTCAGCAACTCATAATCTCAGCTGGGAGGAGATGTTGCCTTGGTGTCCAGGGCTGCTGACCAATCAGAGTGCAGATTGCTGACCAATCAGAGTGCAGATTGCTGAAGGGTGGGGTGGCTGTGACAATTTATTTATTTATTTATTTTTTTTTTTTTTTGAGACAGAGTCTTACTCTGTCGCCCAGGGTGGAGTGCAGTGGTGTGATCTCAGCTCACTACAACCTCCACCTCCTGGGTTGAAGCGATTCTCCTGCCTCAGTAGCTGGGATTACAGGTGCACACCAACATGCCCAGCTAATTTTTGTATTTTTAGTAGAGACGAGGTTTCACCATGTTGGCCAGGCTGGTCTCGAACTCTTCACCTCGTGATCCGCCTGCCTCGGCCTACCAAAGTGCTGGGATTACAGGCGTGAGCCACTGCACCCGGCTGACAATTTCTTAAAATAAGACAATGAAGTTTGCTACATCGATTAACTCTTCTATGAAAGAGTTCTCCATAGTGTACATTTTACCCACAGTAGAACTTCTTTCAAAATTGTAGTCAATCCTCTCAAACCCTGCTGTTGTTTTATCAATTATGCTTATAGAATATTCCAAAATCTTTATTGTCATTTTAACAGTGTTCATAGCATCTCCACCAGGAGTAGATTCCATCTCAACAAACTAGTTTCTTTGCTCATCCCTAAGCAGCAGCTCCTCATTCACTCAAGTTTTATCCTAAGAGTACAGCAATTCCGCCGTATCTTTGGGTTCTGTGTATAATTCTAGTTTTTGCCCTTTCCACCAAATCTGCAGTCACTTCCTCCATTGAAGTCTGAGCCCCTCAGAGTCATCCATGAGGGTTAGAATTAACTTCCTTCAACCCATTCTCCTGGTAATGTTGGTATTTTCCCGTCCCAGGAATCACACATGGTTTTGTTTTTGTTGTTTTTAGAGATATGGTCTTGCTCTGTCACCAAGGCTAAAGTGCAGTGTCACGATCACAGCTCACTGCAGTCTCAACCTCTTGGTCTCAAGCGAACCTCCCGTCTCAGCCTGCCAGGTAGCTGGGACTGCAGGTGTATGCCACCAAGCCTGGCTAATTTTTAAATTTTTTTTTTTTTTTCCTGAGATGGAGACTCACTCCATCGCCCAGGCTGGAGTGCAGTGACGTGATCGCGGCTCACTGCAACCTCTGCCTCCCAGGTTCAAGCGAATTCTCCTGCCTCAGCCTCCCGAGTAGCTGGGACCGCAGGCACCTGCCGGCTAATTTTTTTGTATTTTTAGTAGAGACAGGTTTCACCATGTTAGCCAGGATGGTCTCGATCTCCTGACCTTGTGATCCACCCGCCTCGGCCTCCCAAAGTGCTAGGATTACAGGCGTGAACTACCGCGCCCAGCCAATGTTTTAATTTTTTGTAGAGCTGGGGTTTTGCCATGTTGCCCAGGCTGGTCACAAACTCCTGAGCTCATGCAGTCCACCTGCCTTGGCCTCCCAAGGTGCTGGGATTACAGACATGAGCCACTACAGCCAGGGATTTCCTTCAAGAACTTTCCTTTGCATTCACGTCTTGGCTGTTGGTACAAGAGTCCTAGCGTTGGCCTCTCTCAGCTTTAGACGTGCCTTCATCACTAAGCTTAATCATTTCTATCTTTTGAAAATGAGAGACGTGATACTTCCTTTCACTTGAACATGTAGAGGATTAATCGGCCTAATTCTAATTTCTCGTGTGTCTCAGGGAAGAGGGAGGCTGGAGGAGAGGGAGAGAGACGGGGAACTGCTGGTTGATGGAGCAGTCAGGACACACATTTATCAGTTAAGTTCACTGTCTGACATGGGTGTGGCTTGTGGTGGCTCACGTTAATTACGATGGTAGCATTAGAGAGTACTGATCACAGATCACCATAACAGATACCATGATAATGGAAAAGTGTGAAATATTGCCAGAATTACCAAAATGTGACACACAGGTGGAGAGCCCCTGCTGTTAGAAAATGGCACCGATGGACGTGCTTGATGCAGGATTGCCACAAACCTCCAATTTGGGGGAAAAAAAAGTATCTGCAAAGAGCAGTAAAGCGAGGTGCGGTGATATGAGGTGATATGAGGTATTGGGTCTTCCCACCTCATCACCCCCACCCTGCAGCCCCAAGAAAGGCTCAGAGAGAGTCAAGACCAACCTAGAATGAGATGTCTGTTTTGAAGAGAGAACAGCTGGGTTCTTCTCGACCCACAGGGATGCACGGCCCACCTTGTAGGTTGGAGCGAGGAGCGTGGAGGACAAGATCATCCTGGAATGAGAACATAAGGGCTGGGGAATGGGGCGGCGCTGCCACCAGGGAGGAGAGATGCCTGAAATTAGGACATTCCCGGGGAGCTGGCCCGTGCCGAGAACAAGAATGAGCTTGAGTCCTGTGACCTCTCTGAACTCTCTTACTCTTTAGCTCTAGTACTGTTTTGTAGAGGCCTTACAACCTTTATGACATCGATGGCCCTGTCGTCTGCCCATCAAGGCAGTTCTGATTTTCTCTGACAGCCGCCTCCTGCCTGGGCAGACTCCCATCCAGTGCTGTATAGAATATGCCGAGGGGAAGCACTCACTCTTTCACTGATGAGTATGATGGGAGCTGCACTGTTTCCCGGATGCGTCTCATAAGGCTGAAGATGTTTCCTTCCATTCCTGGTTTGTGCAGAGTTTTTGCTGTGAATAGAGGTAGAAGTGTTGGCAAATGTTTTTCTACATCGAATGACGTGCCCATATGGTTTTCCTCCTTTTGCTAATGTATTGTTTTAATTTTTTTTTTTTTTTTAGATGGAGTCTTGCTCTATCTCCCAGGCTGGAGTGCAGTGGTGCGATCTCGGCTCACTGCAACTTCTGCCTCCCAGGTTCAAGCGATTCTCCTGCCTCAGCGTCCCAAGTAGCTGGGATTACAGGGGCCCACCACCATTTTTGTATTTTTAGTAGACATGGGATTTCACCAGTTTGGCCAGGATGCTCTTGATCTCCTGACCTCGTGATCCAGCTGCCTTGGCCTCCCGAAGTGCTGGGATTACAGGCGTGAACCACCATGCCCAGCCTTTTTTTTTTTTTTTTTTTTTTTTTTGAGACGGAGTCTCACTCTGTCGCCAGGCTGGAGGGCAATGGCTCGATCTCAGCTCACTGCACCTCGACCTCCCGTCCAGGTTCAAGCGATTCTCCTGCCTCAGCCTCCTGAGTAGCTGGGAAAACAGGTGCGTGCCACCATGCCCGGCTCATTTTTGTATTTTTAATAGAGACGGGGTTTCACCATGTTGGCCAGGCTGGTCTTGAATGCCTGACCTCAGGTGATCTGCCCACCTTGGCCTCCCAAAGTGTTGGGATTACAGGTGTGAGCCACTGCACCCGGCCTGTTTTAATTTTTTGACTATTAAACCAACCTTTTATTCCTGTGATGAATCATGACGTATTATCTTTGATACATAGTGTTTAATTTAATTTGTTACAGTTTTGTTAAGGATTTTTTTTCTGTGCTCATAGGGTATCAAGTTGTTTCTTTTATTGTAATGTCTTTGCTGGTTTTGGTATCAGGGTAATGCTGCTGATATAAAGAATTGGGAGGTGTTTCTTCCTTTATTTTCTGGAAGAATTTGTATTTTTTTTTTCTTTAATGTTTGGTAGAATTCACCACTGAAGTCATCTGGGCCTGGGAGTTTCTCTGTGGGAAGGTTTTTCAACTATAAGTTCAATTTGTAAATAAAAGGCTAATCAGCTTATTCTTGAGTTTTTGTAGTTTCTGTCTTTCAAGTAATTTGTCCATTTCATCTGAGTTGCATAATTTATTTTCTTTTTTTTTTTCTTTTTTTTGAGACGGAGTCTTGCTCTGTCACCCAGGCTGGAGTACAGTGGCGCCATCTTGGCTCACTGCAGCCTCCACCTCCCGGGTTCCAGGGATTCTCCTGCCTCAGCCTCTCAGGTAGCTGGGGTTACAGGTGCGCACCACCACGCCCGGCTAATTTTTGTATTTTTAGTAGATACAGGGTTTCACCATGTTGGCCAGGCTGGTCTCGATCTACTGACCTCAAGTGACCTACCTGTCTTGGCCTCCCAAAGAGCTGGGATTACAGGCGTGAGTCACCCCGCCCAGCTTGTCCATTTCATCTGAGTTGCAGAACTTATTTTTATAAAATTTTTTATATGTTTCCTTACTATCCTTTTATATATGTAGGATCTGTAGTGATACTCCCTCTCTCATTCCTGGTAGTGGTAAATTCTGTCTTCTCCATTTTTTTCTCTAATCAATATTTGTAGAAGCTTATCAATTTTATTGCTCTTTCCCAAGAACCAGAGTTTGGTTTCATTGATTTTTTTTCTTTTTTTTTTATTTCATTGATTTCACATCTTTATTGTTTTTTTCTTGCTGCTTACTTTGGGATTAAATTTGCTTTACTTTTGTGTGTTTTTTCTTTGATACTGCGTGTAATATAAAAGTGTTATTTATTTGAAAATAGTTTGGATTTTTTCAGATATTATTGTATTGCTGAAGTTTTATTCAGTTCCTTTGTCAGAAACCATTCTTTGATTTTGGTTCTTTTAAATGTATTGAGGTTTGCTTTATTGTCCAGAGAAGAGTCTGTCTTGGTGAAGGTTTTGTGTACACTTGTAAATAATGTGTATTCCGTTGTTGTTGGACTGCTCAATAAATGCCCATTAGGTCAACTTGGATAATAGTGTTGTTTGAATCTTCCGTGTCTTTACTGATTTTTATGTACCTGTTGGTTACTTATTGAATAGTTCTGTGGAAATCTCCATCCGTGATGGTGACTTACCTTGTCTCCCTTTAGTTCTCTCAGCTTTGCTTCGTGGTTTTGAAGGTCTCTTTGCAGGTATATGCACCTTTGGGAGAATGCGCTCTGGATGAATTGACCCCCTTATAATTTTGTGATGTTGTTTGTTATATTTAGTATGTTATTCTTAAATCTTTACCCGGTATTAATGTCGCCACTCCAGCTTTCTCTCGGTTTGTATTAACATGGTATACCTTTTTTCATCCATTTGTTTTTAGCCCTTTTCCTGTTTGCCCTGAGAATACTCACCGGCAGTGCTTGCAGCTGCAGCGTTTACCCCGAGATAAGTTTGCCATGAAATCTCTCGTTTTCATGATGACTTCTGCATTGCTCGAGTATATCGACTTTGGAAACAAAAGACCTCGTTCTATTTATGGCATTCTGTTTTTAGTAGTGGTATTTCCATTTACAAAATATAGGAATTCTCAGTTGCTGAAAACGTCAGATCCCAGAAGACACAGCGTTCCCACACGTGGTGTTAACATCGTTCCCAGTTGCTGGCCAAAGATTCCTTTGATGAATCCGATTTTTCCAAAATAGATGATTCTGATGATTCAGATGACTCTGATGTTAGTTCTGTTTAGAAATAATTCCAAGAACAGTTTTTATGTTTTATTTTCACATTGAAAATCAGTCAGATTTACCTCAGCCTCAAAGAGTGTGTTTATGTAAAAGTAAATGAACGCTGGCAGTGAGCTGCAATTTTTTTTCCTAAACGAGAAAAAGATTAAGCTATTTGTGTCTTTATGTTTAAAGCGTGTTTCTTGTAGGCAGCATATAGGAAGTCTTGCTTTTTTATTCATTCTGACAATCCCTGTCTGTCTCAAAAAAACAGCTTTATTATTTATTTATTTATTTATTTATTTATTTATTTATTTATTTATTTATTTTGAGATGGAGTTTTGCTCTGTCGCCCAGGCTGGAGTGCAGTGGTGCGATCTCAGCTCACTGCAACCTCCGCCTCCCAGGCTCAAATGATTCTCCTGCCTCAGCCTCCCAAGTAGCTATTATTACAGATATGTACCACCACACCTGGCTAATTTTTGTATTTTTAGTAGAGACGGGGTTTCACCATGTTGGCCAGGCTGGTCTTGAACTCCTGACCTCGTGTGATCCCTCCCACCTTGGCCTCCCAAAGTGCTGGGATTACAGGTGTGAGCCACCACGCCTGGCCTAAAAAACAGCTTTATTTGGGTATAATTGATATACAATAAACACATATTTACAGTGCATAATCTGATAAATATATATCCATATCCATATAGTATGCCTAAACAGCTGCTGTGAACATTTGCATATGAATCTTCATATGGACATGCTTGTGTATCCATAAACCCATCCTGCAGGTGGCATGGACACACACATCCCTCCTGACTGTGTCTTCTGCCCCTCGTGGCCCCTCCTCCCGCCAGCACAGACCTGCCCTTTGGCCTCCCGCACTCTGCAGGATTGTTTCGAGATTCATCCGTGTTGCGTGTATCCATTCATTCTTTTGTTATTGCTGCATAATGATCCATTGTAGGGCTGTATCACAATTTGTCTTCTAGTTTTTAGATACTACATATAAAGCTGCTGTGAATTTTATATGTAAGTCTTCATACAGAGGCCAGGCGTGGTGGCTCATGCCTGTAATCCCAGCACTTTGGGAGGCCGAGATGGGCGGATCACCTGAGGTCAGGAATTCAAGACAATCCTGGCCAACGTGGTGAAACACCGTCTCTACTAAAAATACAAAAATTAGCCAGACGTGGTGACAGGCACCTGTAATTCCAGCTACTCAGGAGGCTGAGGCAGGAGAATCGTTTGAACCCGGGAGGCGGAGGTTACAGTGAGCCAACGCACCACTGCACTCCAACCTGGGTGACAGAGTGAGACACTGTCTCAAAAAAAAAAAAAAAAAAGTCTTCATACAGAGATAGGCTTTCATTTCTCAAGAGTAATAATAACTGGGAGTGGAACAGCTGGGTTACGTGGTCAGTATAAACACCGAAGAAGAGATTGGTGGAGCGATAGAGAATCCAGAAATAGATCCACACATATGCGAGCAACCAATTCTCAACAAAGTTACATGGGCACTTCATGGAGAAAGGATTGTCCTTTCAACAGATTGTGTTGGAACAGTTAGACATCCATGTGCAAAAAAATGAACTTCAATCCTTCAGAGATCTAAATATAAAACTTAAAACTTCTAAAAGACAACACAGAAGAAAGTCTTTGAATTAGGCAAAGATTTCTTTGGTACAAGCCCAAAAGCACAATCCATAAAGAACACATGAGTGAAGTGGACTTCATCAAAAGTAAAAACTTATGCTCTTCAAAATACACTAGTAAAAGAATTAGAAGACGAGGTGGGTGGATCACCTGAGGTCAGGAGTTTGAGACCAGCCTGGCAAACATGCTGAAACCTTGTCTCTACTAAAAATAAAAAAAATGAGCCGGGAGTGGGCCAGGCGTGGTGGCTCATGCATGTAACCCCAACACTTTGGGAGGCCGAGGCGGGCAGATCACGAGGTCAAGAGATAGAGACCATCGTGGCCAACATGGTGAAACCCCGTCTCTACTAAAAATACAAAAAAATTAGCCGGGTGTGGTGGCGCGTGCCTGTAGTCCCAGTTACTCAGGAGGCTGAGGCAGGAGAATCACTTGAACTGGGGAGGTGGAGGTTGCAGTGAGCCGAGATCGCGCCACTGCACTCTACCCTGGCCACAGAGTGGGACTCCATCTCAAAAAAAAAACAAAAAACAAAAAAAAACAGGAGTGAAGTGGCGCAATCTCGGCTCACTGTAACTTGCGCCTCCCGGGTTCAAGCGATTCTCCTGCCTCAGCCTCCCGAGTAGCTGGGATTACAGGCACGCGCCACCACGCCGCGCTAATTTTTTTGTATTTTTAGTAGAGACCAGGTTTCGCCATATTGGCCAAGCTGGTCTCAACCTCCTGAGCTCGGTTGATCCGTCTGCCTCATCCTCCCGAAGTGCTGCGATTACAGGTGTGAGCCACCAAACCCAGCCTAATTTTTGTATTTTTTTGCAGAGACGATGTTTTGCCATGTTGCCCAGGCACACACCACTATATCCGCTCTTACAATAGCTGTTTTCATGTCCTTGTCCACTAATTTTATTATTTGTCTTATGTCCGGGCCTGTTTTTATTGGTTGGTTTTTCTCCTGGTCAGTGTCTGGGCGTGTTTCTATTGGTTGGTTTTTCTCCTGGTCAGTGTCTGGGCGTGTTTCTATTGGTTGGTTTTTCTCCTGGTCAGTGTCTGGGCGTGTTTCTATTGGTTGGTTTTTCTCCTGGTCAGTGTCTGGGCCTGTTTCTATTGGTTGGTTTTTCTCCTGGTCAGTGTCTGGGCGTGTTTCTATTGGTTGGTTTTTCTCCTGGTCAGTGTCTGGGCGTGTTTCTATTGGTTGGTTTTTCTCCTGGTCAGTGTCTGGGCCTGTTTCTATTGGTTGGTTTTTCTCCTGGTCAGTGTCTGGGCCTGTTTCTATTGGTTGGTTTTTCTCCTGGTCAGTGTCTGGGCCTGTTTCTATTGGTTGGTTTTTCTCCTGGTCAGAGGTGGTTTTCTCCCGCTTCATCGCAGGTCTGGTTGTTTTTGTCAGCCATTTTGTATTTTACTTTATTGGGTGCAGGATTTTGTTATATTCCTTTAAATGCTGTTGAGACTTGTTTTAGGTTGTAGTAAAGTTAATCATAGACCGTTTCCTCCTCTTGAGGCTGGCGTTTAAGCTGTGTTCGGGTGGCTCCTAACACGGCTTAAAAGAGCGGCCGTTGTTGTGAAGCCCACTGTTCAGTCCGGACCCTTCTGACCCTGCTTGCTGTTCACTCTTGGTGGTGGAAACACAAGCTGTTCCCAGCCTCCAGGGAGCCCTGGCAGTTCTTTTCCCCTTTGGTTCTCTGAGGGTGGTTTCCTCAAATGCAGATGCAGATCAGTATTCAGCCAAAGACACGAGGAACCTCCGCAGGTCTGCGTAGCTCCCTCCTCTCCCGCGCTCGGGACATGCTCGAGACCACCGGGCTCTGCCAAGTTCCGACTCCCCGCCCCGCAGCCTGGAAGCCTGGAAGCCCCGCCGTGAGCGAGGGCAGGTGGGGCTCCCTCTTTAGCTTTCACACTTCTGTGATCACTGTCCTGTGCTTTCTCTTCTCTCTCAGCGTCTGAAAACGTCGTTTCGTGCACGGCGTCTGGCTTATGAGTTGTCTGAGGTCAACCTGGTTTCCTTTGTTTTGTTCATCATGGCTAGAAGTGGAAGTGACTGTGAGTCCAGCTTTGTTCTTTCTTTCCAAAATAATTTTATTTATTCCTGATTCTTTGTATTCCCATATCAATTTTAGACTTCTGTTTATCAGCTACTGCAAAAAGCGTTTTGGAATTTTGACTGGGATCATATTGAATTTATAGGTCAATTTGGGAAAATACTGATGTCAACATTGAGTTTTCTAATCCATGAACTTGGTATATTTCTCCATTTGTTTAAAAGCCTTTAATTTCAGCAGTGTTTTGCAGCTTTCAGTATACAGGTCTTCTTTTTAAGACCTGTATACTTGTGTACCTGTATACTAAAACAAGCATATTTTAAAAATTTTATCTTATTTCATGCTTTCATGCATGCTTTTGGACATTATATGTGGAATTTAAAAATGTTTCATTTTCTGGCCAGGCGCAGTGGCTCAGGCCTGTAAACCCAGCACTTCGGGAGGCTGAGGCAGGTGGATCACGTGAGGTCAGGAGTTCAAGACCAGCCTGGCCAACATGGCGAAACCCCGTCTCTACTAAAAATACAAAAGGAATTAGCCGGGTGTCATGGCACACGCCTGTAATCCCAGCTACTTGGGAGGCTGAGGCAGGAGAAGCACTTGAACCCAGGAAGCGGAGGTTGCGGTGAACTGAGATCGTGCCGCTGCACACTGCAGCCTGGGCGACAGAGTGATCCGTCTCAAAAAAATTTGTTTTTCATTTTCTAATTCATCTGTAGAAATACAGTTGCTGTTTTTTTGAGATAGGATCTCACTGTTGGCCAGGCTGGAGTGCAGTGGCACAATGATAGCTCACCACAGCCTCAAACTTTTGGGTTCAAATCATCATGTCTCCTCAGCCTTCCAAGCAGCTGAGATACAGGCACGCACCACCGCACCTGGCTAATTTTGTTTGTAAAGACAGAGTTTCACTATTATTCAGGCTAGTCTTCAAACTCCTGCCCTCAAGTGATCGTCCCATCTCAGCCTCCTGAGTTCCTGAGTAGCTTGGGACTACAGGCTCACCATACTTGGCATTTTTTGTTTGTTTGTTTTGTTTTTTGTTTTGTAGAGAACAGGGTCTTGTTTTTTTGCCCAGGCTGATCTCAAACTTGTGGTTTCAAGCGATCCTCCCACCTCAGCCTCCCAAGTACTAGGGTTACAGGCATGAGCCACTGTGCCTGGCCTGTGTTAATTTTTTATTTTTCTTTTTTATCTGGCTGTACTTTGTAGAACTTATTGGGAATGCTTTTCAGAAAGAACCTGCATTTATTTCTGGTGGGAGCTAGCAGTTTTTATTAACCTTGGAACACTTTTTAGGGCAACCATACATCTTGCTTTGCTACAGATAGGTTTGGCTTAAGCCTGTTTCCCCAGCAGTATTATTAATAGCTCCCTTTCACTCTCAGAAATGCCCTGGTTTAGAAAATACATGATGTGGTGACTTCAGTTCTTGGTTCCTGCATGGTGGAGGAATGTCGGGTTCAGCTCCTCCCTGTGGGGGTGACCCATGCTGACCAGGCTAGGGATGGCGCACCTCTCCTGCCCATTTGCCACTCCCTGTGTCCCTTGAAGAGTTCTCCCACTTTCTGGCATGCCCAGTAATACTTTAAAAAGTAAGTTTGTGGTGGGCGCATTGGCTCGCGCATATAACTCCAGCACTTTGGGAGGCTGAGTCGGGAGGAGGGCTCACACCTGGGAAGTCGAGGCTTCACTGAGCTGTGGTCACGCCACTGCACTCCAGCCTAAGTGACAGTAAAACTCCGTCTCTTCAAAAAAAGTTTGTTAGAGGTTTTCTAGAGTCTGGTTTTATTATAGAATATTTATGCTGCCATATTACTGAAAACATGCTTTTGTTGCTACTTGGTTTTAGTTCCTTAGTAAACTGCTCCATCTCCTACCCCACATGACTCCATCGTCCTCCGAGCTTCGGCTCAGTTACACCCTTACAGCTCCTGCCCCTGTTCTCCGTCTTGCCCTGCTCTCTCCTGTCTTTGTAACGCCATGTTCCTTCACTTCCAGCGTTTACCATAGCTGGAATCTCACGGTTCTTGGCTGTCAGGTCCCGTGACTGTCTCCTCTTGGCTGCATTCCAGCACGGCGCAGCATCACTTGGGGACGGGGCATTGAATGGGTGACAGGAGGATGGGCTGGAAGCGGTTTTCACCCACAGGACGCCTTTCCCTTCTCAGATGCAGGAGCCACTGTGGTCCGTTTCCTATTC
This sequence comes from Homo sapiens, assembly GCF_000001405.40. Taxonomy (NCBI): domain Eukaryota; kingdom Metazoa; phylum Chordata; class Mammalia; order Primates; family Hominidae; genus Homo; species Homo sapiens. The sequence continues at coordinate 49,882,869 of NC_000022.11, forward strand.
AGCTTTTCGTCTGGGTTGATGATTTCACACGTTAGCTAGAGTTTTTCAAATTCGTATTTCATGTATCAGGTCTTCTAGCAAGGAAGGATGAATAGATCTCAAGGAATTCAGCTTTGCTGATTATAGCAGCTGTGAGTACCTCTCATGAACTGTTTGAAGGATGAGGGCATAAATTCTAGATGAGGCAACCTCTTTATACCATTCTAGGTTTTAATTCATGTTCCCCAATCCTTTATTAATAGGCCACTTGCATTTTTTTTCATGTCTCTATTTTTTGCTTATTTTGCAATTTGGGGGTATTGTCATCCTGTAAACGGATTGCAGGAAGTCAGAGAACAAGTTTTTCGATTCCAGTTTTCCATTATACAGTTTTTTTCTATACATATTTAGGCGGATGGAGCCATGACGGTAGAGGTTAAAATGTGTGATTTAGTTCCATGCTTAATTTGATTTCATCTCTTATAGGTAATGCACAAGGGTCACGTGTATGCTCTCAAGATGATCAGGCAGATCCTGTCCTCAGGACCAGAAGCACGTCTCTGCTGCACACATTGTTGTCTACACCATGAGTGTTTAGTAGCAGGACTCTTGGAAAGCAGTGATCTATGCTGTAAGACCATGAGTCACAGATTCTTTTTTTCAGTACTATTTATGATTAGCCATATTTCTAGAAACATCCTGAAAGATGGAATTATGACGAAAAAGTGAAGATAATCTACATTCGGGGGCACAAATGAGCACTTGGATCAGTGTTTTATGAACCTAAGATACAGCCGGAGTAGTTATGGTCAGTCATGGAGAATAACTTGAAAACTTGTCCCAAAGAGGACGGTGATTTCGTTTCTGATAAAATAAAGTTTAAAATAGAAGAGGAAGATGATGATGGAATTCCTCCTGATAGTTTGGAAAGAATGGACTTTAAAAGCGAGCAGGAGGACATGAAGCAGACAGACAGCGGTGGGGAGCGAGCGGGCCTCGGTGGGACGGGTTGCAGCTGCAAGCCCCCGGGGAAGTACTTGTCTGCAGAGAGTGAGGATGACTATGGCGCGCTGTTCTCCCAGTACAGCAGCACCCTATACGACGTGGCCATGGAGGCCGTGACCCAGAGCCTCCTTTCCAGCCGGAACATGAGCTCCAGGAAGAAGTCTCCAGCCTGGAAGCATTTTTTTATCTCTCCCCGAGACAGCACTAAAGCAATATGCATGTACTGTGTGAAGGAGTTCAGCAGAGGCAAAAACGAGAAAGACTTGAGTACCAGTTGTCTCATGAGGCACGTGAGGCGCGCACACCCGACCGTGCTCATTCAGGAAAATGGCAGTGTGTCTGCCGTGTCCTCGTTCCCCTCTCCCTCACTCCTGCTTCCACCACAGCCTGCGGACGCGGGTGACCTCAGCACCATCCTCTCACCCATCAAACTTGTCCAGAAAGTGGCGTCTAAGATCCCGTCCCCCGATCGAATAACAGAGGAGTCTGTGTCTGTAGTTTCTTCTGAAGAAATCTCCTCTGACATGTCCGTTTCGGAGAAGTGCGGCAGAGAAGAAGCCCTGGTGGGGTCGTCTCCCCACCTCCCTGCTCTCCATTACGATGAACCTGCAGAGAACTTAGCGGAGAAGAGCCTTCCACTTCCAAAGAGCACCTCTGGGTCCAGGAGAAGGTCCGCTGTCTGGAAGCACTTCTACCTGTCGCCACTGGACAACTCCAAAGCTGTCTGCATTCACTGCATGAACGAGTTCAGCCGGGGGAAGAATGGGAAGGACCTGGGCACGAGCTGCCTCATCAGGCACATGTGGAGGGCACACCGCGCCATCGTGTTGCAGGAGAACGGGGGCACGGGCATCCCGCCACTGTACTCCACCCCTCCCACTCTGCTGCCTTCCTTGCTGCCGCCGGAGGGGGAGCTCAGCTCTGTGTCCTCGTCTCCAGTAAAGCCGGTCAGAGAGTCCCCTTCGGCCTCCTCCTCCCCTGACAGGCTGACTGAGGACTTGCAGTCTCACTTGAACCCTGGAGATGGGCTGATGGAAGACGTGGCGGCCTTCTCATCTTCCGATGACATAGGGGAGGCCTCGGCGTCCTCTCCTGAGAAGCAGCAGGCTGATGGGCTGAGTCCTAGATTGTTTGAATCTGGCGCCATCTTCCAGCAGAATAAAAAGGTCATGAAAAGACTGAAGTCGGAGGTCTGGCATCACTTCTCCCTGGCCCCCATGGACAGCCTCAAGGCCGAGTGTCGGTACTGCGGCTGTGCCATCAGCCGGGGGAAGAAGGGTGATGTGGGCACCAGCTGCCTGATGAGACATCTCTACCGGCGCCATCCAGAAGTTGTCGGGAGCCAGAAGGGCTTCCTGGGTGCAAGTCTGGCAAACTCTCCGTATGCCACTTTGGCCTCTGCAGAAAGTTCCTCTTCCAAATTGACTGACTTGCCAACAGTGGTCACAAAAAACAATCAAGTTATGTTTCCTGTTAATAGCAAAAAGACCTCGAAGCTGTGGAATCATTTTTCTATTTGCTCCGCAGACTCCACAAAAGTCGTGTGCTTGCACTGTGGCCGGACCATCAGCCGGGGGAAGAAGCCGACTAACTTGGGTACCAGCTGTCTTCTGAGACATTTACAGCGGTTCCATAGCAACGTGCTGAAAACTGAGGTCTCGGAGACGGCTCGGCCCTCCTCTCCGGACACCCGGGTGCCGCGGGGCACAGAATTATCAGGCGCTTCCTCTTTTGATGACACCAATGAGAAGTTTTACGATTCTCACCCAGTTGCCAAAAAAATCACAAGTCTCATAGCTGAAATGATTGCACTTGACCTCCAGCCATATTCTTTTGTAGACAACGTTGGCTTTAACAGGCTGCTTGAATACTTGAAACCTCAGTACTCCCTCCCCGCCCCTTCCTACTTCTCCAGGACAGCTATCCCAGGTATGTATGATAATGTGAAGCAGATAATTATGTCCCACCTTAAGGAAGCTGAGAGTGGTGTGATCCACTTCACGTCTGGAATATGGATGAGTAACCAGACCCGTGAGTACCTGACCCTCACGGCCCACTGGGTTTCCTTCGAGTCGCCAGCCCGGCCGCGCTGTGACGACCACCACTGCTCGGCGCTGTTGGACGTGTCGCAGGTGGACTGCGACTACAGTGGCAACAGCATTCAGAAGCAGCTGGAGTGCTGGTGGGAAGCGTGGGTGACCTCCACCGGCCTTCAGGTGGGCATCACCGTCACCGACAACGCCAGCATCGGGAAGACGCTGAACGAGGGGGAGCACTCGAGCGTGCAGTGCTTCAGCCATACGGTGAACCTGATCGTCAGCGAGGCCATTAAGAGCCAGCGGATGGTGCAGAACCTGCTGAGCCTCGCCCGGAAGATCTGCGAGCGGGTGCACCGGTCGCCCAAGGCGAAGGAGAAACTGGCCGAGCTGCAGAGGGAGTACGCGCTGCCTCAGCATCACCTCATCCAGGACGTCCCGTCCAAGTGGAGCACTTCCTTCCACATGCTCGAGCGGCTCATTGAGCAGAAAAGGGCCATTAACGAGATGTCCGTCGAGTGTAACTTCCGAGAGCTGATCAGCTGCGACCAGTGGGAGGTCATGCAGTCCGTGTGCCGTGCGCTAAAGCCCTTCGAGGCTGCGAGCCGGGAGATGAGCACGCAGATGTCCACCCTCAGCCAGGTCATCCCCATGGTACACATCCTCAACAGGAAGGTGGAGATGCTCTTCGAGGAGACGATGGGCATCGACACCATGCTGCGCTCTCTGAAGGAGGCCATGGTGAGCCGCCTGTCTGCCACCCTCCACGACCCGCGGTACGTCTTCGCCACGCTGCTGGATCCTCGCTACAAGGCCTCCCTGTTTACGGAGGAGGAGGCGGAGCAGTACAAACAGGATTTAATCAGGGAACTCGAACTCATGAATTCTACCTCAGAGGACGTGGCTGCCTCCCACAGGTGTGATGCTGGCTCCCCGTCGAAAGACTCTGCCGCAGAGGAGAACCTGTGGTCACTTGTGGCCAAGGTGAAGAAGAAAGACCCAAGAGAAAAGCTGCCTGAAGCCATGGTGCTTGCGTATCTGGAGGAGGAGGTGCTTGAACACAGCTGTGACCCGCTCACCTACTGGAACCTGAAGAAGGCGTCCTGGCCGGGGCTGTCCGCGCTGGCCGTCAGATTTTTGGGCTGCCCCCCAAGCATCGTCCCTTCAGAAAAGCTGTTCAACACACCCACTGAGAACGGTAGCCTTGGCCAATCCAGGCTCATGATGGAACATTTTGAAAAACTTATCTTTTTGAAAGTGAATCTTCCCTTAATATACTTTCAGTATTGAAACTCACGACGGCACCACTAGGCCAGAGGCGTGGCTGCCCCAGCGTTAGCAGCCTGTACCAGGTCTATGACCCGCTCTGCCCACGGCTGTGTACGACATCAGACCAGGCACTCTCAGGGCCGCTCTCCAGCTCACCACAGTGTCTCCACGTGCCTTACCCCTTCTCCTTCAGGCCAAGTTTCGCGGGGTGTTTTATTAAGACGTCCACTAGAAATAGCTTGTCCTGTCAACTATGAAATATGGTGACTAGATTTTAATTCATAACCGTAAAGTTTTTTAAAGTTTTGGGTTAGTAATTTGTTTTACTAGAATGACAAAGAAGATGTAAACCATTTTATTCTGTAGGCTTTTTACTCAATTATGTACAAACCACAAATCAGGTACTGTATTTTAGTGAAGCATTGCTTTAATTGCAACAGAATAGCTTTTGTGGCTATCAAATGAAATCTGTAAATAGGAGGTGGAGGGCAAGCCATCCTGACTGAGCAGTTTTTAACCGCAGGTTCTAAAGTGTCCCGCGGAGTACAGATAATATTCTGGAAGGTAACTGTTTACTACGACAGAGACGTGGCATTTGGAAACGAAACTTAGATGTTTCATGGAGCTTATTTTGAGAACTTTCCCATTTCAGGTTTCTGCATTCAGGCTTTACATGGTCAGTTAACTCAGAGATACCCCAGCTGTTTATCATCAGCTCCTCTGAAATGTGATCCCTTTGTAACTGTGCTCATCACTTCGCCAGTGCGTTCAATGACACGCTGATGGCAGGTGGTCCCTGCTGAAACCCCCACGCCTCCGCTTCAGCATCTCCACGCTCTGAAGCTGTCTTTCAAAATGTGTGCACTGACCCCCTTGTTTGATCAAATTTGTGTAAAATTTTTTTAGAAGAGATGGCTTATTAACAGGGAAGAAGCTTGTTATATTCCAGTTGTAAGAATAGCCTTAGTGTTTAGATTTTTTTATGATAGGGAAGATGCGGCCATCACTGGGATATTTTCAAATCCCAAGGACATCAGAGTGAAGTGTCAGTTGTCAGATGATTTTAAAAGTTATGTCTTCAGAGAAAAAAAGATTCATTTTCTCATTTTAAACCAATTAAATATTCTGAGTGAGACTAATCACTCATTTGCCTACGACCTTTTAGAAAAGTTGTTTTGTTGAAATACTGTACGTACGCTTAATCTAAATTTGCATTGACTATGTTTTAGTGTATTTATAAATGGTGAACTCAGTTTCTGAAATTAAACTTCTTATTTGCAATTTTCTAGTGCTGGCAGACACTGGCTTTTTATTTTTAGGATAAGAAAACAGGCATATTCTTTGTGGTCCATTATCTAGAGCCCATACTTGGGCAGCATTTGAAATTTCACCTTAACCCCAGACAGGGCTCCAGGGAAGTGGAGATGTAATTCTTACAACAACAGTTCTGATCATGGCCATGGTGATGACTTTCCAGGTCTCGTGTTCAAGTGGTGCCAGAATGCAGGAGCCGGTGGGCAGCCCTGAGGGGTTGCCTTGGCCGCAGCCTCTGTGCACGCTCTTCCTGGTGTCCTCTTACCCGGTAGCTGTGCGCTTGTTCCCGTGAGAACAGCCTGCTTCCAGAGTGCCCAGGAGTGCTGGTCAGGGACAGTGCCCGTGAGGCTGCAGAGGAGGTGGGGTCCATGGCCCACCCATCTCTCCCTCGCCAGCAGCCCTGGCCAGTGTCATCCTGGTGTAGAAAGGGTTGCGCACAGGATAGGAGGGAGCCACAGTTCTTGCTTAGCTGTGCTCACGACCAGCTTGCAGTCCTGTGTTTCTTAAGATTGTATTTGGAATGGTAATATCCTTAGAATTTTGGGATATTGAGCTTCATGGATTTTCTCTCCAAAACAAGCCAGCACAACTAACTGTAGCAGAATTGTATCCACTCATTCATTCAACTGAGATGAAGTGCCCTCCCTTTTCCAGGGCCTGGGCTAGTTCCTGGAATGCAACAGAGATTTCCGTGGACACAGTCTCTAGTCTCACAGAGCATATAGTCTAGTCCACGATTGGCAAGCTGCAACCACAGACCCAGTCCGGCACTCTGCCCATTTTTCTAAGTGAAATTTTCTTGGAATACAGTCACAGCTGTTTTTTTAACATGGTGTCTTGGCTACTTTCAGGCTGCGACGGGAGAACTGAATAGTTGTGACAGAGACCACAGGCCCACTGAAAGGGACAAACAGGGCTGAAAATACTCACTGTTTGGCCCTTTCCAGAATAGCAAGTTTGCTGGCCCTTGAGCTAGCCTGCCTTTATGGGGTTTTTTTTGTTTGTTTTTTTAAGCTTTCAGCTTCATGCTGCTGTATTTTTAGTTGAAGTGTTCTGAGTAACAGTCAGTGTATAAAAGGGGATTGCAGAAAAAAATGAGGGCTTGCTTTACTCAACAGAAAATATGGCCCTTCCTGAATGACACTAGGAGAGTCATTTTATCTCATACATTCCCTTCATTTCGTTGGTGGACATTTGTTGAAACCGGCACTCAATGGTCAAACCGTCTCTGCCCTCCAGTTGCTGACAGTCCTGCAGGAAGATGGACAAGAGGCCCAGTGCTGACAGTCACACGACTCTCACTACTTGAATGAGGGGACTGTGGGTGCAACTAGAAAATATGTTGATTCTTAGCCATTCCCACCTTGCCTCTCCGTTCAGAACCCCAGCTGCGAGCTGTTTGTTTCCCTGCCTGGAAATGATGTTTTAGGCAGGTTCCTTAATTTCTCAGGTCTGTCTCAGATAATAAAAAGCTCTTTGTATGAGCCTCAGAACTGTCTCTTCAGTGAATGAAATTACCAGTCATTATACGAAGGGACTTTAAAAAATTTGTGGAAATACTGAAGTAAAAGATGATAAAAAAATAAAAACTTTATTTCTTGGCTGGGCACAGTGGCTTATGTTTGTAATCCCAGTACTTTGGGAGGCTGAGGTGGGAGGACTGCTTGAGGCCAGGAGTTCAAGAAATTAGCCAGGTTTGGTAGTGCATGCCTGTAGTCCCAGCTACTTGGGAGGCAGAGGGAGGAGGATTACTTGAGCCCAGGAGTTTGAGGTTGCAGTGAGCTGTGATCACACCACTGCACTCTAGCCTGGACAACAGAGCAAGATCCTCTCTCTTAAAACCACCAACAATGACAACAACAAAACAACATTTTTATTTCTCAATGTAAGCTCCATCAAGATCAAGATACTTTTGTAAGCTGTGACACCAGCCATTTAGTCCACCTCTAAAGAATTGCAGGCTCTGGGAATTTAACCATGTCAGTGCAGCCTTTTTAACATTATTAACGGAAGAAAAAATGAGTGCTTTTAAAGATTTTTTAAAATGAGGAAACAAAGTCAGAAGGAGCAAAATCGGGACTGTAAGGTGGATGCCTAATGATTTCCCAACAAAACTCTTGAAGAATTGCCCTTATTTGATGAGAAGAATGAGCCAGGAGCATTGTCATCGTGGAGAAAGACACTGATGAGGCTTTCCTGGGTGTGTTTTTGCTAAAGCTTCGGCTAACTTTCTCAAAACACTCTCATAATAAGATGTTATTGTGGCCAGATGCGGTGGCTCACGCCTGTAATCCCAGCACTTTGGGAGGCTGAGGTGGGCAGATCACGAGGTCAGGAAATCGAGACCATCCTGGCTAACATGGTGAAACCCCGTCCCGTCTCCACTAAAAATACAAAAAATTAGCTGGGCGTGGTGGCAGGCACCTCTAGTCCCAGCTACTCCAGCTACTCGGAAGGCTGAGGCAGGAGAATGGCGTGAACCTGGGAGGCAGAGCTTGCAGCTAGCTGAGATTGTGCCACTGCACTCCAGCCTGGGCGACAGAGCGAGACTCCATCTCAAAAAAAAAAAAAAAATGTTCTTTGGCCCTCCAGAAAGTCAACAAGCAAAATGCATTGAGCATCCCAAGAAACTGTTGCCATGACCTTACTTTGACTTGTCCACATTTGCCTTGACTAGGCCACTTCTACCTCTTGGTAGCCATTGCTTTGATTGTGGTTTGTCTTCAGGATGGTACTGGTAAAGTCCTGTTCCATCTCCTGTTATAATTCAAGGAAATGCTTCAGGGTCTTGATGCCACTTGTTTAAAATTTCCATTGAAAGCTCTGCTCTTGTCTGCAGCTGATCTGGGCACAACGGTTTTGGCACCCATCGAGTGGAAAGCTTGCTCAACTTCAATTTTGAACCAGTTGAGATGTCTGTGGTCTTGGCTATTGTTCTGTTAATCGTCAGTCCTCTTTAATCAGAGCATGAACAAGATCAATATTTTCCTTGCAAATTGATGTGGATGGTCTGCCACTGTGGTCTTCATCTCCAATGTTGTCTTGATCCTTCTTAAAACGAGGTATCTATGTGTATACTGCTGACTTCTTTAGGGCACTGTCCTCATACACTTTTTGTAAAGCATCATGATTTTCACCATTCTTCCACCCAAGGTTCACTATAGATTTGATGCTTGTTTTTGCTTCAGTTTTTGCAGAATTCATGTTCTGCTAGGAGCCCTTTTCAAACTGATTCTTACTGCCTCAAACTAGATCTATTCAGGCATGTTCTAACAAGTTAGTATGAGTTTATTTTGGAGCAAAAGAATTTTGAAATGCATGCATAGTTTTGTCATAATATGCATTTTCCATGAACTTTTTGAAGACCACTCCTGCAATAATAAAACATTGAACTTCATTTAAAGCTAAAATTCCCTTCTCTTCCACTTCTGACTATGAGGCAGCAACTGCTATCAGACCAAACCTTTCCCAAGAACTATCAAGGCCATATAAAATATATTTTTAAAAAGAGCTTTTTGCATCCTGGCTAAAACAGTGAAACCCCGTCTCTACTAAAAATACAAAAAATTAGCTGGGTGTGGTGGTGGGCGTCTGTAGTCCCAGCTACTCTGGAGGCTGAGGCAGGAGAATGGCGTGAACCTGGGAGGCAGAGGTTGCAGTAAGCCGAGATCGTGCCACTGCACTCCAGCCTGGGCGACAGAGCAAGACTCTGTCTCAAAAAAAAAAAAAAAAAAAAAAAAACTTTTTGAAGACATCAGAGAGTAAGACAGCCAGGATTTGAAGAAACAAAATCCTAGTAAGATGAGACTTGCATAAAGGTGAGTCCTGTGTTCACAACATTTTTTCCTGTTGGGCCATTTGCTGGTGTCCTGCCCTAAGGCCTGACAGAAGGTGGCAACCAGAGCTGGCGTGGTGTCACTGGGCTGGGAGACCGGCAGCAACACACAAGCTGTCATGTTGGCCAGGATGCCAGGAGCCTCAGAGAAGTGGCCGAATTCCCAGTGTGCAGCTTCCCCTGCAGCAGGTGCCTATTCCTGGTTGCTGCTTGTGCTTGAGGCAAGAGGCTTGGAAACCCAAATATAGCAGCAAAAGGCTGGAAAGCTGAGACATCTTTGGGCAAGGGAGACAAAACTTGGGACTTCAGTGCCTGCCATTGAGAAAACTCTGAGGTTTCCAGGTGAGTCCCCTGAAGGGCAAACTGGAGAGGGACCAACCCTCACCAAGTCTGGACATGGCTTGAGCCATCTCAGCCTTGATTGCATCAGGGCGATCTGCCTCACCTTTCTGCTAGAGGAAAACTAAATTTTCTTTCAATGAAAACATCAGAGCTCCTATAACTTTACAGATAAACAGTTTGACTCTCATAAAAAAATTATGAGACACACTGAAAAAAAGGACTAAGTGACTGAAAAGAGAATCATAAGACAATAGAAATAGTCTCACAGGTGATCCAAATACTGGAGTTTTCAGACACGGACTTTATGATTTATACATTCAATAATATGGATGAGAAGGTGGAGAATGCCACCAGAGAGAATCTGTAAACGTGCTAATGCTGAAAAACACAACGATGAATGAAGAATTCCCTAGATGTAGTTAGTACCAAATTAGGCTTATAGATGAAAGGATTACTGAATTGGAAGACAAGCCAGTAGAAAACATTCATCTTGAAGTACAGAGAGATGAAAAGTGCCTGAGAGACACAGCGCAAGAGAAAAGACTAGCACACAGCTGACGGGAGTCCCAGAAGAGGAGAGAGAAGGGGTGGAGCGCCATTTGGATGAGATCACAGCTGAGGACTTTCCAGAACTGTTGGGACATCAGCCATAGGTGTCAATATCTTTGAACCCCAATGAGGATAAATTGAAAATAACAACCTGCACCTAGGCACATCATGGCAAAGTGCTGAAACCCAAAGAGAAAGAGACAACCTTAAGCAGAGGGAGGGAGGAGAGACACTTTTACCTTCAGAGGAGCAATAAAGCTGGCAGCTGACTCTCTAAAACAAATAGTTGGAATGGTGGAGTGGCTTTTTTTAAATGCTGAAAGGAAATAATTACCAATCTAGATTTATATACCCAGTGAGAAGATTCCTCAAAAGTGAGGATGAACTTAAGTTTTTGGACAAAACAAAAAATTGCAGAAACTTGTCACCAGCCAACCAGCCCTAAAATATATCCTGGAGGGAATTCTCCAGGTGGACACTTGATGTGGGAAGGAACAAGGAATACTCCTGAAAGGAGCAGAAACGGGAAAGCTAAATAAATAATAGACTGCCTAAAACTATCTCTTAGAGTTCAAAATACAGGTAGACTTAAGATACATGGACAGTAAGGACAAAAGGTGGGAGGGAAATAAAGGATTGCACCATCCTGCAAGGGGTGAAAGTATGGATTTCAAGTAGATTCTGGGCCAGGTGCAGTGGCTCACACCTGTAATCCCAGCACTTTGGGAGGCCAAGGCAGGCGGATCACCTGAGGTCAGGAATTTGAGACCAGCCTGGCCAACATGATGAAACCCCGTCTTTACTGAAAAAACAAAAAATTAACTGGGCCTGGTGACGCATGCCTGTAATCCCAGCTACTCGGGAGGTTGAGGCACGAGAATTGCTTGAACCCAGGAGGCGGAGGTTGCAGTGAGCCGAGATGGCACCACTGCATTCTAGCCTGGGCGACAGAGCAAGACTTCATCTCAAAAAAAATAATAAAGTAGATTCTGACATCAGACGTGATCTCTAGGGTAACCGCTAAAAGCAATAAACATGTTGATGAAACTGGACTAATACCTACTTTCACTAATCCCAAAGAAGGTAAGAAAGGAAAAATAACCAGATGGGACACATAGGAAACAGAGGCAAATGGTAGCTTTAAACCAAATGTGTCAGCAAGCATATTAAATGTAAGTGGAATGCAAACTCCAATTAAGTGTGTTAGATTGGATAGACAAAACCCAGCTATGTTCATTCACAGGCTTCACATATCGAGTCCAAGGATGCAGAGTGAATGCGAGAGGCCAGAAGCCAGGGCACCACCCACACATCTGCTACAGCTGTTCACATCTGACAGCACGGCCTCAGGCAGGAGGACTCATTAGAGATGGAGGGACAGCTCAGTGACCAAGTGGTGAGGTTAATGGGATGACACAACAATGCTAAACATAAAAGCACCAAAGAACACAACTCCAAAATGTGACTGGAACAGAAAGAACTAAGAGGAGAAATAGACAATCACAGTGAGAGATCTGAACACTTGCCTCAGCAGCAAATAAAGTGAGTGTTGTTCCAGAATGTGTCCTGACTGACCACTCCCTCTGGCCCCAGTGACCATCCTGCCGGACGGCCGTCTCCTCCCTGGTTGAGCAGCCTTGAGCAAGGGTAGCAGTGGGCAGTGTGTGGAGGCCAGAGGCCTCTCACGTCCACCCACCCCAAAGGCACTGCCCTGGGGGACAGCTGAGTGAGGAGAGAGGGAGACACCCTTGAAGCAGGGAGGGGAGAGTTGGAGGGAGTCACATGTGGGAGTGAAGCCCAGGAGGAGGAGGAGGGGCAGGAGCATTGCCGCTGGGGGCAGACAGGCTGATGGAGGGAGAGGGGAGGCTCTGAGCCCCAGGTGACACCATGCTGTACACATTGCTTTACAGCCCATCTTTCTATGTTAGTAAACCCACTTCATTATTTTATAGGGCTCTGTGGCTGTATTCAGTATTTTATCACCATAAAAATTCTCATTGGAGCTTCTGAGTTGAGAGGCAGAGGCATTTGCAGGGGTAAGTCTTCCCATCCTCCTGCTCTAACATCCACTCGCTTCATTCTAGTCGTTTCTCGTTAGGGTCCTTTGTAGGGATTTTGTAATTTTGGTTGGATTTGTGACAGGGAATTTTATTCTGCTTCATTTTAAAAGTGGGCCAGGTGTGGTGGCTCACACCTGGGATCCCAGCACTTTGGGAGGCCGAGGTGGGTGGATCACCTGAGGTCAGGAGTTCGAGACCAGCCTGGCCAACGTGGTGAAACCCCAGCTCTACTAAAAATACAAAAATTAGCCAGGTGTGGTGGTGCGCACCTGTGGTCCCAGCTACTCAGGAGGCTGAAGCAGGAGAATCACTTGAACCTGGGAGGCAGTGGTTGCAGTGAGCTGAGGTCGCACCATTGCACTCCAGCCTGGACAACAGAGCGAGACTCCATCTCAAAAATAAAAAAAAAAAAAAAGTGGTGCTGTAAGGAGAGTTTGTATCCTTGAGGGAAGACCATTTATGTTTACTTACGGCTTTACAATTAACATTTAGTTTATTGAGGTTACTAATTAAAATACTAGGTTTTCTTTAAACAATTAAAGAATTGCCTTCTACTTATAAATGTAGTGGATTTTAATTGAGTAGGACCAGTCACTCTAAAGGAGTCTTAATATTTGATCAGCTGCAGTTAAATGAGATTAGATTCACTCAGCCATCAGTCCACTTGGCAGTCTTGGTTGAGTTCTGGGAAGGGCAAATGCTGGGTCTCCTGTGAGCAGCCCCTCTGCTCAGCACTGTGCCCCAGGGAAGGGCCCGTGTCCCTGCTGGGTCTCCGCCCACCATCTCTTCCCAGTGAGCTGGTCCTGATGTCCATGTCAGCCTTTCAGTGACTGTTGCTGCACCTTCCTGCACAGTCTGTTAACAGACCAGAGGAAACCCACTGGTGTGGCTCAATAAAATAATTCTAAATATGCACGTGTCTCTTGCATGAGACTTCTGGGGTGCTGACAACAGGGCCCTGGGCCTCAGTTTTCACCTAGGCGTCATCCTCATGCTCAGGAACGTCTGTGGCTAAATCTCTCCCCGTGAGATGCTCTTTTTCTTCAGGAAATAAAGGTTTTTCCAGAAGCATCCCAGCAGACCTTGTTCGGCTGGAGTGGGTCCTGGGGGACCTCTCTAGTATCCTCCTATTGAGGTGGGTGAGGGAGGAGAGGCCACATGGCCACCTGCCCCCAGCCTCTGCCATGTCCATGGTCCCAAGGCCATGTGAGCCCTTATGCAGGCCCAGGTCCTGGTCCCCTGCTCCTCTCTGGCGTGGTCCAGCCCATTGTCTCTCTGCCACAGCACCCTCAGTCTCACAGCATCAGTGAAGTCTTAATATCTTTTCTCTTTTCCTGTCAACATTTACCTTGGTACTTTGTCCTCTTAATTTTTTTTATTATTTTTTATTTATTTTGAGATGAAGTCTTGGTTTGTTGCCCAGGCTGGAGTACAATGGCGTGATCTCAGCTCACTGCAACCTCCGCCTCCCGGGTTCAAGCAATCCTCCTGCTTCAGCCTCCCCAGTAGCTGGGATTACAGGTGCCTGCCACCACGCCTGGCTAATTTTTGTATATTTTTTTTTAGTAGAGACGGGTTTCGCCATGTTTGCCAGGCTGGTCTTGAACTCCTGACCTCAGCTGATCCACCTACCTTGGCCTCCCAAAGTGCTGGGATCCCAGGCGTGAGCCACCACACCTGGCCCACTTTTAAAGTGAAGCAGAAGAAAATTCCCAGTCAAAAAAAAAAACAATTCCTCAATGCTCCACCTACTCATCCTATCCTCCCTGCCAGCCCCGGTCTTTTTTGTCTCCATAATTTTTCCTTTTCTAAAATATCAAATAGTTGGACTCATACAGTATGTAGCCTTTTCAGACTGGCTTCATTCACTAATATGCATTTAAGATTCCCTCATGTCTTTCTATGGGCTAGTCATTCACTTATTTTTAGCACTGAATAACAGACATGCCACAGTTTATCCATTCACCTACTGAAGGGCATCTTGGTTGTTTTCAAGGTTTGGCAATTATGAATACACCTGCTATGAATATCCTTGTACGAGCTTTTGTGTGGACGTAAGTTTTCAACTCCCTTGAGTAGATACTGAGGAGCTTGATTGCTGGATCACAGGGTAAGAGTATGCTTAGTTCTGTACGAAGCTGCCAAACTGTCTTCCAAAGCAGCTACACTGGTTTGCATTCACGCCAGCAATGAATGAGTTCCTGTTGCTCCACATCCGCACCAGCACTTGGCATTATCCATTTTGGATTTTGGCCATCCTAACAAGTGCGTAGTGGTGTCTCATTTTTGTTTTAATTTGCAATTCCCTAATGACCATATAATGAGGAGCATTTTTGTATATGCTCAATTGCCATCTGCGTATCTTCTTTGGTGAGGGGTCTATTCAGATCTTTTGCCCATGTTTTCTTTTTTTTTTTTTTTTTTTTTTGAGATGGAGTCTTGCTCTGTCGCCCAGGCTGCCGTGCTGTGGTGCAGTCTTGGCTCACTGCATGGGTTCATGCCATTCTCTTGCCTCAGCCTCCCAAGGAGCTGGGACAACAGGTGCCCACCACCACGCCCGGATAATTTTTTTGTATTTTTTTTAGTAGAGATGTGGTTTCACCATGTTAGCCAGGATGGTCTCAACCTCCTGACCTCGTGATCTGCCCGTCTTGGCCTCCCATAGTGCTAGGATTACAGGCGTGAGCCACCACGTCCGGCCTCAATCACATTGTTTTCTTATTTATGAGTTTTAAGAGTTCTTTGTATATATTGGATACCAGTTCAATATATACTTTGTATATATTGGAGACCAGTGAGACAGGGTCTCACTCTGTTGCCCAGCCTTGACCTCCTGGGCTCAAGTGATCCCTCCTGCCTCAGCCTCCCAAGTAGCTGGGACTACAGGCATACACCATCACACCTGAATAAATTTTTTGTTGTTGTTTTTTGTAGGGACGGAGTATCACTATATCACCCAGGCTAATTTTAGAACTCCTAGGCTTAAGCGATCCTCCTTCCTCAGCCTCCCAAAGTACTGGGATCGCAGGCGTGAGCCACCACACCTGACCCAGTTCTTTATCAGATATGTGTTTCACAAATATCAAATATTTTCTCCCAGTTTGTGGTTTGTCTTCTTATTCTCTTGAGTGATTTTTTTCTTTTTTTTTTTGAGATGGAGTTTTGCTTGTCGCCCCGGCTGGAGTGCAGTGACACGATCTCAGCTCACTGCAACCTCTGCCTCCCAGGTTCAAGTGACTCTCCTGCCTCAGACTCCCAAGTACCTGGGATTACAGGTGCCCGCCACCATGCCCGGCTAATTTTTGTATTTTTAGTAGAGACGGGGTTTCACCATGTTGGCCAGGCTGATCTTGAACTCCTGAACTCAGGTGATCCACTGCCTCGGCCTCCCCAAAGTGCTGGGATTACAGGTGTAAGCCACCACACCCGGCCAAGTGAATTGATTTTTGAGAAAAGTGCACAGGCAATTCAGTGGTGAAAAGACAGTATTTTCTTTCTCTTTCTTTTCTTAAGAGATAGGGGTCTCTCTCCATCACTCAGGCTGGAGCACAGTGGTGCAATCACAGCTCACTGCAGCCTCAACCTCCTGGGCTCAAGGGTTCCTCCTGCCTCAGCCTCTCTAGTAGCTGGAACTACAGGCGTGCACCACTGAGGATAATGTTTTCAACAAATGGGGCTAGAATAACTGGATATTCATAGACAAAAAAAAAAATTGATCCGTACCTCACACCATGTTAAAAAATTAACCCCAGCCAGGCACAGTGGCTCACACCTGCGATTCCAGCACTTTGGAAGGCCAAGGCAAGCGGATTACTTGAGCCCAGGAGTTTGAGACTAGCCTAGGCAACACAGTGAGATCCCATTTCTACAAAAAATACCAAAAAATTAGCATATGAAAAGACATTCAACTTCACTCATAAGAAAAATGATGCAGGCCGGGCACAGTGGTTCACACCTGTAGTCCCAGCATTTTGGGTGGGAGGCCGAGGCGAGTGGATCACTCAGTCAGGAGTTCGAGACCAGCCTGGCCAATATGGTGAAACCCTGTCTCTACTAAAAATACAAAAAAAATTAGCCGGGCATGGTGGTGTGCACCTGTAGTCCCAGCTACTTGGGAGGCTGAGGCAGGAGAATCACTCGAGCCTGGGAGGCGGAGGTTGCAGTGAGCCGAGATCGCACCACTGCACTCCAGCCTGGGTGACAAAGTGAGACTCCATCTCAAAAAAAAAAAAAAATGATTGAAACGACACTGAACCACCACTCACCCCTCAGACTGGCCAATTAAAAAGGCTCGGCTCTGTGGGGTTGCAAAATGGGACCACCCTGTGGAGGGAACGTGGCAATACCCAATGCAACCAATGTGCAATCACCCCGCAGCCCAGCACTACCACACCTAGGAATTCACCCTGAAGACACACCTCAAACAATATGAAAGTACAAACGCACTCAGTTATTCATGGCAGGGTTATCTGAATTTACAAAATATTGGAAATAACCTAACTGACCACAGAGAGGACAGCAGCTGAGGAAACTGTGGCTTATCATGTGGTAGAGTGCCAGCCAGTGAGAAATCCTTGCATCGACACCATGGTTTCCAGGAGAGAGTGTTAGGTGAAAAAAACGGTGGCTGGAAGCTCACACCTGTCATCCCAGCACTTTAGGAGGCCAAGGCAGGAGGATTGCTTGAAGCCTGGAGTTCAAGACCATCCTGGGCAACACAGCGAGACCCCATCTCTTCAAGAAAAATTTTTTAAAAATTAGCTGGGCTTGGTGGCACACACCTGTAGTCCCAGCTACTTGGGAGGCTGAGGTGGGAGGAAGGCTTAAGCCCAGGAGATGGAGGCTACAGTGAGCTATGTTTGCAACACTGTACTCCAGCTTGGGTGACAGAGCAAGACCCTGTCTCTAAAACAAAACAAGCCAAAGTGCAAAAGAGCCTACAAAGAATGCTCCGTCTAGGAAAGAGGGGAATATATGTGTAATGTTTATCTTTACAAAATTAAACACATGGGAGATAAACCAGGAGACAATTATGCTCATTACCAAAAAGCGAGGAGGAGGTACAGGAGGGAGTGGCTCCCTGCATCTGTCTTCAGGGGCAGTTTTGACATCTAGAAGGATGGTCACACTCTACAAACCTAACAGGATGGGGGTGTGGGGTATGGTGGGAGGCACAAGACTGAAAGCAAACGGGAAGGATGAACCCAGCTGTATTTCCAACGAAGGCACCACTACACTGACGGTGGAGAAGCCGACCCAAGGAACTCATGAGCACAGTGCTTGACGGCACCCGCAGTTGTGGGCAGGGAGTGAACTGCACACAATCCCGACCTCTTCATGGTGGGTTTGTTTTTGCAATCCTGTGGCAAAGCTGCACTGGAGCTCTCGAGCAGGCGTGCACTGGACTCCCTAGCAGATGCGTGAGGATGCTGCTGTTGCTGGGGGCCAGGGTCCTCAGGGTGGAGATGGGGGGTGGGGGAGAACCGTGCAAGGTGGGACGGAATCCAGGCACGGTTCTGTGCTGTTTCAGATCTGTACACACATATTACATATGTACGTGTGCAACTGCACGCAGCATGCCTGTCCTCCCTAGCCTGTCCACAGAAAGGGCCTAAAGCTCAGGCACCCCGTGGCATCGAGCACACCTCGTGTCTAGATCCCGGTCTCTAACGCTGTTCCCCACCAAAGGGAGCCAAGACCCACAGAGCAATGGCCGAGGCCAGAGGCCCAAGAGGACGCCCTGCCATGCCTGGTCATGAGGAGGTGCTCGAAGGAGAGGCACGGCACACAGGCAGAGCATGGCAGGGTTCCCGCCAGCAAATCTCGTACACTTTGAACACCAGGATAATTAAAGACAGGAGTGACTCACAGACCACTGAAGTCGGGAGGCAATCCACATGTGGCCAGCGATAAAAGAGAACAAACGAGCGTGGATAACCAGTGAATACCTGAGACACACAGGTGGATGGATGGGGGAGGGAGCCCATGTCTGTGGGATGCTGGGGCCAGGAAGCCTGCTCTCCAGCCCTCACCATCTGGCCTCTGTGGGAGTCAGGAAGTGTCTGCACAGATGTTCGCCAGACGCAATGGGAAAACCAGGAGGCATCAGGTGGAGAGGCAGCCCCAGGGCACCTGGGCAACAGCCACAAGCTCTCAAAGAGCACAGGAAGAAATCATGTCTTTATGCACACGTGTGTGCATGTGTGGTATGTATGCATGGTGTGTGCACGTGTGCATTGTGTGCATGATTGCATTGTGTGGTGTGTATGCATGGTGTGTGCACGTGTGCATTGTGTGTGCACGATTGCATTGTGTGGTGTGTATGCATGGTGTGTGCACCTGTGCATTGTGTGTGTGCATGCGTGGTGGGTATGTATGGTGTGTGCACGTGTGATCATGCATGTATGGTGTGTATGCATGGTGTGCGCATCTGTGCATTGTGTGTGGATGCATGTGTGGTGTGTATGCATGGTGTGCACGTGCATTGTGCATGCGTGGTGTATGCATGGTAATGTGCACGTGTGCACTGTGTGTGGTATGTATGCATGGTGTGTGCACGTGTGCACTGTGTGTATGCATGGTGTGTGCACGTGTGCACTGTGTGTGGTGTGTATTCATGGTGTGTGCACGTGTGCACTGTGTGTATGCATGGTAATGTGCACGCATGCACTGTGTGTATGCACGGTAATGTGCACGTGTGCACTGTGTGTGGTGTGTATGCATGGTGTGTGCACGTGTGCACTGTGTATGCATGGTAATGTGCACGCGTGCACTGTGTGTATGCATGGTAACGTACACGTGTGCACTGTGTGTGGTGTGCATGCATGGTGTGTGCACGTGTGCACTGTGTATGCATGGTAATGTGCACGTGTGCACTGTGTGTGGTGTGTATGCATGGTGTGTGCACGTGTGCACTGTGTGTGGTGTGTATGCATGGTGTGTGCACATGTGCACTGTGTGGTGTGTATGCATGGTGTGTGCACGTGTGCACTGTGTATGCATGGTGTGTGCATGTGTGCACTGTATGCATAGTGTGCACGTGTGCACTGTGTGTGGATGCATGGTAATGTGCACGTGTGCACTGTGTGTGGTGTGTATGCATGGTGTGTGCACGTGTGCACGGTGTGTGGTGTGTATGCATGGTGTGTGCACATGTGCACTGTGTATGCATGGTGTGTGCACGTGTGCACTGTGTATGCATGGTGTGTGCACGTGTGCACTGTGTGGTGTGTATGCATGGTGTGTGCACATGTGCACTGTGTATGCATGGTAATGTGCACGCGTGCACTGTGTGTATGCATGGTAATGTGCACGTGTGCACTGTGTGTGGTGTGTATGCATGGTGTGTGCACGTGTGCACTGTGTATGCATGGTAATGTGCACGTGTGCACTGTGTGGTGTGTATGCATGGTGTGTGCACGTGTGCACTGTGTATGCATAGTGTGTGCACGTGTGCACTGTGTGTGGATGCATGGTAATGTGCACGTGTGCACTGTGTGTGGTGTGTATGCATGGTGTGTGCACGTGTGCACGGTGTGTGGTGTGTATGCATGGTGTGTGCACGTGTGCACTGTGTATGCATAGTGTGTGCACGTGTGCACTGTGTGTGGATGCATGGTAATGTGCACGTGTGCACTGTGTGTGGTGTGTATGCATGGTGTGTGCACGTGTGCACGGTGTGTGGTGTGTATGCATGGTGTGTGCACGTGTGCACTGTGTGCATGCGTGTGTGGTGTGTGTGCATGTATGCATGGTGTGTGCATACGTGTGCAGCAGCACCTGGTCCCATCTCCAGTGCCCAGCAGCATCACACGCACTTTGGTGCTTTATAAATGCATGGTCAGTGAGGCTGACAGCACCAAGCTGTCCCTTTACCATAACACCTGGAATAGTCACCTGTGATAAGCTATCACATAGGAAACATTTTTAAAATTTCATTCTCATTATTTTCTGTAATCTTGAGAGGTTCCAATCAACATTTATTGCCTTATTCTTTTTATCTCATTCCTTTTTGAATGTGTTTATCTCCTAAGATTTTATCTGTGATGGAGATGGGATGCCTGTGAATACAAAAGTTGCAGTGGTGGCACCAGGGTGGGGGGGTGCGGCCGGGGCCACCATGGTCTCCCCTGAGAGGGGGTGCTGTCTTAGGTGCCCCAAGAGGCCCTCGGGCAGCAAGCGTGGGGTGCTGCCAAAATACAGCTCCCCCTGGGTGGGCAGGACACACGTGGCCTCCTGGCAGACAGGTGCCTGGGTGAGCCCGCTGCTCCTGATTAGTCATGAATGGCACCTGGTCTGGGCGACAGTCACCCGCAGGAAGCCCTGAGCTGGCCACCATCACCCTGGGCAGTGGCTCCCGGGGTGCCAACAAGACCTGGGCCCCTCGTTCTTTGGTGCTGAGAGCCCCAGCTGAGGCTGTGGAGGAGGCCCTGGACCTGGTCTGGTGTCTGTCAGAGGCAGGTGCCCAGTCCTTTGACTTGCTTCTCTGAATTGTCATAATTGTGCTGGAATTGTGCCAGAAACTGGTAGTGATAACAGCTCCTGGAAGGCCTGTGGCTGCTGAGGGCTGCCTGGTCCCCCTCAGGACGGCCGGGGGAGCCTCTCCAGAAGCACCAGCTTTGTCTGCAGGTGGACGTTGAAGGGGGGCAGTTGGGTCAGGTTCAGACTCACACCTGTGGTCCCCACGACGCTGGCCAGGACCCGGTGTGTGTCCCTGTAGAGGGCCAGGAGCCCAGGGGCCGCCTCCATGAGGATGTGTGTGTATGCCAGCATGCCTGTCCCCGGCTGCACATCCTCCCTCTTGTCGTACCTGTGGGATGAGAGCTGGTGGTCCTGCCCAGGGCCCCCACATCGCCCTGTCCCCCGCCCCCAAGGGGCCCTCACATGGCCTCTGGGAGGGCCGTGCTGTGTGTGGATCCTACCTCCAGGCGCTGTTGACTTGGAGAAACCGAGACACACCTGTCTGGGCGGCTGCCACGTCAATGTGCAGAAGGACGTCTAGGAAAACCAGGCCTGCCGTCAGAGCCCAGCCCTGCAGTCGGAGCCACAGCAGTCCCCAGGCAGTGCCCCCAGCACCCACCTGTCTGGGGGGGCACCAGCTGGTGCAGCCTCTGCATTGCGACGCCACCTGGGTAGTTGAAATGGGACACATACAGGGCCGTGGCTGAGTAGGCGGCATTCACCACGAGGTGTCCGATCACAAGCAGAGACCCCGCTTTGTACAGCCAAGACTTTTTATAGTTATTCAGCCTGAAAAAAGAATGGTTACACATCATAGGCAGAACGTAATGACAATAAAATTAATCTACCTACAAAACATACTAGGAGCATAACCTGCTGTTCAACTTCACCAAGTCATAACAAAGAGTTCACCACCAAATAAAACAGAGTCAGTAACCCGTAAAAGTGGTTAAGATACTGCCTCAAGAATTGTCTGTGAAATTCTACCCAAGATGCCAATTTAAAATTTAGATGAGATTTTAAAATATATATATATTTTTGAGACAGAGTCTCGCTGTGTCACCCAGGCTGGAGTGCAGTGCCATGATCTCGGCTCACTGCAACCTCCGCCTCCTGGGTTCAAGTGATTCTCCTGCCTCAGCCTCCCAAGTAGCTGGGACTACAGGTGCACGCCACCATGCCCATCTAATTTCTGTATTTTTAGTAGAGACAGGCTTTCACTATGTTGGCCAGGCTAGTCTTGAACTCCTGACCTCGTGATCTGCCCGCCTCAGCCTCCCAAAGTGCTGAGATTACAGGCATGAGCCACTGCGCCCAGCCTAAAAATATATTTTCAAACAATCCCAAGTGACTGTGTAGGTCAGAGTGCCACCCGCGCGGCCAAGCCCACTCCCAGCAGGTCTGAGTGAACTCTCTGGGACAGGGTGCCGCCGGTTCTCTCACAATCGACTATGCCAATCTCAGGATCCTACGGCAGAGTTAGCAGCTGCCACAGACAGTGTGGCCCACGAAGATGAGGCTCTTTATTAGCTGGTCCTTAACGGAAAAGCTTGCCAACCCTGGTCTAAACGCCCTGAACCCCCGATCAAGACTCACTCTCTTCCAAACCCACCAGGCTCCTCGGAGCCCTCTTCTCCACAGGCCCTGCCCTTTGCTATGGTTTGGATCTGCGTCCCCACCAAATCTCATGTCCAACTGTGATCCCCAATGCTGGAGGTGGGGCCTGGTGGGAGGTGACTGGGTCATGGAGGTGGAGCCCTCAGGAATGGATTAGCGCCATCCCCTCCATGCTGTTCTCCTCATACCGAGTGAGTTCTCGAGAGGTCTGCTTGTTTGAAAATGGGTGACACCTCCCCCGTCCCTCTTCGTCCTGCTTTGGCCACATAAAAGCGTGCCCGCTTCCCTCTCGCCTTCCGCCATAATGGAAAGTTTTCCCAGGCCAGCCTGGAAGCTGAGCAGACACCAGTACCACGCTTCCCGTACAGCCTGCGGAACCGCGAGCCAATGAAGCCTCCTCTTTATAAATTATCCAGTCTCAGGTGTTTCTTTACATCAGTGCGAGAGCAGACTAGTGCACCCTTGAACAATCTCTGGTGCGGTTTCTGAGCTCGAGGCCCCACCTAGGATGACCGCAGCCTCCTAAGTGCCTGCCCCAAAGAGCTCAGCACTGCCAGGGCGTTCGTCCTTTGTTCCCGCCCAAACCTGGAGTGGGCAGTCACTGTGGAAAGCTCGCAATCAGAAACCTTCCACCCCCAGGACTGTCTCAAGGCCCTGGGCCCTGACACCGTGGGAAACGGCCTGCTCTTGCTCCCAGGGTGGCCGGGCTGAGGACCTGACTTCGGAGGGGGCCTTGCTCTACCCTGCACCCCCTCATTTGGACTCCCCAAGTTTGTCCTCCTCCGGATAAGGCCGACTGGCACAGCAGGGGCCCTTGCATGGAGCAGCCCCTCACGCCCAGCACACCAGGCCTCAAAGACACAGAGCTGGGTCCAGTTCCCACTGGATCTTCTTCCCTGCTGGAAAAGCCTGTCACCGAATACAATCCATCCGCGCCGCTCTCCCCGTCTTTCCTACCCTCTTTTCCATGACTCTGGCTGGGGTCTGCTCCTCCTCCAGCCCTGAGCCGACCCCTGAGACGAGAGGGAGCCAAAGGCACAGAAAAGCAGAGGCAGAGCTCCCAGGAGCCCCCACTGAGGCGCGGCTACAGCAGCCAGAGGAGCCCCCAACCCAGGCACGGCCACGGCAGCCGGAGGAACCCCCAGCGAGGAACAGTCACGGCAGCCAGAGGAGCTCCCAGGCCCGAGGGCAGTGCGGGGCAGTCGGAGCTGGGGGGCACCATCCCCTCCCCTGTAACAAGTGGCACCGGAAAGCACCTGACCGCTGCCTGAGATCAGGGACCGCATTGTGGGGCTTCCTCTCCAGCCAGAGTGGGCACCTCTCAATGCCCCAGGCCGCGGCCCTCCTGGCCTGTAGCCCTGCCGCCCCTCAATGCCCAGCGTGGCCTGAGTTGGCCTCCTGTTCCCATCAAGGCAGCAAACTCTGAACGGGCACAGAGCTGGCCAGCCTCAGCCCTGGGTTCTTCCGCAGCACCCACAGGGCCAGCAGTGATGGACTCTCCTGGGCCTGAGCCCCGGGTCCTTCCCCAGCACCCACAGGGCCCGGCAGTGATGGACTCTCCTGGCTCCCTGAGGCTTGCAACACTGAGTGGCAGCCGCGCTCAGACCACCCCACCCTCAGCCCAGGCAGTGCCCTCCCCAGGCCCTGCCAGGCCCCCAGCTCCACCTCCATCACCTGCTGCCTGCAGTCCCTCCCCGCAGGAAGCCCCCTGCCCTCCACAGGACCTTGAGCCTGGGCCACGCTGGGCCCTCTGCACCCAGCCATAGGCACCTCCCTCACCATCCCCCTCTTCCAGCCAGATGACCCGCCTTGACAAACGCCCTCAAGCCCGAGGCCCTGTCAGGATGGCCACGAACGCCCTTCCTCTACCTGACCTGTCGCCCTCAGAGCCTCCCAGGCCTGGCTGCCCCTGCCCTCTGCCGCTGCTACCTATGTGAGTGTCACTCTCCCATGACAGAGACTGGGACCGCTGGTGCATCACCATATGTGGACCAGTCACCAAATTAACCCAAGACAGAGACCACCTGAGCAAAGCCCTCTGTCAGCACAATGCCAGGCCGGTCCCATCCCATGCAGCCCTCAGGGAGGAGAGAGGACTGGGGTCACCCTCCTTTGACATAAGCGCCTAGTTCAACACACCCTGTGTTTATCTTAAAAAACAGCCCTGGTGGCTCACACCTGCAATCCCAGCACTTCCAGAGGAGGAGGCAGGAGGATGGCTTAACCCCCTAGGAGTTGAGGGGTGCAGTAAGCCCCACTCCAGCTGGGCGACAGAGCAAGACCCTGTTTCAAAAATTAAACACACACATACATCCCCCCAACAGTAAATCAGTGAACCTGTTTCCAATGAAACTATAAAAATGCATGTCACAAAAAGAGCACTCACAGGTAGGAGCAGCCTCTGGCAGCCGTGATGTTGAGCATGGGGAAGGCATAGATGATGAAGCGTAGCTCCTTGTGTGGCAGGAGGGAGTAGAGTGCCATGAAGCCCAGTGCCAGCACCGTCGGCGCGTGCGTCCTTCTGTCTACCAAGCCCAGGGGGATGAAGAGCAGGCTGCAGCCCAGGCCGCGGGGCAGGGCTGAGTAGAAGTACCACAGCAGCGGGGAGGTCTGCGGGCTGGGTTAAGGAGGCCACGCACCTGTCCACGCATGAGCCCGTGGGCTAGGTGGCAGGGTCAAGGTGGAGAAGACGCTTGAAGACAGTTGTGCTGAGAGATGCAGCCTGGACCACGGCTCGTGTGCACAGACACCACTCAGGCCTCAGGCCCCTCCTAAAAGACAGAGCCCAGGCCACAGCTCGGGTGCACACATACCACTTGGGCGTCGGGCCCCCTCCAGGCAGGACCAAGGCAGCAAGGGCCACAGGACGTTCGGTCTCTGTACCCTTTTCTTCACTGTTAAAAACAGATGGTCGGCCGGGCGCAGTGGCTCATGTCTGTAATCCCAGCACTTCGGGAGGCCAAGGTGGGTAGATCACGAGGTAAAGAGATCGAGACCATCCTGGCCAACATGGTGAAACCCTGTCTCTACTACAAATACAAAAATTAGCTGGGCATGGTGGCATGTGCCTGTAATCCCAGCTACTCAGGAGGCTGAGGCAGGAGAATCACTTGAACCAGGGAGTTGGAGGTTGCAGTGAGCCGAGATCATGCCACTGTACTCCAACCTGGCGACAGAGTGAGACTCTGTCTCAAAAAAAAAAAAAAAAAAAACCAAAAAACAAAAAACAGACGGTCACGGGTGACACACATGTTGGGATTCGTTATGCTGTTCCATCTATGCGTGTATGTTTGACATAATTCCTAAGAAAGCACTTTTTAAATGCAGATTGTCCGGGCCGGGCGTGGTGGCTCACACCTGTAATCCCAGCACTTTGGGAGGCCAAGGCAGGTGGATCACCTGAGTTCAAGAGTTCAAGATCAGCCTGACCAACATGGTAAAACCCCACCTCTACTAAAAATACAAAAATTAGCCAGGTGTGGTGGCGTGCGCCTATAGTCCCAGCTACTCATGAGGCTGAGGCAGGAGAATTGCTTGAACCAGGGAGGTGGAGGTTGCAGTGAGCCAAGATCATACCACTGTACTCCAGCCTGGGCGACAGAGCGAGACTCAGTCTCAAAAAAAAAAAAAAAAAAGCAGATTGTCCGAGGAGCAGAGGAGAGGCTGGGGTAATCTGGGGCAGGGCTGTTTCCAGCCCTCAGGCTGTTTCCTGGCTGAGAGAGGGCAGCCAGGACCTCACCTCCCATGGCCAGCATTTCCCAGGAGCAAGTGGGAGGGAGGGGCTCCATCCTGACCCTGCAGCCACGCTGCAGAGAAGGGAGAAGCAGCTGCTTCCACTGCCCATGGAGGCCCAGGAGATGTGGCTGCAGGTCCCACCCATCGCCCTCCTGCACGGACACTGAAGGATACCCCCCAGTTGGAGCTTTTGTTCAGGACAGTGTTGTACCAAAGCACCTTTCCTTCCGGCCAAGTGAGCTGCCGCCAAAAATAAGAGTCCACAGCAACCGTCAGTCCTGACAAAATAAAATAGAGTTTCTTAGTCGCAAACACAGCCATCAGTAAACATCCCGCCACAATGCAGCCCCCATCACTACAGAAACTACAAGCTGCTTTCATATAAAAGAGGTTGGGCAGGGTGGGAAGATTGCTGGAGCCTAGGAGTTCAAGGTTGCAGTGGGCCATGATCATGCCACTGCACTCCATCCTGGGTGACAGAGCAAGACTATCTCTAAAACAAAAAAAGAAAAAAGACACCAACTGTGTCGAGGACACCACTGCCCAGAACCACCGCCTGGCGCAGGGACAAGCCGCCCTCCACTCTTGTGGCCTCCCCCAGCCCAAGGACAAGGGACAGACCAGTGAACAGGGGCTCCTAAGGCGCACGGTGGGTCCCCCTGGAGATCCCCGGGCAGGGGGCTTAGGATTGAAATGTTTTCAACACTGCTAAATTTAGGGTCATTTTATTTCATGGGGATGAAAACCTCCCAAATTTCTCTTGACCTTTGTAAAACAAGGCAAAACAAAATCCAGTTAGAAGCATCCCACAGTGACTGACTTACCTAAACAGAGGATCCCTGCCGGGACGGCGTGGCGAAGGGCTCTGACTACAGAAACCTTTCGGTTGCCCAAGGCCAGCAGCAGCAGGAGGCCCAGGAACAGGCACAGCTCCACCCTGAACACGATGATGGCGAAGGCTGACAGCCAGATGAAGCGGGCCCACTCGTGCCGCAGCCAGGCCGCGAGGGCCAGCAGGACTGCAAGACAGTGCGGGAGGGTGCTCGTCAAGACACAGGGCCCACCCGGCCCAGAAAACACCCGGGGAAGTGAAGGGTGATTCCTTTTCCTATTATAAAAGCCACACAAATATCCCAGAAAAGAAACTGCTCAGAGCCGCTCCCCGCACCTATGCTGTTGGCCAGGAAGTGTGTCCCAACCCAGCATGGAAAACAAAGAGCCTGGTTTCAGGTCACAGACCATCCTGAGGAACCCAGTGGGGAATGGCCATTACGGGGGAGGCACTGCCATCAGCTGCACAGCCCGACTCAGGGGAGCCCCTGCCCGGCACCATGGGTGTGCAGGCCCGGCCGGCAGCTACGTACCTACAGGCAGGGCCAGCACATTGGGCAGTGTCCGCGTGCAGTAGAACATCAGGTGGAACTGCATGGCCGTCACCCAGCAGAACATGGTGGCCACCATGGCCCCGAAGTGCCGTCTCACTTCCTTTTGTAACGTCCAGAGTCCAAAAATCACGCCGAGTCCAAGCACTCCTCTAACTAAACAAAGACAGTGACAGCACCTGAGCCTGCAGTGGAGGAGTATCCAGTGGGGCCCCCTACGTGGGTCCTTCTACACAGATCTTTCTATATGGAGTTTTCTATGCTGCTGCAATGCCAGCTGACGGCTACGTCAGGCAAAGCAGCCTTGAGGGCATCGTCTCCATGTTGAAAACAGACGACTGGACCCAGGCCCCCTGCGCTCCTGTCGGGAACTGAGGACCCTTGCGGGGGCTGCTCTCTGAAGCATGAGGGAGGACACACAACTTGGGGGTGCCACGAGCTGAGCCCTACACTAAACCAGAGACCCCACCGGGCTGTGGCATCTCCAGGGGAAATGTTTGCAAAGGCCGGGCTCAGACCTTGCTCTAACCAGCAGCCATGAGGAGGTGGGATGTGGCAGGAACACAGGCTCCCAGGCAGGAAGGGGGTCAGGACCCCTCTCCCCATTTGACAGCAGGAGCCACCTCTGGGCTGGTGGTCTGATGAGGAGGTGGTGAGGGGGCAGGTGTGCCCAGGACAGTACCCAGCCGACCACACATCCTCACCGTGGACCGGCCTGTCAGCCGCTGGCAAGAGACTGAAAACAGGAAGAAAAATGAACTTCTGGGTGGCTCTTGCTACCTTTCCAGAAGGCCAGAGGAACTTCGAAGCCATGTGAGAAGCAACTGGGTCCAGGCAGCTGTGGGGGCCAATGGGCAGAGATACCCAGGCACTGCCAAGGGGGCCACGGATGTCTGAGGGCTGGACCTGCTGTTCCCAGAATACCCCATGTGCATACCAGGCATTTTCTTTTCACTGATTGCTGGATTCGGACTGCAAATGTCTTTTTTTTTTTCTTTTTAAGGACAGAGTTTCCCTCTGTTGCTCAGGCTGGAGTGCAGTGGCATAATCTCGGCTCACTGCAACCTCTGCCTTCCGGGTTCAAGCAATTCTCCTACCTCAGCCTCCGGAGTAGCTGGGATTATAGGCGCATGCCAACACGCCCGGCTAATTTTTGTATTTTTAGTAGAGACAAGGTTTCCCATGTTGGCCAGGATGGTCTCAAACTCCTGACCTCAGGTGATCCCCCCGCCTCGGCCTCCCAAAGTGCTGGGATTACAGGCGTGAGCCACCATGCCCAGTCTGAATGTCTTAATAGGACATTTTTCACTGATACTCACAAGTGGGTCTGGCTCCAGCTGCTGTATTTTTGGTGCTGGAATTTCCCCCGGGCTTTTAAACAATTCACAGACCCCAGCAAAGCCCCGCTTCCCCTTTTCCCCATCAGGTCCATCCCCTGCGTCTCTTCTCTTGGTTTTCCATCTTCCCAAATGCCCAACAATCTCAACCCCGTGCCCAACAAGGGTAGCCTCGGCCTCACGATCAGCCTCGGCTGCGGGATCACCCTCGGCCCCGGGATCAGCCTCGGCCACGGGATCACCCTCGGCCCCGGGATCAGCCTCGGCCGCGGGATCAGCCTGGCCCCGGGATCACCCTCGGCCCCGGGATCACCCTCGGCCCCGGGATCAGCCTGGCCCCAGGATCACCCTCGGCCCCGGGATCACCCTCGGCCCCAGGATGACATGCTCTTCATCCAGAGAGGAAGGATTTTGGCCTGTGGCAGGGGCTGGGGGGGGCACTAGCAATTCCAGGTCACCTTAGTGGGATCAGGAAGGACACAGGGTGGGCTCCCGTTCACCAGCTGAAGCTGCAGCCCTCCAAGGTTCTGTCCAGCTGGAGTCCACCCAGCTCTGCCCAACCTCCCAACCTCTTGCTGCCAACCCTGGAATAAGCAGAAGCTTCCAAGGGAATGTGGACTCAGCCCCGGAATTGCCTGTGGACTTCCTTTCCCTGGCTCGTGGCCCCCCAACTCCTCCCCATTTGGGGCTTCCTGATGCCTCTACAGGACATGCACGGCTTGTCCAGCTGTCCCCGTGCCATGGTGGGTTTCCGTTCCCAATCTGCCCCTTCAAGAAGCAGAACTGCTCCTTCCCCAGGAACGTGCTACTTCTTAAAGCTCTCCACACAAGCTGGACTGACTCGCTGGAAGCATGTCTGGGTATTAAAAGCAATAAAAGCGTACTGAAATAAAAAAGTGGTGATTGCTGACTTCAAAAACTCAGGTTGTGTGACTGGGCGTGGTGGCTCATGCCTGTAATCCCAGCACTGTGGGAGGCTGAGGTGGGACAATCACTTGAGCCCAGGAGTTCAAAGCTGTAGTGAGCTATGATTGCACCACTGCACTTCAGCCTAGGTGACACAGCAAGGCCCTGTCTCAAAAAAGAAAAAAAAATCGGTTTTTAGAACAATATGTACAAAACGTTCTAATTTTTTTTTTTTAAAGTCCTCATGTGGGCACAGAGAAAGACCCAGGATTTGCACACAGGCCCTGCAGTGGTGGCCTCTGGGAATGTGAGGTTTCTGTTTGTAACATTCCCCAAGGCAAATGGTGCTGCTTCTGCAGGAATAAAGGCTGTTGACCCCATGGGGGCTTGCCAGGTGAGGCGGGAGCAGCAGGCTCAGGTGGCGAGAGCTGCCTCACAGGCAGTCGGCATTTCTCTTGTACCTGCCGTCACCCCTAATTTCACAGTCAAGAGTGTGGAGGCACAGAGGGGCTGACTCAGACGTCTTAGGCCTGACCTGAGCACCTGCTCTGAGCCGCCATGCCACGGTGATCGAGGGCAGGCAAGACTAACAGACAGCGTTCCTGGGCAGGAGGGACCGCGGCCTCGCTGAGGTCACCCGATGACACCACAGTCCCTCACTCCCTCCTCCTTTGTTGAAGACCCCCTTACCTATTAGCTGAGAGTAAAACTTGGACATTTCTAACAGCGAAAGCACGTAAACCGCGGGGCTGGAGAACACTGCGATCACCACTGGCCCGAGGAACGTCCTGGGGACGACTCCGGGGAACTCAAGATGGTCGTACTGCGAGGAGAAGGGCAGGTCAGTGCACCGGGGCCCTGCCAGCTGGTAACATGAGGTTTTCCCCAAAGACAGCAGGGGCCCCTCACCTGCTCCAGGTCTTGCCAGTGGTAGAGCAGGTCATGTGTGGCCTGCAGGTTGAAGCTCTCCTCCACTTTGGTGTAGGGACAGATGACCAGGTGGACAGTGGCTACGGCCACCAGCAGCCCCAGCAGCAGGGGCCGCCTGCCTGATGACCCCTTTCCAGCCATTCCAGGCTTTCAGCTTCACGTACCTTCACAGGCCAACAGTGCGAGACACCAGCCGTTAGCACTGCCACTCCACGCATGCTGGAAAAGTGGAAACAGATTCCTGAGGTTCGAAAGTCACGCTTGCGCTCACGTTTGGGAGATCCGGGTAAAGGGTTAGCAGAATTCTCTGAACTACTGTCTTAGTCGCACTACTACAAATCTGAAAACGCATCAAGATGGAAAGTTTGGAGAAAAAATCACACTTGAGAATCTTTCATACTGTAACCAGTGATCTGACACTTCCAGCTCTGTGAATGTTTTTCTAGGCAGAAGGATCTCAGTCGCAGAACCCTGAGTCTGACCAGGCCTGGGCCACGAGGGCAATGGAGGGTGGTAAATGGCCCCTGCCCCCCAGTCTAAATCTGGCAGGAGAGTCAGCAAAACCCAGGCTTGGCCCCGAGGGAACCGGCTGAAGAAGACGGAATGGGAGGCTGAGGGGTGCCAGTTAGCTGGGTGGGAGGCACCAAGCTGGAGAGTGGTGGACAGGGGCCCCGGGAGGGCAAGAAACTGAACGTAGTACAGCTGCTGGGACACAGGGCTCGAGTGGCCAGCAAAGCCCCCGCTCCCAGGAATGGTGGGATGGGGCTGTGGACGCCTGCGCCGAACCCCACCCTGGGGGCTGGGAGAAGCCATGGCCGGCTTTCCCAAAGGTGGCACCACACTGGCCATGAGCCTGCATGTGAGCCTGGGAAGACTGGCAATGGGTCCCCCAAACACTAACAGGACAACCTCAGGGGCCCGTGGCACGGAGCTTCCTGAGAGGCCAGCAACATGTCCAGCTGCTACACGTGAGAGACCAAGGGAGGGGAGGGGGCAAACTCTTCACGTTTCTGGCTTCTTTTAAAACAGATTTGATTTTATTCAATCCAAACCAGAAGGGCCAGAAGCAAAGGGAGAGAGAACCCCAGGGCTTACCATTTATTAAAACTACTTTAAAAATTTTTTTTAAGAGACAGCGTCTTACTCTGTCACCCAAGCTGGAGTGCAGTGGAGTGATCATGGCTCACTGCAGCCTCAAACTCCTGGGATCCTTTTGCCTGAGCCTCCTGAGTAGCCGCAGCTACAGGTGTGGGTCACCACACTCAGCTAAGTTTTCTTATTTTTTGTAAAGACAGGGTCTTGCTTTGTAGCCCAGGCTGGTATGGAATTCCTGGCTTCAAGCCATCTTCCTACCTTGGCCTCCTGAAGTATTGGGATTACAGGCGTGGGCCACCATGCCCAGCCAAAACTATCTTTTGATCAAACGGAGAGTTAAGAAGTATACAAAGATGGCAACCAAAGGAAAATCTGTAGATTAGAAGGAAGGAGAACCCTATTTGATATGGTGGGCAGGGGGTGGAGAGAAAGAAAAAAGAAAGCTTTAATAATTTTACGACTGAAATGGTATGCAGTTCTCTCCTTTGCCAAATATAAAAACCTGGGGCCGGGCGCGGTCGCTCATTCCCGTAATCCCAGCTCTTTGGGAGGCTGAGGGCCAGGTGCGGTGGCTCATTCCCATAATCCCAGCTCTTCGGGAGGCTGAGGTGGGTGGATCACGAGGTCAGCAGATCAAGACCATCCTGGCCAACATGGTGAAACCCTGTCTCTACTAAAAATACAAAAATTAGCTGGGCATGGTAGTGCACGCCTATAATCCCAGCTACTCGGGAGGCTAAGGCAGGAGAATCGCTTGAGCCCAGGAGGCAGAGGCCGCAGTGAGCCGAGATCACACCACTGAAATCCAGTCTGGGCCACAGAGCGTGACTCCGTCTCAGAAATAAATAAATAGATAATAAAAAAATTTAAAAAAATAAACTTGGTATCAAACAAAGAGAAAGGTCGAAGGACTAGGTTAGGAATCACTAACTGAGGGAGGGCCCACTCAGCTGTCTCCCACTTGCTAAGACACAAGCTTTTTGACGGTGGGGGGTTTTTGATGCTGGATGATTTTTCCCACCAGCGCAGCCTCAGCACCAAGGACAGAGGCCAGCCGCTGTGGCCTGAAGGCTGCCTCGCTGCCACCTCCCCTGCTGGACTCATCCTGCGGGCAGGGCTTGCTTGGTGGACTCACTGCTGAATCAGCAAAGCCTGCCGCACAGTAGGCACTCAACAAGGCTGCCGAAGAAGAAATCGGTAAAAACTCCTACATGGGGTTCTCATCACACCAGCTCACGTGCTTATTAAAAATTCCAGCAGCCGGGAGCGGTGGCTCATTCCTGTAATCCCAGCACTTTGGGAGGCTGAGGCGGGTGGATCACAAGGTCAAGAGATCGAGACCAGCTTGGCCAACATGGTAAAACCCCGTCTCTACTAAAAATACAAAAAAATTAGCTGGAGTGGTGGCGAGTAGTCCCAGCTACTTGGGAGGCTGAGGCAGGAGAATGGTGTGAACCCAGGAGGTGGAGCTTGCAGTGAGCCGAGATCGCGCCACTGCACTCCTGCCTGGGCGACAGAGCAAGACTCCATCTCAAAAATAAATAAATAAATTAATTAAATTAAATAAAAATATGTTCCAACGGCCGGGCGTGGTGGCTCATGCCTGTAATCCCAGCACTTTGGGAGGCTGAGGTGGGTGGATCACAAGGTCAGGAATTCAAGACCAGCCTAGCCAGCATGGTGAAACCTCATCTCTACTAAAAATACAAAAATTAGCTGGGCATGGTGGTGTGCGCCTGTAATCCCAACTACTTGGAAGGCAGAGGAGGAGAATTGCTTGAACTCGGGAGGCAGAGGTTGCAGCAAGCCAAGATCGCACCACTGTACTCCAGCCTGGACAACAGAGCCAGACTCCGTCTCAAAAAAAAAGAAATAGGAAGCAAGCCGGATGTGTTGGCTCACGCCTGTAATTCCAGCTACTCAGGAGTTCAAGACCAACCTGGGCTACAGAGCCAGACCCCATCTCCACAAAAATAATCCCAGCTACTCAGGAAGCTGACATGGGGGGTACTGCTTGAGGCCCGGAGTTCAAGACCAACTTGGGCTACATCATGAGACCCCATTTCTACAAAAATAAAAAATAAAACGGAACGGGGAGCATCTACGTGCCAAGATGTGGGAGGTGCACACAGCAAGTGCTGCTTGGCAGTCCCCCACAACCCCACTCCACACCTCTCCACCCAGGGGAGTTCCCCAGCAAGGAAGAGTTCAGCTGTGGGGTGAAAACATTACGTGCTGACTCTGACACTCCTGGCGGGCCCCCAGCACCTCCTCGGACCCAACAAGGTGTGCCTTCTGCTGATGACCAGCACAGCTCACTTTCGAGGGCATGAGAAGACCAAGGGTGAGTCTGGATTCTCTGCCAGGAGCACGGGAAGACCAAGTCAACACCAGCAAGCACGAAAACCACGACGAACCCCCCACCAGGCGAGGGTGAACGGACACTGTCCTGCACTAGCCCACTCTGCTGGGCAGCTGGGCAGCAGCTGTGGCTAATCTAAGTGACGGGTGCTTCGAGAGCACCCACAGGTTAAAACGGGCCCAGGCCATGACACTTTAAAATGGTGGTTTACAGAACAATGGCATCTCAGATTAGGGAATGACCTGCAAAGACCCTCTTGTCCCCATCAATCCAGATTTTAAGGCCTCTACCGAAATTGATCAAATCAGGCTAAGCATGGTGGCTCACGCCTGTAACCCTAGCACTTTGGGAGGCTGAGGCAGGCAGATCGCTTGAGGTCAGGACTTCGAGACCAGCCTGGCCAACATGGTGAAACCCCGTCTCTACTAAAAATACAAAAATTAGCCGGACCTGGTGGTGGGTGCCTGTAATCCCAACTTAGGAGGCTGAGGCAGCAGAATCACAGGAACCTGGAAGGCGGAGCTTGCAGTGAGCTGAGATCGCGCCACTGCACTCCAGCCTGGGCGACAAAGTGAGACTCCGTCTCAAAAAAACAGAAAAGAAACTGGTCAAATCAGATGTTACTTTTTTTTTTTTTAAATGTGCAGTGTTATCTGCACTCCTTCCTTCCACAGGCAGGAGTTCTCTGAAATCCAGACGCTGCACGTTTTATTTCCCCTAATTTAAACCAGGGGTTCCTGAACATGAGCGAGTGTTCATCACCTCAAGCGCCTGTAGAAATGCAGATCCCCAGCCCCCAGAGACCCTAAGTGGACCCCAGATCCCCAGCCCCCAGGTGAAAAACCCATCCCCCAGGTGGGAGGTCCGGCCCCAGGTGAGGAGCCCGGCCCCAGGTGAGAGGTCCAGCCCCAGGTGAGAGGTCGGGCCCCCGGATGAGAGGTCCGGCCCCCGGGTGAGAGGTCTGGCCCCCAGGTGACAGGTCCAGCCCCAGGTGAGGAGCCCGGCCCCAAGTGAGGGGTGCAGCCCCAGGTAAGGAGCACGGGGCTGTGACGCGTGGACATGCGCGGTGAGGCCTCAGGAATCCAGCGCCAGCGCCAGCTCGGGTCGCGCCCTCGCCCGCCTCCTCCCTGGTCTCGCCGCGCGCCCGCCTGAAGGCCCCGGTCGCGGCAGCGCGCACTGACCTCCGCAGCTCCCGGCGGCGTCCTTCGAAGCGCGGCTGCCTGGGCCAGCCTCGGCAGGAAGCAGGACGGCGGAAACAGAACAGAGCCCGAATCTAAAGTCCTTGCCCAAATCTAAAGTGGCTACCGCAGCCCCGGCCGCTACGGCCGCAGAGACCCTCTGTGCCCTGAGTAAAGATGGCCGCCGCGGGCTGCGCGCGAGGGGCGGGGAGCGGGAGGCGGGGTCGGACCTGCACGCCCCGCCCCCGGACTCCTGGCGGCCGCTGATCCGGGGCCTTCCCATTGGTCACCTCTCGTGGCGAACTCGGATTGGGCCATATCAGGCCGGGGCGGGTCCCATCAACCAATAGCGGCGCGGGGCTGGCGGGTGGGGCGGGGCCTCGCCGGCGCCGTCAAGTAGCCTGGGGGACAGGCCGGCGCGGCTGGGAGCGGGTGGGCGGCCGGGAGGCCGGAGCAGCACGGCCGCAGGACCTGGAGCTCCGGCTGCGTCTTCCCGCAGCGCTACCCGCCATGCGCCTGCCGCGCCGGGCCGCGCTGGGGCTCCTGCCGCTTCTGCTGCTGCTGCCGCCCGCGCCGGAGGCCGCCAAGAAGCCGACGCCCTGCCACCGGTGCCGGGGGCTGGTGGACAAGTTTAACCAGGTGGGAAGGGGCCGGGCGGGGTCGTCAACCTTGGGCCCGGGGTCCCCCTCACCCTGCATCCGGGGTCGCCCCACCTTGGGCCCAGGGTCGCCCTCACCCTGGATCCGGGGTCCCCCTCACCCTGGATTCGGGATCCCCCTCACCGTCGATCCAGAGTCCCTCCACCGTGGTCCTGGAGTCCCCCTCACCCTTGACCCGGATCCACCCCCACCGTGGAACCAGGGTCGACGCCACCGTGGGCCTGGAGTCCCCTCACCCTCGACCTGGGCTCGCCCCCACCCTGGACCCGGGTCAGGTGGTACCAAGCACTATGGGCACTGTCTCCTCGCAGGGGATGGTGGACACCGCAAAGAAGAACTTTGGCGGCGGGAACACGGCTTGGGAGGAAAAGACGCTGTCCAAGTACGAGTCCAGGTGGGTGCCCTGGAGCACCCCTGTGGGTCTTGGCCTGGCGCTGTCCTGGGAAGTCGTGTCCTGCCTTTGGTGCCTGTGTTAATGACAGGGAGACAGAACAGCCCCCGAGGCACCAGTCACCCGTCCGAGTCACCTCGGCTTCTCCCTGAGGACTAATGGCTGGCCCCTCTCTGGCCTTCCAGCTTCTGCTCTGGTCCCTACCCCCTCAACAGACAGTGGCTTTTCAAAATGTAAACTGGAACACCAGCCCCACTTGTGGGAACCGCTCCTGGCTTCCCCTGACAGTGGGGTCCCCTTATTCTCTGTGCCCGGAGTCCTGGCTCCCCGGCCCCTGCACCCAGGTTGGCGTATTGGTTCGGATTTTTCTTCACTGCCTTGGAGGCGCTGACGGTGGGCCGGTGTGGGCCTGTGTTTCAGCGAGATTCGCCTGCTGGAGATCCTGGAGGGGCTGTGCGAGAGCAGCGACTTCGAATGCAATCAGATGCTAGAGGCGCAGGAGGAGCACCTGGAGGCCTGGTGGCTGCAGCTGTGAGTGCCTTAAAACCTCTTAGAAGATACTTTTTATTTTCCAACTTAGAATTTGAAATAACCTCAGACTTAGAAAGGTACAGGAACAGTAGGGAGCTCCCACCTGCCTCGCACCCACCTTACCCCTGCATTACCGTTTTTTATCACCAGAGTCAGCGATCAAAACCAGGAAATTAAGGAGAAGATTCTGTCCACACCTAGACTCTTGTTTCCTGGACCTTACAATACTCCAGAGCATATGTTACGTTCAGCTGCATGTTTGTTTTAAAGAACCGTGTCTGCTGGGATTCAGTGAATGTTTTCCTCCATCCTCAGGAAGAGCGAATATCCTGACTTATTCGAGTGGTTTTGTGTGAAGACACTGAAAGTGTGCTGCTCTCCAGGAACCTACGGTCCCGACTGTCTCGGTGCGTTTCTCCTCAGGGAAATCCCATCTCCTACGTCACTTCCCCTCTTCTTCTCATGATTCTTGGGAGGTAAAAGCACAGAGGGGACCTGGGGTGCATCAGCTTTCTGTAGGGTCTGGGACCCTGCCGGATGGCTGCCTCCCCCATCCCCAACACAGCTTGGAGCACTTCGCACCGTCTGGCTGCAGCCTCACCACTAACCTCATGCTTTAGCGTAAAACTCTGAGTATGTCTTCCCAGCTGTGCTGTTAATTCAGGGGTTCACAGACTCAGGTTGTTCACAGCTGAGTCCACTCACCTGAGAGTCTGTCCTGACTGACCTGTCCAGGTGCTTCTCCCTGTGTGCACAGAGGTGACCACACCACAACTTCTGTGGCTGCTATTGCAGAGAGCGCAGGGCACTGGGTGTCTATCAGGCTGGGCACATGGCCTTGAGCCCCAATGGGTGCCAAGGGACAGGGCTCTTCTGTGAAGAAGTGTGCATTGAAACTGAAGTCACGGTTTACTGTTTATAAAAGCCAATCTCGTGGTCAAGCGAGATCAGGTAGCAGAAGTTTCAGGTTCAGACCCCCCACCCGCCCACCATCAGCCTTCTGCCAGCCCCTGCTGCTGTCCCTGGCATGCACTGGAGGCCGCAGCTAATGTTCCCACTCTCCCTGCAGTCCCCGCGCCTGACGCGTCAGTGTCCCTATCACCATGTTTCAGCTGAGGCTGCCCAAAGCCACACAAAGTGCAGTCATGTGTAACGACCAGGCGTGTTCTGAGAAATGCGTCATTAGGCGACTTTGTCATGGTGCAAACATCACAGCGTGCACTCCACACGCCACACGCCACACGCCTAGATGGTGCAGCCGCTCTGCACCTAGGCTGCCTGGCAGGCCCTGCTGCTCCCAGGCCGCACACCTGCACGGCTCGTGAGGGTCCTGAGTACTGTGGGCCATTTGGCACGTGGTAAGAATGTGTCACCTGAACACATCTAAACATAGAACAGGTAATGAGGCACATTGTGATGTCACTAGGCAATAAGAGCCGCTCAGCTTTAGTATCATCTTAGGGGACAGCTGTGCTATGCAGGGTCCCTTGTTGACCTAAACGTCATCATGCAGCACGTGGCCATAGTGAAGCCCAGGAGCCTGTGGCTTGCTCCACTCAGGCGATCCACCGCCAGCCCTGCAGACCCAGGAAATCAGTTTCCCCAAACACCCACTCCAAGCCTTCAGGCTCATGTACGTCCTCAGAATCGTACAGGGTTTGGGTGCCATGCGTTCTCTCCGTGTGAGAACACCGCACCGGTCACCACCAGGTGTGCTCTGAGCATGGTTTTGTGTCCCCTAAAGCATGCCAGGGCGGATCCCAGAGGCCCTGCAGCGGGAATGGCCACTGCAGCGGAGATGGGAGCAGACAGGGCGACGGGTCCTGCCGGTGCCACATGGGGTACCAGGGCCCGCTGTGCACTGACTGCATGGACGGCTACTTCAGCTCGCTCCGGAACGAGACCCACAGCATCTGCACAGGTACGGGCTACGCCTGGGCTGGCCCCGGGGTTGAGGCGGGATGACAAGAGCCCCTTGCTGGAGCTGCCTGCCTAGATGGGAACAGGGGCCTGTTGATCTTTAACCCCAGATGTCCAAGGAAGCTTCGAGGGCCCAGAAGGATGAATGAAAACATCAGAGGATAGAGGCAGAGGTTGTCGGGCACTTCCTGTCCCGTAACAGCCCTCAGAAGGGAGAAGCTACTCACCTTTCTCTCTAGTTCAAGGTCCACCCCGACCTTGAGTTGTGATGGGCCATGCAGTGCACAGGTCCTGGAGGTGCCGTGTGGGCCCCGCACCGGCCCAGAGAGCAGCATCTGTCAAATCCCTGCAGGCCGTTATGAGTGGCATCTTTCCAAAGGACGTTTTCTCCCTGGTTGTCACTGATATGTAGGAAAACTCTGAGTGTCTCGGACGTGAGTGTGTGGTTGGCCGGCAGCCCCTAGGCTATTCTGGGCAGACAGACCCGTGGATCGATAGTCAGGACCGGCCTCTCCGATTCTTACGCCCCTCAGCAGTCAGGACCGGCCTCTCCGATTCTTACCCGCCTTGCTGTCTGTCTCTTGGATGTTGGCGTGGCGTGGGCCACGCATGGATCCGTGGCCGGAACACGCACACCCAGCCAGGCTACAGCTCCAGAGTATGGATAGCTGCCTTCTCTCCAGGTTATTAAAAATTCCTTGGAGTCCTGGTTTGCTGAGAATTTTAAATTCATGGGCACTGAAAATCCCGTGTTGCTTTTCCCTCTTAAATTCCTCACTTTTAAACGAGCCTTGTCCCCAAGCTGGTACCTGAGAGTGGGGTTTGTACCCAGGCCCGCCTTTGCCTTCCAGCCTGTGACGAGTCCTGCAAGACGTGCTCGGGCCTGACCAACAGAGACTGCGGCGAGTGTGAAGTGGGCTGGGTGCTGGACGAGGGCGCCTGTGTGGGTGAGGAGCGGCCCGGGGGTGGAGGAGGGCGCCTGCGTGAGGCGTGGGGGGTGTGAGATGGGGGCGTAAGGCGTGGGGGGTGTGAGGCATGGGGGCGGGAGGCAGGGGGGCGTGAAGTGTGGGGGCGTGAGGTGGGGGCGTGAGGTGTGGGGCTTGGGGTGTGGGGGGCGTGAGGTGTGGGGGAGCATGAGGTGGGGCGTGAGGTGTGGGGGCGTGAGGTGGGGGCGTGAGGTGTGGGGGCACTCACTGTCTCACTCTCACACAATGTGTCGCCATCCTCATGGGGCGCCTGCCCCGGTTGGCACTGAGTGTCTAAGGACAGGGCCTGGCCATCGCCTCATCCCCTCCCCTGCCGCGTGGGGCCTCCGAGGATGGCATTTGAGATGATTCCTCCTCAGGGGCTGCCCTCCTCCCTGCCCTTCCCCAGCCGGCCCTGGCCACGGGCTGTGTCAGGCCATGATCGGTCCTTCCCCGCTCCCTGGCCGGGCTGTCCTGGGCCGCTCACAGCTGTGCCGCTCTGTTCCAGATGTGGACGAGTGTGCGGCCGAGCCGCCTCCCTGCAGCGCTGCGCAGTTCTGTAAGAACGCCAACGGCTCCTACACGTGCGAAGGTGGGCCAGGCGGGCGGGTCTGCACTCCGGGGCCTGCCGGGTTTCGTTGCTGCCTTTGTCAACATTCATTTATGGCTTCTTAGTGTCACTTCCATACATCCTGCCTGCCCTGAGAACACTTAGTGTGGCAAAGTAAGTCATAGGTATTTGCTGCAGGAAAATCAGAAAATTCAAGTCAGATGAAAAGAAAACAGTTAAAA
This sequence comes from Homo sapiens, assembly GCF_000001405.40. Classification (NCBI taxonomy): domain Eukaryota; kingdom Metazoa; phylum Chordata; class Mammalia; order Primates; family Hominidae; genus Homo; species Homo sapiens. The sequence continues at coordinate 49,923,518 of NC_000022.11, forward strand.
ACCCAGGAACTCCCTGGAGAGCGCACCCTGCTGGTGCCTCCACTGCTCGTGCCCCCCCAGCGCCCCCGCAACGTGCCCTGCGTGACTTTCCGCAGCGCCTGTCGGGTGTTTTCCACTCAGCAGCTTGTTGCGAACGTCTCTGCGTCCTGTGGTTTCTCTGTCACGCTAATGATTTTGGAGCCATTATTTCATACTTTTACAACAATGTCTGTTGCTGGACGTTTACGTCATAACAGTTTTTCAACTTATAAACTGTGAACACTTGAAGGTAAACTTTTCACATTCCTTATGATTTTCTGTGGATTAATTTCCAAATCGCTCAGTCAAGGGAATGTGTCTTTTAGAGCCATAGTGCCCCAGAAAAGTTGTGCTGATCCCCAGTCCCAGCAGCAGGGAGGAGGCCGCCTCTGCCCCGTGTGTGTGACAGCCCCAGGCAGTTTTCACTGTTGGGAGTGCAGACAGTGGGTCCCTCAGTGAGCCACTAATACTGGAAGCCATGCGAGAGGCTCTGGTTATTCTTAGGAAGCTCCTGGCAGGCTGGCAAACCAATGGTCACCGAGCTGGAGGTGGGTTTGTTTCTAGAATCTCTGTAGCACCCAGTTTCTCCCAAAGAGTTCCAAGCCAGGTGGTCTGCACCATGGCTCTCCGGGAGCACCTGCTGCACAGCAGGACGCGAGTCTGTGCTTTTGCCGGGAGACAGAGACAGATCGTTATAAAGTCACTTGGTGATGAATGAGGAGAAAACCCAAATCCTGGCGGCACCGGTGCCTTGTGCATGTCGGGGTCTGACGGGCACTGGTGCCTTGTGCATGTCGGGGTCTGACGCTGGCTCCCTGTTGCAGAGTGTGACTCCAGCTGTGTGGGCTGCACAGGGGAAGGCCCAGGAAACTGTAAAGAGTGTATCTCTGGCTACGCGAGGGAGCACGGACAGTGTGCAGGTCAGTGACGGGGTCTGTGCTGGACGCTGGTGGACCCTTCCCAAGTGACCATGATGTGAATGGCCCCAGCAGGTACTGCCAGGGATGGGAAGCAGTTGAGACCCGTCCTGCAGACGTGGCTCCCCCAGGGTCACTGTGCACTCGCCCTGAGGTCCACGTGAGACACAGAAGCAGTGGGGGTGGGGGACGGGCTCTGCATGGCCGACCCTGGTGTGGATGGCGCTGCTGCACCAGCCTCTCGCCGGTGGCCTCGTTCCCCAGGTCCACCGCCTCTGCTCTCCCTCCAGCTCCTGGGTGGCGATTGCCCCGAGGCTTAAGTCCAGGCCTGCCATGGTTGTGGGCTGCCTGGGTGAGCCTGGGCGTGGATGGAACCCGGTGGAGAAAGTGGGTTTCCTGGGCAGGCGCCATGGTTCATGCCTGTAATCCAGCACTTTGGGAGGCTGAGGCGGGGGGATCACGAGGTCAGGAGATCGAGACCATCCTGGCTAACACGGTGAAACCCCATCTCTACTAAAAATACAAAAAATTAGTCGGGCGTGGTGGCGGGCGCCTGTAGTCCCAGCTACTCGGGGGGCTGAGGCAGCAGAATGGCGTGAACCCGGGAGGCGGAGCTTGCAGTGAGAGGAGATCGCGCCACCGCACTCCAGCCTGGGCGACAGAGCGAGACTCCGCCTCAAAAAAAAAAAAAAAAGGAAAAGAAAGTGGGCTTCCTGGGCGCATGCTGGCCTTCCGGCCCCACCTGGAGGTCTCTTCTCTGCATTTTCTACCAGTTGAGGGCCCAACTTGGAGACGTGAAATTCTTCCCTCTCGAAGCCTTTCCTGATCTTTGCTCCTTTCTGTAACGTGACGTTTGTCATCGTTGTGCTTTCTTTATGTGAATGAATCTGAATGAATGAATTTCATAATCCGCTGCGCGTCTGCTGAGCAAAGTAATTATTAAAACGGAGTCTTTTCATTTTAGATGTGGACGAGTGCTCACTAGCAGAAAAAACCTGTGTGAGGAAAAACGAAAACTGCTACAATACTCCAGGGAGCTACGTCTGTGTGTGTCCTGACGGCTTCGAAGAAACGGAAGATGCCTGTGTGCCGCCGGCAGAGGCTGGTGAGTGGCACGGCTGCCCTCCACACAGGCTGCCCTCCCCTGGGCCGCAGGGCTTGCACGTAGACTGGCTGCTTGGTCTGAAATCCACACAGATGGTGGCCTTGAGATGGTGAGAGGGGGATTCCCGGAAGACAGGTGCATGACATCTCTGTGTGGGCACGCTTGCGCGAGAGGTACTGGCTTCCTGAGGATGAAGCCCCAGGTTCACAGCTCAAACGGAAGTTCAGGCGATGAAGGGGGAAGTCTCTGAAGCTCAGACCTCAGCGGGCGATGAGCAGAGGAGCAGACGCAGGAGAAGAGGCAGCTAAAGAGCTGGAAAAGTCATCCGGGGAAGCTGCCCAGGGTGCCGCAGAGACAGGGACAGGCAGGAAGTGGTGGAGGGCAAGCGGGTCCCCCACACCTGTTTCCTGGGGCTACCTTACCAAGAACCAGGAACTTAGGGCTCCAGCAACAGAAATGTGCCGCTCACAGGAGCCAGAAGTCAGAGGCCCAGACGCAAGCAGGCTGCTTCCTTGGGAGGCTGGGTGGGCGCGTCTGTTCCGGGCCTCTGTCCTCGCCTGGGGATGCCACCTGCTCCCCGTGTCTTCACGTGGTCTCCATGCGGGTGTCTGTCTCTGTCCAAACCTCCCCTCTTTGTAAGGACACCAGTCACTAATGCCCTCATGTTAACCTGGCCAGTGGTAAAGACCCTATTTCCAAACAAGGTCACAATCACAGGTACTGGGAGTAAAGACTTCAGCGTGTTTTGGGGGACATAAATCTGCCCGTGACAGTCCTCACAGAAGTCTAGAATATAGAGAGTGGGAAAGAAGCAGTGTTCAAGGAGATATTGGCTAAGGGTTTTTCAGAATGAATAAGGCACGATTCAGATTCCAGAAGCTGTTTCCTGAGCAGGACAAATAAAAGCAATTCCACATCTAGAAGCATCGTAGTAAACAGCAACAGCAAGACAGAACTGAGGGGTTAGCAGAGACGGACAGGCCAGAAGACAAGGCTGCCTGCTACCCCCTCGGTCCCCTCTGCCCTGGGCTGGCCCTGCCTCTTGCCCCTCCCTCCCCCCACCCTCGGTCCCCTCTTGCCCCTCCCTCCCACCACCCTGGGTCCCCTCTTGCCCCTCCCTCCCCCCACCCCGGGTCCCCTCTTGCCCCTCCCTCCCCCCCTCTTGCCCCTCCCTCCCCCCACCCCGGGTCCCCTCTTGCCCCTCCCTCCCCCCACCCCGGGTCCCCTCTTGCCCCTCCCTCCCCCCACCCCGGGTCCCCTCTTGCCCCTCCCTCCCCCCCGTCCCCTCATTCTCCTCCCTCCCCCCCACCCTCGGTCCCCTCTTGCCCCTCCCTCCCCGTACCACCCTCAGTCCCCTCTTTCTCCTACCTCCCCCACCCTCGGTCCCCTCTTTCTCCTCCCGCCACAACCATTGTTCAGGCTCCCATTCTGCCAGGCCGCAAGGAACCCCTTGCCGCTCCCAACTCTGCATCCTCCACACCCACGGCAGCGTGGGGGCTCTGAAATGCCGTCTGCCTCATCTCTCATCTGCTTTGTGGGAAACGGGGGTCTCCGAGCTGCCCTTGGATGGCTGCGTCCGGGGCTTTGAGCCAGGACTGGACGGGCAGGCCCTGCACATGCGCTGCTGTCCTGGGAAAGGCCTCATCCCCAGGGCCCTTTGTGCTCAGCCTTGACGACCTATGCTTGTTTTCTGACAGAAGCCACAGAAGGAGAAAGCCCGACACAGCTGCCCTCCCGCGAAGACCTGTAATGTGCCGGACTTACCCTTTAAATTATTCAGAAGGATGTCCCGTGGAAAATGTGGCCCTGAGGATGCCGTCTCCTGCAGTGGACAGCGGCGGGGAGAGGCTGCCTGCTCTCTAACGGTTGATTCTCATTTGTCCCTTAAACAGCTGCATTTCTTGGTTGTTCTTAAACAGACTTGTATATTTTGATACAGTTCTTTGTAATAAAATTGACCATTGTAGGTAATCAGGAGGAGAACGGGCGTGGGTTTGTCTCATTAATCAGGACGGACCTTTACCACTGAGTTTGCACCTGTCCTGCCAGAGCCGGGAGTGACCAGGGCTGCCGAGGTCCGCAGAGGCAGCAGGTCCGGTCCTGGGCTGGTGGCTCTGCTGTCCCTGAACAGGGCTCACGTGCCGCTTGGGGGAGGAGGGGAGGGCCCTGCCTTGGGCGAGAACCTGAAGACGTGACCAGGTGGGTTTCAGGGGTCCAACCTATGGGCCCTCTTCAGTGATTCAAAGGATGTACAAGCAGGGACCCTCAGGCAGGGGAAAAGCATCTTTGGGGGCTTCGCTGGAGGAAACAGCCACTCACAAACCGCAGGGCCTGCCCGTTCCTCATCTGGGAATGAAGACACTGCAAGAAGAAAGCTGGCTGCGGGTGAGAGGCTGCAGGCTCTGGGAGCTCCGTTCCGGGGGGCCATGGCCTCCTCCCTGGGCTCCTCATAGCCCCCAAGTCCCACTTGGCCTGGTCCCCACCACCCACTCCTCAGTCACGCCGCCCCTCCTGTCGCCTCCCCGCGCCACCCCGCCGATGCCGCCAGTGGTAGGTGGCTGTCCTGCTCCTGCCCTGGCCCCCCCTTCCCAGGCCGTGCACCATCCTGGCACTACTGACCTCCATGTCCACACTGTTCTGTACCCACGAACCCCATCTCAGTGCACCTATGCTCACTGGGCCCCAGGTGGTCACGCTTACCTGGGTATTGGAAGAGCCCCTGTGGTAGGACTCTGCCCCGTGGGTCCCCGGCCCGCAGAGGCAGCCACAGCCCACTTGGGCAGGCTGAGTGGTGCCTGGCCCTGCATCTCGCCTCTGGCTCTTCCTGAGTCAGTTGCACTCAGCAGCCTCACGGCCTCTCCCTTTCTCCCTCTAACCCTAGGCCAGGGTGCCCCAAATCCCTAGAGGGGGCACAGCTCAGCTTAGGCGAGGTGGGGGCTGCTCTTGTCCACTTCAGCCCTCTCAGGCAGTTTCCGCTTCATGTGCTGATGGGACCACCTAGAGATGAGGTCCTGACGGTGCAGACCAAGGGCAGAGGCCAGAGGGGCGGGGGCTGGGTGGGCCCTTGGGGGGCTCAGAAAGTGGGATCAGAGCATGGTGGAGAGTCCACAGGGATGGCCGTGGAAAGAAGTAGGGAAACACCAGCTGAGTCCCTGGGGGGCCGAGCACCTGAGTCTCCCGTGGGAGGGTGGAGCCACCCACGGGTGGGTGGGAACTAGGCGACCCCAGCGGGAAGCCCAGAAGGCAGGCCTTGTCCCTGGGGGGTACCTGGGGGAGGAAGAGAGGGCGTAGCCAGGGAAGAGGACGCCCCAGGGGAGAAGAGGAGCCAGGCAGGGGCTGGCCCAGGGCCACCTTGTGCACCCTCACGTGCATGGACAGCGGCGGTACAGGCGCCTCCCATGTCCCGCGCGTCCCTGCCCGGCTCAGACCTGCGGAGCCGCCGTTGATCAGGTGGGACCGCGGCCAGGTCTGGGACCCCCGCCCCATCTTCCAGCCGGGACCTCTGTCCTGCTCCTGCCCTGGCCCCCCCTTCCCAGGCTGTGCACCGTCCTGGCACTACTGACCCGCACGTCCACGCTGGAGACGGCGACCCTCCTGGGCCCGGGGAGTCGAGGACGGGAGGTGTACAGGACAGGGGCCGCGGTTCCGGACGTTGGGAGCAGGACCCCGGGCGCGCATATCCACTTTGTCGCCAGTGAACGCTAGGGAGTCCTCGGAGGGGGGTCGGGGCCAGGCCAGGAGAGGTGCCCGCGGGACACGGGGGACGGGGACTGGGGGGGGCGGTTGAGCAGGAATGGGGGACGACCCCGCAAGACCCTGCGGCAGGGCCGAGGCGAGGGCGCAGGCAGGGTCCTTGGAACCGCGGGGCTGGGGTCCACCTGCCCGGGTGCTCGAGGGGCGCCTGCGGGGCTGGGGCTGGGGCTGGGGCTGGGGCCGGGACCGGGAGCGCCGCCTCCTGGGGGGGCTCTGATCCGCCCCTCCCCACGCGGCGCCGCCCGCGCCCCGCCCGCTCCCGCCGGACACAGCGGACCCTGCCTCGGATCGCGACCCCTGCCCGGGCCCAGCAGGTGGACCGCGAGGCCGCGCGAGGTACCGCCCCTCGGAGCCGCCCGGCCTGGGTCGGGGACCGGGACGCGCGCGGCCAGCAGGTGGCGCTGTGGGACCGCCCTGCTCGGCCCGGCTCCCGGGACTCGGCCGGCCCCTGCCCGCTGCACCTGCCCCGTCACACCTCGGCGCTGCCGGGGCGTCTTTCTAAAAGGGGAACTTGGAAGGGGGAGGTTGGGGTGAACTGTGGACCTCCGCTGTCCTTCTGGGCCCAGGCAGAGACCCTGCCATAGCCCTGGGGGAGTCCCACCCTCTGGGAGCCAGGACTGGGGTCTGCAGGGCCGAGAGGGCCTCCACTTTGGTTCCCAGACCCCGGCATCTTGCTTTGGCACATACGCAGGTCCTGGAGATGGCTTCCATCCCCACAGGGCACTCCTTGTCAGGCTAGAAGCTTCTAGAAGTGCCCCCTGGTCAAGCCCACCCCTGGCTTTGCTGTAAACGCGTCCCTTGGTCGAATGCAACAGACAGTGGGCGGGATCCGCAGGATGAGACGTTCTGTGAGCCAGCGGTTCTCAACAGGCAGCTGTTGTGTCCTCCAGGGGACAGGGGACCGCCTCTGGAGGTGCTGTGGGTTGTCACGACCTGGTGAGGAGTGCTTCTGCCAGGGCACAGGACACCCTGCCACAGAGGATGGCCCCCACCAGAGGACAAGCCAGCTCCCGCTGCCACCAAGGCAGACAGATGCTCACAGCAGTCCCTGGACAGGGGCCTGGACCTCAGCCAAGGCATGTTAGACAGGGAGGCGGCCATGGTGTGAACGTGGGTCTGCTCTGGGAACACGAATCATGGGGTGGGGTCCGCGCAGGCCGGGACCACCTATGCGTGCTGCGTCCTGCTGTCCTGGATGTACCACATCCCCCTGAAGATGACCGTTGCCTGCTCAACCTCATGACAGGGCCGGTCTAATAGCCAGTGCCAGCGGGCAAGGCAGAGACACAGCCATGGGGCATCCCATGGCCAGGCTGTGCATCTCCACAGGGGCCCAGAACCACAGCAGGAGTCCTCGACGCAGGCACACACTGAGGATGGCATGGGCCTCCTCTGCACTGTGTTTGGGGAGGGTCTTCCACAGGCACTTGACCTTAACCCCTCCTTTACCACCCGTGCCTTTGGTCTGCAGAGTCAGATCGTAAGTAGCAGCCGGGACACCGGAGTTGGGCTTGGACGGCGGTGGAGCTGGTCCTGCTCTGTGCCTGTTCAGAGCTGTCCTTTTGTGTCCCCCAGTATTGGGTTGGAACAGAGTCCCCAAATGTGGAACATACTGTTCCAGCTCCCAGAAGCCTTCCAGGTGCCGTGTGTCCTGGCGGGGGCTGCAAGAGGCAGCCACTTATCTGTCCTCTGCTTTGGAGGGGATTTTCTCGCTCAGGAGGGCCCAGTGTGCTCACCATGTCTTGGTCATCTGGTCTCATTAGCACAGCACCATCGATAGAGGGGGCCAGTGTGACATCCTGGGGACATTCATTCAGCTGGTGCCAGTCTCTGGATTATTGTGAGAGAGGGCAGGAACGTTACCATAGCCCTGGGGAGGAACTGAGTGTTTCCTGTTTTGAGTTCCAAGGCAGTGTGACTGATCTTCCTGCCAGACAGGAGATGGAGAAGAATGCACACCCAGCAGTGGCCTCACTGCACACCTGGGGCTGGGGAGCCTTCTCTAGCAAAGGCGCCACATCTAGCTGGGTTGTTTTTGCAACAGTCCACTCTCCTCCAGGACCCACCCACCTGCCTTTTGCAGTGGTCAGATTGGTGGAATAAAAGGAGATCCTTGGCCGGGCATGGTGGCTCACGCCACTGTATTCCTAGCACTTTGGGAGGCCAAGGTAGGTGGATCACCTGAGGTCAGGAGTTCCAGACCAGGAACATGGCAAAACCCCATCTCTACTAAAAATACAAAAATTAGCCAGGCACGGCGGCAGGCACCTGTAATCCCATCAACTCAGGAGGCTGAGGCAAGAGAACCACTGGGACTCGAGAGGCGGAGGCTGCAGTGAGCCGAGATCGCTCTGCTGCACTCCAGTCTGGGTGACAGAGCGAGACTCCGTCTCAAAAAAAAAAAAAAAAGGAGATCCTTGCATTCTTTTAGATCTTTAGATGTGTCCCTAGTTTCCCCCAGTTTTGATTTACTATTTTGGGTGGGGATGGTCACAGATTTGCACTGGACTTACCCATTATGATGGCCAAGGAAATGGTGTCTACCATCAAGAATGTCAGCTCCATCCGTCCTGTGACTGGGGAAATGACCCACTGGATGAATGTGCAGACTCGAGGCTGGTGGATCAGACCTGGCCCGAATTCCACTGCTTCCCTGGCTCCTGTCAGCCCCTCGCTCTAACGGGAGCCATGAGGATGCTTCAGGCCTTCAGATGCCAGCATCACTCAAACCCTGTGTCCAGCACTTCTGAAGATGTGTGCGTATTTCCGTTGCACTGTGTCTGGTTACCGAGGTCGGCGGCCACAGGCCGTCTGGTGGTGGTGGCGGGCGGGGGCGGGGGCAGGGGGCCAGAATCATCATGGTGTGGATTTGCCTTGGCGTTGCACATCTTCCTCTTAGGGACTCAGCCTTCACTTTAGTGAGATTTCTCTGGGTCAGAAACCCACTCAGGTCTAGAAACTGGGCAGCGTCATGACTTTTTATTTATTTATTTATTTATTTATTTTTATTTATTTGAGATGGAGTCTGGCTCTGTCACCCAGGCTGGAGTGCAGTGGCGCGATCTCGGCTCACTGCAAGCTCCACCTCCCGGGTTCACACTACTCTCCTGCCTCAGCCTCCCGAGTAGCTGGGACTACAGGCGCCTGCCACCACGCCCGGCTAATTTTTTGCATTTTTAGTAGAGACGGGGGTCTCGCCGTGTTAGCCAGGATGGTCTCGATCTCCTGACCTCGTGATCCACCCGCCTCGGCCTCCCAAAGTGCTGGGATTACAGGTGTGAGACACAGCACCCGGCCCTATTTATGTATTTTTGAGACAGAATCTCACTCTGTAGCCCAGGCTGACAGTGCAGTGGCGCGATCTCGGCTCACTGCAGCCTCTGCCTCCCGGATTCAAGTGATTCTCCTGCCTCAGCCTCCCGAGTAGCTGGGATTACAGGCATGCACCACCACGCCCGGCTAATTTTTGTATTTTTAGTAGAGATGGGGGTTTCACCACATTGGTCAGGCTGGTCTTGAACTCCTGACCTCGTGATCCGCCCACCTCGGCTTCCTAAAGTGCTGGGATTACAGGCGTGAGCCACCACGCCCGGCCTTATTTATCTATTTTCAAGAAAGAGTCTCTCTGTGTTGCCCAGGCTAGAGTGCGGTGGTGTGATCTCAGGTCACTGCAACCTCTGTCTCCCAGGTTTAAGCAATTCTCCTGCCTCAGCCTCCCGAGTAGCTGAGATTACAGGCACCTGCCACCACGCCCAGCTAACTGTTGTATTTTTAGTAGAGATGGGGTTTCACTATGTTGAGCAGGCTGCTCTTGAACTCCCGACCTCAAAGTGATCCACCTGCCTTGGCCTCGCAGAGTGCTGGGATTACAGGCTTGAGCCACCACGACCGGCCCTGACTTTTTATTGGAGCGAGTACCCTTGACCTCCGCATCACACAACCCTAATATATTTTGCTCCAACAAGCTGAGCAGTCTCTTGTGGGCTGCCTGTCCCTCTCCCAGGAACATGCTGTTCTATCAGCCACCTCCACAACCCCACGCAGCTCTGACCCTGGGCCCGCTCCAGCCCTGCAACTCATTAGAGAGCTGCCTTCACAGCCACTGATGGTCAAATGCTGCTGCCTGGCCATCACCCCCGTCCCTGTCAGCCAGTCCAGTGCTGTGACCGTCCCCTGCTCTCAGTTCCAGAGGACAGCTGGGATCTGTGGTGCCACATGACTTTCAGCCCCTGTCTGCGGTGGCTGTTCTGACATTCACCCCTCCTCACGTGTGTCCCACACTCCAGGAGCCTCTGGGCCGTGAAACAGAGCAGCAGAGGACACCGCCTCCTGGGGTCCTAGTCCTCAGAAAAGGGCCCACAACCCGTCAGCTCTCCGCCGTCCACCACATGCAGCTTATCTGGCTGGGCACGGCTTCGGGTCCCGGGCTCCTTCAGGCTGTGGCCCCTTTGTCACTGGGCCAGCACATCCCCACCAGGATACACTGCAACTTAATCCCAGGAGGGTCTCGGGCAGGTCCTGGGTAATCCCAGGAGGGTCTCGGGCAGGTCCTGGGGAGCCGGGGCAGGGGGCCGGCCTCTCCCACGGAGGAGGCACGGTTTGGAGACATCCTGTTTCTTCCCAGCCAGCACCGAGGCCGGGGCACAGCAGACCCCCGGGGATGGGGTCACCTATTGGTGGCCCCTCTGGTCACTGAGTCTGTGCGTGTTCTCCTGGCCTCTCCATGCAGCCTTCTGTTGTTTTTCCAGAGCTTCAGGGGCGGGCACCAGCAGCCCCCCGAGGACACTGTTCTCAAGGTTGTGCCCCCTGGACTCTCACCCCAGGCTCACCCACCCCAAGAGTGCAGGCCCCTTCCCGTCGCGTCCACCGCCAGTGGTGCCCGCTGGACAGAGTGCCTTTGCCTGTACACCTCCCTGGCGCTGCCTGTCTGTGGCTGGCTCCAGAGTGGCAGGCGGTCTTGGCGCCTCAGCCATGTCCTCAGCTGACCTGGGGGCTGGGTGAGGTGAGGCACCCTGAGACTTCTTCAGCGTGCTGAGCTGTGAGGAGGGGGCTGGGCCTTTGGCCACCACAGGATGACTCAAAGGGTGTGGCCTTCAGTGGGGTGCTCTCCTCAGCCTGCCCCTGCTGCTCCCTCAGCCCCCCGGTCCGGCTCTGTCCCTTTTCAGACTCCCAGACCCCGCAGGCCTGGGGTGGGGACTCTGCCTGCCACCTGGGAAGGGTGGTCGTCAGTGGGGTGACTCAGGGTGGAGGGCCCTGGCCCAGTGGCCCTGCCCTCCTCCTCATATGCCCGTGACCAGCACGCGGGTGTGGACTGAGCCTGTGCCAGGTGGGCCCTGGGGGTCGGGGGGCAGAAGGGCCCAGGTCCTGCAGGGGAGTGGGGGGCGGTGCTGGGGCCCAGAAAGGCTTACTGTAATGTGGCTGGTGGGGGCCACCGGCTCTCAGGCCACACACTCCCCCTCCAGGCCCAGCGCCCCTCCCCGCCTCCCTGGGGCTGCGGTCTTCCCAAACCCCAAGCCGGCTGCTCTGCACCAGTGAGGGGCCGGGAGTGGCCTGGCCTGAGGAGGCTGCAGGGCACCCACCTCTCCAGAGACCCCCTCCACCCACTCCCGGGGGATCCTTCTGGAGAGACCGTTCCCAGCCGTTGAGCAGGGTCCGCTCTCCCCCCTACCCCGGTCTGGCCTTTGGGAGGATCCCCCCAGAGCCAGGGAGGGGTATCTGGCCCCTCACCCCTCAAACGGCAGTCCAGGGCCAGCGTCTTTCTGCGCTCACCCACCTGCCTGCGACGGGGCTCTCTGGGCCACAGGGCGGCCACCACTCGAGGGTCACCCGCAAGCCTCGGAGTCCCTGCTCGGAGCGGGGGCTGGTGGTCGCGGTGGGGGTGGGGAGCGGGCACCCACTGGGGATTCACCCCACCCGGGCCCCCCTCCAGCCTCTGCCCGGCGCCCGGGTCTTCGGTCCGCCCTTTGCAGAGGAAGGACCCCGCCCTGCGCAGAGCGGGCTTGGGGGACCCGGGCGGGCGGCGGGGCGCGGGGTGGGGCGCGGGGGGCGGTGTTGCTCCCGCGGGCGGGAAGGGCGGGGAGCGGCCCTGCCGGGAAGGGGGCGGTGCCGGAAGCGTCAGCTGGGCTTTCCCCGGCGGGCGGGGGCGGGGAGCAGATGGGGGCGCTACGAGGAGGTGGGGGGAGGGGACGCAATGGAGGTGCCGGGGGTGCGCTGAAGAGCGAGACTGGGGCAGGGGGATGAGGGTCTGGGAAGGAGCAGGTGTTGGGGACGGAGGGTGGGGGCGGGGAGTGGGGGCGCGGGGAGGAGCAGGGTGGGGGCGGAGGGGAGGATGGGGGTCCGGGAGGAGCAGGGGCGGGGACGGAGGGGAGGGTGGGGGTCCGGGAGGAGCAGGAGTGGAGGCGGAGGGGAGGGTGGGGATGTGGGAGGAGCAGGGGTGGGGCAAAGGGGAGGGTGGGGGGTTCAGGATGAGCAGGGGTTGGGGCGGAGGGGAGGGTGTGGGGGGTCCAGGAGGAGCAGGGGTAGGGGCGGAGGGGAGCCTGGGGGTCTGGGAGAAGGAGGGGTGCGGGGTGTGGGGCCTGGGGTGAGCAGGGGTGGGGGCGGAGGGGAGGGTGGGGGTCCGGGAGGAGCAGGGACGGAGGGGAGGGTGGGGGTCCGGGAGGAGCAGGGACGGAGGGGAGGGTGGAGGTCCGGGAGGAGCAGGGGTGGAGGGTGTGGGGCCTGGGCTGAGCATGGGAGGGGACCTGCAGCCCGTGCCCAGCCCCATAGGGACCCGCCCGCGCTCCTCCCCCGCCGCCCCGGCCCCGCGCTCCTCGTCGCTGGGAACCCCCTGCGGGAGCAATGACGATGAGCAGGACGATGGCTGTGAGGGCCCGGCCCGAGCTCTGGGGCGTGGGCCGGAGCGCGGTTGGCCTTGACCTTCTTGGAAAGCCCTTGGCGGCAGGTGACTCCGCTTAGTCACGGCCCCGGGGGCGGGGGCTCCCCGAAGGAAAGGAGCCCCCGCGGGAGCAGGCGCAGAATGAGATGCACGAGCGCCACCGCCGCCGCCGCACACCCCCCGCCCCCCCGGGGTGGAAGCCAGAACCTGCGTCCCCAGCTCCCCCAGGCCCGCCCACAGGGCGCCTGGCTGGGCCTCCGAGCTTTCCTGTTTTCTCTGCAGCCTGGCTGGGCTTAGGGAGAGGTGGGGGGTGCGCCTCTTGATGCTGGGGACGCGTGTGGCACAGGGAGCCGGGTGCAGCCAAGGCTTGGAGGGGTGCCCCCCGCCCCACCCAGGTCACACTTCACCCTTCGTGGGGTCGGGATCTGGTCTTTTTACAAGCTAGGCGCCCTCCCCCCTTTTTTTTTTTTTTTTTTTCTCAAAAATGATCACAGGGAATGAGCCTCAGCCAGGACAGCGGGCTATGAGGCTGCCTGTTGCCCCCACCAGCCTGAATTCTGGCAGGGCCCTTCTCCTCCACCCACAGCCCTCCATCCACACCCCTCCAGTGGCTCCAAGGCCCATCTGACTTGGCCTCAGTTCACCTGTTTACTTCAGGGACACCTGGTTATACTGCCAGAGGCAGGTTGGGGGGCCTGCAGGGCCGGCCTCTCTCAAATCCACTTCTGGCTCTGCGGTCCCCACAGCACTTCCTTACCCCTTCCCCATGCTGGAATCTGAGAACCAGATATGGGGGTCCTGGTCTCAGCATCCCTTTCCATCCGGGGTGCCCTGCTGCTGCCAGCTCACGTGCCCACCATCCCATCCTCCTCAGGGTCAGTGTGGCTGCAGAACGGCCTCCGGGGAGAGCAGGGTGGGGGCTGTAGCCTGGTGCACCCCCAGCCTGCTGTCCCAGGTGAATGCAGACCCCTGGCTCAGCTGCTGACCAGATAACAGTGGCCCTTGTGCCGAAGCCTGGGTGGGGGCTGGGGTACCAGCCCCGGGTGTCTCCGGGCACAGAATGGCACCCACCCCCACCCCACCCGCAGGCAGCGGCCAGCAGGAGACATTGTCCGTCCCCCTCAACCCTGGCTATTAATAGCTCCTCTGGGCTAGGAGCGGCTATAAATAGTCCCAGCCCCTCACACAGGCCCATTCAGGCACCCGCTGCCTGGGTGTGCACAGCAGCCACACTTGCGCTCACTCAGAGCTGTGCACGCGGGAACCGTGCCACTTCTGCCCCTCCACGCCATCTGCACTGCACAGATCCAGGCTGTCCCTGCAGCCCTCACTGGGTCTCCTGTGGCAGGGGAGGGCCCTGAACCCTCTGGAGGCTTTTCCCTTGCCCCCTCCCGCCACGCCCAGGGTCCCCTTGGGGCTTCTAGCTACTCTAGGGTCTTGCTCTGGGGCTTCTGGAAGTCAGATGCATTCACCCAAAGCCAGCCTGGGGCGGGGGGAGGTCCACCTGGAGGGAGGCCCAGCCCCTGCAGAGACCTAAGCCTGGCCTCTGCCCCAAGCACTGCTGCCTCGGGCCATGAGGCTCACAGGGTCTCCTTAGCCCAAGGCTGGTCCAGCCTCCCACCTGCCCTGTGGGGCAGACGTCACTGAATTCCCACTCCTTGCCCTGGAGGCCTCATTGCCGTCAACTAGGCTATGGCCCCCACTGTGACTCCCACTCCCAGGGTGACAGAATGGGCACCTGGTCCAGGAAAGCCTGCTCTGTGGACCCCCTACCCGTCCACACTGTCCACGCCCCATGGCTAGTGGTGACAGGAGACAGGATGGGGGGCATGGGGGCTGCTGTTATTGTGTCCAGAGGAGAAAAGGAAAACAATCCTGTTTACGGAAAAGGAATGTCCGTCCACTGCCGCCAGCCAGTGGCCTTCCTGGGGGGACAGAGGCCCTTTGTTGGGAAAACAGGAAGCGAGGATTTCCAGGATCTGCCAGGCCGCCCGCCGGCCACCCGCCCCACTTCCGCCAATTCTCGGCAGCCTGCGCTGGCCACCAGCTGCCCGTCGGTCCATCCACGTTTCTGTCTATCCGTCTGACCGTGGGGCCCAGGCGTACAGCCTTAGCACATCCTGCTCTATGTGGTGCCTCAGTCACACAGGGACAAACACCCACAGGGTCCTCGCAGGGCCTGGGAGGGCTGCCTGGGAGCTGAGACCCAAGGAGTGAGGACCCGTGCCCCACATAGGGAAGGGCAGTGCCAGACATGGAGAAGGCGGATGGGGCAGGGGCCACGGGCCAGGAACCGGGGAGGCGGGAACAGCCAAAGGGAAGCTGTGCCAGACTCTCCCCTCCCCACCCAAGAGCCAGGGATGGTTTTGGGGTTAGGGGTCACTGTGTCCTTACTACCCAAACCCACTTACAGTCCATGGCCCACGCGATGCTCGCCTGTCACTGACCCGGGACAGCATGGGCTCACTCGTGCATGAACACCAGACGTGTGTACACTCAGCGGACACTCACCTGTGCACACACAGCACACACGTGCACACACCACGGACACTCTGACCTGTGCACACACAGCACACACGTGCACACTCAGCGGACACTCACCTGTGCACACACAGCACACACGTGCACACACCAGCACCCCCCAGCACGGATGCAGGCACCGTCATGAGCACGGAGACCACCCCAGGACACCAGCAGCTGCACCCCCCGGCGGGGCTGCACTGGCCGACAGTGCCCAGGGGACTGCTCCCAGCCCCTGTGGGGGGCTTCTGTGATTCTGTGTGGGTTCCTGTGTGCCCTGTTTGGGCTCTCACCGGTCAGAGGGGGCTGGCACAGTGCCTGTGACCTCAGTCCTGGGCAGGGCCAGGAGGTGCCAGGAGCAGGCAGGCCTGGGGCAGGACTCTGTTTAGGGCCAGCTGGAGGACCCTCTGCCCCCACCTCCACATCCCAAGTCGGCAGCTTCCTCCCACTGTGGTGGTGATACAGGAGATAGAAAGAAATTATTTAGGTAGATAATGAGGGCAAAAGAGTCCTCAGCAGAACCTCCCTTCTAACAAAAAGCAGGCCCGGGCGAGGTGGCTCACAGCTGTAATCACAGCACTTTGGGAGGCCAAGGCGGGCGGATCACCTGAGGTCAGGAGTTCCAGACCAGCCTGGCCAACATGGTGAAACGTCTCTACTAAAAATACAAAAATTAGCCAGGCATAGTGGCGGGTGCCTGTAATCCCAGCTACTTGGGAGGCTGAGGCAGGAGAATCGCTTAAACCTGGGAGGCGGAGGTTGCCGTGAGCCGAGATCGCAGCACTGCACTCTCAGCCTGGGCAACAGAGAGAGACTCTGTCTCCACACAAAACAAAAAAAGCAGAAAGCAGCCCAAGAAATCACTTCTTTTTTAACAAAGAGCAGCCTGGAAGATTAGGCGGCAAACAGATCAGGCTGGAAGCTTCACAGGACATGGAGGCAGCTGCACAGACAGAAAGGGCTCCCTGGGGCCAGGAACGTCCACCCTGGGGCTCCATGTCCCTCTTAGTTAGCACACACGCACAGTAAGAAAAAAATGAGCGGCACGGAGTAGCTTCCCACGTGCATAATAAAAGACTGGGGTGCCAGCCGGTCACGGTGGCTCACGCCTGTAATTCCAGCACTTTGTGAGGCCGAGAAGGGTGGATTACCTGAGGTCAGAAGTTCAAGACCAGCCTGGCCAACATGATGAAACCCTGTCTCTACCAAAAATACAAAAATTAGCTGGGTGTGGGGGCGTGTGCCTGTCATCCCAGCTACTCAGGAAGCTGAGGCAGGAGAATCGCTTGAACCCGGGAGGCAGAGGTTGCGGTGAGCCGAGATCGTGTCATTGCACTCCAGCCTCGGCAACAAGAGTGAAACTGTCTCAAAAAAAAAAAAGATTGGGGTGCTACACTATGTAGATGGCACGCCCGGTCCCAACCAGTTTTTCGTGCCCTATGTAGATCAGACACTGCCTCCCCACTAGCTCATCTATAAAAATCTCTGCATTTCATCTCGGATGGGCAACCCATTTTTCTGGGACCCCTCCCTGTAGCAGAGAGCTGTTCTCTGTCTTTCTTTTTCTTTTTTTTTTTTTTTTTTGAGGCGGAATCTCACTCTGTCACCCAGGCTGGAGGGCAGTGGTGTGATCTCAGCTCACTGCAATCTCCATCTCCCAGGTTCAAGCGATTCTCCTGCCTCAGCCTACTGAGTAGCTGTGATTACAGGCATGCACCACCACGCCTGGCTAATTTTTGTATTTTTAGTAGAGATGGAGTTTCACCATATTGGTCAGGCTGGTCTCAAACTCCCAACCTCAGGTGATCAGCCTGCCTCAGCCTCTGAAAGTGCTGGGATTACAGGCATGAGCCATCGCGCCTGGCCTGGACAACCTGCATTTAAAAAGCACTTTCTTAGGAAGTATGTCAAATGTACATGGCTTGAGCCACCACACCCAGCCTATTCTCTTTCTTTCCTTTCTTTCTTTCTTTCTTTTTTTTTTTTTGAAACAGAGTTTTGCTCTTGTTGCCCAGGCTGGAGTGCAATGGCACAATCTTGGCTCACCGCAACCTCCACCTCCCGGGTTCAAGTGATTCTCCTGCCTCAGCTTCACGAGCAGCTGGGATTACAGGCATGCGCCACCACACCCAGTTAATTTTGTATTTTTAGTAGAGACGGGGTTTCTTCGTGTTGGTCAGGCTGGTCTCGAACTCCCAACCTTAGGTGATCTGCCCGCCTCAGCCTCCCAAAGTGCTGGGATTATAGGCTTGAGCCACCATGCCCAGCCTATTCTCTTTCTTTTGCTGATTAAATGTCTGCTTTAACCTCACCCTTCTTGTGTCCTCATCCTTGATCTCCGTGGCTGTGAGACCAAGAACCTTGGGTGTCACCCCAGAAAAAAGGCTGCTTCAGCAGTCCATCTTCTGACCCGGAAGACCCCTGCCCTGGTGTAGGTGAGGGAGGCCCACGTGGATCTACGATGCCAGGTGGGGAGGAGGACAGGTGTGAGGGGACAGCTGGAGCAAGACCCCTGGTCGGGCGTGCCTCAGTTCAAAGGCCCAGACAGTGCAAGCAGAAGAAGGAGAGGGTGCTGGGAGGAGCCGTGGCAGGGGCCAATCCAGGGCCTCTGGGCCCGGTGAGGGCTTGGGGTTCACTCCCATCAGGTGGGGCTGCACCAAGAGGCTGTGGCTGATGCTCAGAGGGTCTCTGCTGCTGAGCACAGGTGGGGACTGGGAGCAGCAGGCTGTGAAAGTCCCAGCCCGTTGGGAGGACAGGCAGTGGCCTGGCTGGATTCCAGGTCTGTTTTAATGTGGAGCTGATGGAACTTTCGGAGGCCGGGGTGAATGGTGAGATGTAGACAATTCCAAGAGCGGACACGGCTGGGGGGGCCAGGGCCTCAGTTCACACCCTGACCTGCCTTTGCGCAGAGCGGCTCCCAGGAAATCACACCCTTTCTGTGGCAGACACAAAGGTCAGGTGTGAGGGGGCAGGTGGACTGGGAGTTGGAGGAAGGGGAGGGCCCGGCCCTGTGAGCAGAGGGTGACCCTTCCCTGGCATCTGCTGCTGCCATGTGCCCCAGAACCACGAAGGTGTGTGGGTCCCACATCCACGTGCAGGCCTTGCATCCATGGCTAGGTCCCACGTCCAGTTCCAGGCCCGACATTCTGGTCCCTGGGTCCAGCCCATGGCCTTCCTCCATGGGCGTGCTGAGGGCCTGCAGCCCGTTCTCTGCCAGCCTGGCCCCTAACACAAGGCAGTGACCCCAGCCTCTCACCAAGGGGACCCATTAGCCACACTGCATCAGGCCTATGGCAGGTGCTCAGTGCAGTGTGGGCCATGATCCCAGCAGGCCCCACACCTCTCCAGATGCTTCCTGACCCCAAGGAGCCTGCATGCTGGCCAGGGTGGAAGCAGCTCTGAAGAGTCAGCACTCGCGGTGGCCAGGACCAGAGAGGAAGGCAGAGTGCCTGTGTCCCAGGAAAGAAGAGGGCATGGCGCCCAGCTGCGGGGCTGCTCTCAGGGCAGCAGCTGCTTTGGGGACACCTCAGCTGGAGTCTCAGGTCAGGGAACCCTTGTGTCCACACATCCACCTGTCCATTCACCCAGGGGTCCACCCATCCAGCCTTCTGCAGTGCTGACATCCATGGGCTCCCCAGGTTCATTTAATGGTGAATGAATGAATGAGCCCACTGTTTATCCAGGCGCCACTGTGGGCCATGGCACAAGTGGGCTCTCAGGAAAAACTACTTATCAAATGATGAATGAATGAATGTGTGAGAGACAGAGTGAGTGAGTGATTGAGTGAGTGAGTGATTGAGTGAACGAGTGATTGAGTGAACGAGTGATTGAGTGAATGAGTGAGTGAGTGAATGATTGAGTGAGTGAATGACTGAGTGAATGAGTGAGTGAGTGAATGAGTGAGTGAATGAGTGATTGAGTGAACAAGTGATTGAATGAGTGATTGAGTGAACGAGTGAGTGAGTGAATGAGTAATTGAGTGAACGAGTGAGTGAATGAGTGAACAAGTGAGTGAAAGAATGAGTGAGTGAATGAGTGATTGAGTGAATGAGTGAATGAGTGAGTGAATGAGTGATTGAGTGAACGAGTGAGTGAATGAGTGAGTGAATGAATAAATGAATGAGTGAGTGAGAGAATGAGTGATTGAGTGAATGAGTGAGTGATTGAGTGAACAGATGAGTGAATGAGTGAGTGAGGGAGGGAGTGAGGGAGGGAGGGGGTGAGTGAGTGGGGGAGAGAGTGAACTGGCCTCCCAGTCCCCCAGCTGCTCTCTGCTGACCCAAGATCTGGAGGTGCCCAGCTCCCGTCCTGCCCTCCCAGGTCAGTGGTGGCTGCATGTGGGAGGGAGGAGGGGTCCGAATGTTGTACTGTGACTTCTGAAGCCACAGGCAGCGCCGGAGTGTCTGGGGAGGACACAAAGCCAGGCTGTTCCCTGCGCAGGGGCTGGGCCTGCCTGGAGGTGAGCCGGGGCCAGGTAGGCTGGGGCCCGGGGGAAGGAGGGCTGGCCTTGCAGACAGGACACGCTGTGGTGGGCGCCGGAGCCTCCAGACCCGGGGTCGGCCTCGCCCATGCCCAGCGGCTGGTGTGGACCCCCAGCTGTCTCAGGTGGGGTGGGGTGGCCCCTGGGTGGCGGCGTTTCTGCAGCCCACCGAGCCACAGGCCGAGAGGGTCCCAGGGAGACTGGAATGCCAGCTCCTCATGGAATGGCCTTGGTGGCTCTGAGCGCTTTGCCTGAAAATCACTCTTTCCTAAAAATCACTCTAAGGAACTTGCTCCCCAAGCCTCCAAACCCAGAGCAGAGCCCCCGAAGCTGCTTGACAGGCGGGTGAGTGGGTGGGGCCGTGTGGTAAAGATCGTCTCATCTGAACAGCCCCCGCAGGAGGCCCTGGGTAGGCCTGGCCCCTGGTCGCTGAGGAGTGCCCAGCCCTCCAGGCCCCTGCAGGTCCCCCCAGCGCCCCACACCAGCCCTCCAGGGTGGGCCTGGCTATTGTCTCATTTCCAGCCAGGCCAGCTCTGGGTGCCATGCAGCCCATCGTGAGCTGAGAGCGGAACTCGGGGCCCTCGAGGCCCCCCCCACCCCGCCGCCCAGGCCTTTAGGGAAGAACCCACCCACCAGGCATGTCAGGAAGGTCGGGTTTTCTCCACGGATAAGGATCCCCACCTTCGGGGTCATCGGAGGTCACGCTACCCAGAAGGAAGAAGGTGAACGCAGGCCGTAGGGCTTCCTGGAGGAGGGGACCCCGGGGAGCAGCACCCAGCCAGCCAGACGCACGGGGGTGGCATGTGTGCATAGGCGTGTGAGTGCTGGCATGCATTTAGCGCCAGGGAGGGAGGCCCAGACTCACAGTCTTGCCAAGCTAGACACCTTTAGCCCTGGGCCCCCAAGAGGGGCAGCAACCCGGCGGGCAGGCTCCTGGCAGTCTGAGGAACAAGGCCCGGCTGGTAGGGATGGACATTTCCACTTCAAGACCCGCCAGAATCCCCCACCTGCGGGTCACCCAGGCCATGGCTGGCCACAAGCCGCCCTGCCGGAACTGCATGTTCTCAGTGTGGGCCCGAAAGGGATGGGGAGGCTCCTGCTCATCCTCAGCTGCACTCCCGCCCCCACTGCCCCTCTGGGAAGCCCCTGGCGTCTAACGTCCCATCAGCCAAAGACTTGCCAAGCACAGGCCCAGGCCTGGTCACCCCCAGCAGGGTCACCTCACTCTGGCCATGGAGGAGGTTGTGACACAGGATGGCCAGGCCTCAGCCCCACAGAGCTGCCTCCCTGAACCCTGTCCTGGCCTGGGAAGACTGGCTCTCACACTGCTGGGCCTGGGGACCAAGCCTGTGGGCAGAAGCGGCCCTCCAACGCTCAGGACAGGCCTGGGGTTGTCCAGGCCTCCCGGGTCCTGCCTCCTCCTGGACCTGGCCTTGGTCTGAGCACCTGTTCTCTCCATGCGGGTACCTGGGCCTCTGAAATCCCCGCTGGTGGAGGAGGTGTTGGGTGGCCCAGGATCACCAGCACACCAGGTGGCAGCCTCCACCCCAGACCTCAGGCTGCAGTGCCAGGCACCCAGAGCGCCAGGAGCCCACCGCAGTCACAGTGACAGCCGGGCCGTGCATCTTGGGGTGCGCTTGCGCCAGCCCAGAGCTCCTGACCGCATGATGTCCTGGGGGGTTGGGACCCGGAAAAAAGTCTCACTGCTCACCAGCCCCCCAGGAAACTCCGCCCCTTTACAGTGTCGCTGCTCACCAGTACCCCCAGGAAACTCTACGCCCCTTTACAGTGTCACTGCTCACCAGGTCCCCCAGGAAACTCTACGCCCCTTTACAGTGTCACTGCTCACCAGGTCCCCCAGGAAACTCTACGCCCCTTTACAGTGTCAACTGCTCACCAGGTCCCCCAGGAAACTCTACGCCCCTTTACAGTGTCACTGCTCACCAGGTCCCCCAGGAAACTCTACGCCCCTTTACAGTGTCACTGCTCACCAGGTCCCCCAGGAAACTCTACGACCCTTTACAGTGTCACTGATCACCAGGTCCCCCAGGAAACTCCGCCCCTTTACAGTGTCACTGCTCACCAGCCCCCCAGGAAACTCCGCCCCTTTACAGTGTCACTGCTCACCAGCCCCCCAGGAAACTCCGCCCCTTTACAGTGTCACTGCTCACCAGCCCCCCAGGAAACTCTGCCCCTTTACAGTGTCACTGCTCACCAGTCCCCCCAGGAAACTCTGCCCCTTTACAGTGTCACTGCTCACCAGGTCCCCCAGGAAACTCCGCCCCTTTACAGTGTCGCTGCTCACCAGCCCCCCCCAGGAAACTCCGCCCCTTTACAGTATTGCTGCTCACCAGCCCCCCAGGAAACTCCGCCCCTTTACAGTGTCGCTGCTCACCAGCCCCCCCAGGAAACTCCGCCCCTTTACAGTGTTGCTGCTCACCAGTCCCCCCCAGGAAACTCCGCCCCTTTACAGTGTCGCTGCTCACCAGCCCCCCAGGAAACTCCGCCCCTTTACAGTGTCACTGCTCACCAGCCCCCCAGGAAACTCCGCCCCTTTTGGGGCCAGAGATGCTGTGAGAAGTGGCCTTTTATTATATAAAACTGTTTTATGCAGAATTTAAGATGTACATGTGACCCCTGAGATTAAACCACAGCCCCAAACAGCTCCCTGATTTTAGCCTTGTAGGAGACCCTGGGGCAGAGGGAAACTGCTAAACCAGACTTGGATTCCAGACCCACCTGGAAGTCATAAATGTGTGTTGTTTTAAGCCACTATAATTTGGAGTCGTTTGTGACACAGCAGAGCAACAGATTACCATCATGGTGTTGAAGGTAGAGCCAGCTGGGCTTGCTGGCTGACTCCAGGGCATTGGAGGACGCCAGAGCATTGACCTGAGCCCCTGGCAGGTGTGGCTGGCAGCATTGGGACAAGGACAACGAAGGCTGCAAGTCAAGAACTCTGCGCTGGGGCCAGGCGGCGGCTCACACCTGCAATCCCAGCACTGTGGGAGGCTGAGCCTGATGGATCACCTGAGGTCAGGTTTGAGTTCAGCCTGCCCAACATGGTGAAACCCCGTCTCTACTAAAAATACAAAAATTAGCCAGGCATTGTGGTGCATTCCTGTAATCCCAGCTACTCAGGAGGCTGAGGCAGGAGAATCACTTGAACCCGGGAGGTGGAGGTTGCAGTGAGCTGAGATCACACCACTGCACTCCAGCCTGGGCAAAAGAGTGAGACTCCATCACAAAAAAAAAAAGACTTTGGATAAATATGTGTTGTCCAACAACTTTGGATAACAGAAAACACCACAACAAGTTGAGAAATGGATTACAGAAAAAAGAACGAGCTTCGTACGTTAGCACCTATAATATCATTTCATCCTGCATTTTGAACAATGAACCCTGAATTCTCATGTGCGCTGGGCTCTGCAAATCATGTGGCTGCTCCCCATAGTCAGGAAGGAGAGTGGGACTCAGGGGAGGAGGCAGGATGAGCTGAGACCCAGGCTGCCTGTCCCTACCACTGACCAGGACAGCGTTCCAGCCTCCCCGTCTGCTCAGAATCTGCCCTGACCTGCTCCACACCCCCGCAGGCCCGCAGGGGAGGGCAGAACTAGAAGGGACCAGCGCATAGGGACCTGGGGGTGCTGGCACTGAGGTCTCTGGGCCTGGGATGCTGACCTTCCCGGAGCCCTGAGCTGGGCCAGGACGAGGTCTTCCCATCAGACTTGCCGCTGGCTAGGTGACCGGCCTGTCTCACAGATGAAAATATATTCTGAGGCCCAAAGGGGGCCCAGACCCTGACTTTGTGGCCCAGAGCCAGGTTCTCCCCATAACCAGCAGGCTTCTTTACCCACAGGCCACTGTCCACCCAAGCCCCGCAGGCAGGAACCCTTGGTATTGGGTGGCCCTGAGCTTGGGATTTGCCGCTGGCTGTGTGGCCCTTCGGAGCCAGTCCGGCACACCCGCAGGCACACACACATGCGCACTCGCATACAGCCACAGATTACACAGGCACCAGCTTCCCGGGAATCCATTTGTCATGCAAATGCCCCTCCTGGGGCCCCTTGCCTCCCCAGAGCTGTGTCTGTCCAGGGTGGGGCCCAGGTCCGTGGAGTCCTGCAGTTTCCTGGCCACAGCTATTGGCAACTGAGGGATGTCTCTCCAAAGAGGACCCAGATCCACGTCCAGGCTTGCCTGGGACCCGATCCCTGCCCAGTGCGGGGGCTGCAGCCTCAAGGCCCAGTCTGGCCACCGCCAAGTCCACTGGGAGCCAAGTGTGGGTTCATTCCCTCGTGGCTTCTGGTGCACCAGTGGGGTGGGGGGCCAGGCCTCTTTCCCTCCTTGGCTGCCTCAAAGCAAGAGGGAGGGACTCTCAGCCCTGTGCCCACCGACAGGCCCAGTCTCCATTCCTCCTAAAGCCCCTCTATGGCCCCCCAGCCCTTGGAGCTGAGCTTGTGAGAGCCGTCCCCTACAGGGTGGGCTCGGGAGGCAGAGCTGTGAGCCTGCTCCCCGCCCACCCAGAGCCCAGCTGGGGCAGACCCAGGCATCCAGGCCGGCAGGGTGAGCCTGTGCCCAGGTTGGGCAGCCCCCTATGCTGGGGGTGGCCAGGCTCTGGGCCTAAGTGCTGCCGGGAGACAGGGTGGCTGGGCTCTGGGATGCTGGCTGAGGGACACAGGCTCCCTCCTGTCCTCCGGGGCCAGTGGACCCTGGGGCAGCCCCCATGCCTGCTGTCCTGTCCCCACACAGCCTGTGAAGCAGGCTCCAGGCACACATGGGGGCCACGGGGGCAGGTGGTCCAGACGGCTCTCAAGGCAAAGCTGGGAACACTGTCCCATCCCTCTGGAACCCGCCCTGGTGAGGGGTGCAGGGGCCCTCAGTGGCCACCTTATAGGACCGGGCACCGGGCACTTCATGAGGCTGTCTGCTCGGCCACAGCAGCCCTGCTGATGGAAGCCAGCCCTGGGCCCACTGCAGCTGAGCCACCCAGGGGCCTGGCCACCCAGAGCTTCCCTGATAGGCTGCGCTGTGCCCGGAGCCCCCCAGTGACTGTCTCCTGCCCAGCCAGGTCCCAGACCCAGGGCAGCCTGCAGGACCCCAGGCCTCCACTCCCGCCACCTGAGTGTCTGTTCTGCATCTGCCCCGCCCCTGCCTACTGGCAGCCGCAGCCCTGGGCGGGCCTCAGCCGTCGGCTTTCTCAGGGTGTCTGGGTTGGGGCGGGCAGAGCTGCCCTCTGGGGGTTCCCGTGGTCCCCTAGAGGGTGGGCTCAGCGGCATCAGCTGCCAGAGAGGCTGACCGGCCCTCATGGCTCTTGACGGTATGTGCAAGAGTTTGCCTGGCGTGGTGGGGGGTGTTGCTGGCCAGGAACTTTCTTGCCATCGTCTTTCTTGGTGTCTGTCTCCCCTGGGTTCTCTGGACCCTGTCAAGCCTGTATGCTGAGGGTATGCTGTTACCAGGTGGCAAGGTGTCTCAGGCACTCCTTCAGGGTGAGCAGTCAGCTCCTGCTGCTGCCAGGGCAGAGGTGCAGAGAGCGGGGAGCAGCTGGTGGTGCCGGAACCCACAGCAAACCCCCCGCCCTCCAGCCCTGCCCCTGACACACCCCCGATGGCCTGGCGGAGCATCCCACCAGCCCAGCAAGAGGGCTCCTCTCCTCACCTGCCCAGGTCCCCTGGGGGAGGGGCCGTCCCTGTCCCCGCTGTCCCCCAGCCCTGGCCAGGGCTGTCCTCAGGGTGGGGAAGGCAGGCCCCCGCCACCCTCTCAGGGCCTCAGGCCTGGGGCAGGCCAGAGGGCTGGGTGAGGAGCCCTAGCAGGGCCCACCTGCAACTCCCACTGGCGCCCCAGAGAGACTCCGCACCTAGGAAGGGCCTCGGCAGGGACCAGAGCCAAGCCCTGCCCGCTTGGCCTCTGCCCCAACCCAGATGTACTGAGAAAGCCCAGGGCTGAGGCCCGTCTAGGGCTGCACCCGCCTGTGGACAAGGGCGGGGCAGATGCAGGACAGGCACTCAGGTGGTGGGAGTGGAGGCCTGGAGTCCTGCAGGCTGTCCTGGGCCTGGGGCGTGGCTGGGCAGGAGAGGAGTCGCCAGCAGGGCCGGGCAGAGTAAGCCGCTCTCCCTGACGGGGCTCCTTGGGTGGACTTGGTGGGGTTGCCAAGGGGGTGGCCAGGGCACGAGTGCCACACCCAGGCTGCAGCAGGGACAGCTCCACATGGAGGCCCATGGGCACTGGAACCCCTGGGCGCGTGCCCTGGCCTCGCAGCCACCCTCCCGGCTGGCCCCCACACCACGGCCGCGTCCCAGGACACGGTGTGCAGCTGGGAACAGGGCGTGTATTTGCTTAGGGCGCCCAGGAGCTGCGGCCTGTAGGACAAGGGCCCATTGTGTGCCCAGCTGCCCCACCCCCGGGCCTCTCCACGCCCCTCGAACCCCGTCCACACGGCCCCCCACACATGACACCCTCCGCCAACCCTGCTACCCAGC
Source organism: Homo sapiens (assembly GCF_000001405.40). Lineage (NCBI taxonomy): Eukaryota > Metazoa > Chordata > Mammalia > Primates > Hominidae > Homo > Homo sapiens. The sequence continues at coordinate 49,949,661 of NC_000022.11, forward strand.
CCTCTTGGCCTGTGCCCCCACCCTGCTCCTCCACCATCGCCCCTGCCTGCGTCCCCGCAGCCAGTCCTCCATGTTTCCTCACTTCCCACCCTGACACCCCTCCACCCACCAGGACCCAGGTTCTCCGAGCAGAGGATCAGATTTCCGGCATTGCTGCCCGGGCTCCACGCATCCGGGCCTCGCTCACGGGTCTCTCTATACACGGGTCTCCACTATACAGAAGGCCGATCAGTGGCCCCTGCCCCTGGAGCAGAGCCCCTCAACCGGCAGGGACACAGGCTTCCCACTGGAGGGGCCCTGGGGAGAAGTCCTTGGCTGGAGAGGGGGGTGGGCCGTCAGAAACTCCCCAGGCGGGTCCAGCATGCTGGGGGGCAGCACAGGCCCAGGGCTGGGACCCTCTGCAGTGTGGGTCTCGCAGTGTCCCCCCGCTGGCCAGAGGTGAGGCCTCAGGTGTGGCGGGCACAGGCCATGAGAGCCGCACCTGCCCGAGGGCCCTGGCTGTTGGACTTTCCACTCTAGAGGGGCTCAGGGGAGGCTCTGACACCAAGGGAGCTGGACCTCCTGCACCGTCCTGGGGACCCAGGCCCTCAGGTCCGCCAGACAAGCCCGGCACAGCCACTGCAGGGCCTCATGTCAGGCACACCCCTCCCGCCCTGCAGTAGCACAGGGGGATTGGGGTCACCATCAACCACGGGGAAGCACAGAGGGGTGGGGGGATGTGGGGGACAGGGGGGTATAGCGGGGGGAGGCGGGCATGGGGCCTGGGCCAGGCTGTGTTATGGGGGAGCCGGTGCAGGGGGTGGGGCCTGGGCCAGGCTGTGTTGTTGGGGGTAGTAGGGGTGGGGCCTGGGCCGGGCTGTGTTTGGGGCTGTGGTGCCTGGGCAGGGCTGTGTTATAGGGGGGTGGGGGGGTGGGGGGCCTGAGTGGGGCTGTGTTTGTTGGCGCAGGGGGGTGTGGGGCCTGGGCTGGGCTGTGTTGTCAAGGGTACACTGGCTGATGAGGGAATTCTCTACCCAGCTAAGCAAGTAACTAGAAGGACCGGGCCCAGCCGCCTGCTGGAGCTGCCGGGGGTCCAGGGGCAGCCGCCCTGCCAGGCCTACTCTACGGCAACACGGAGCGTTTGCAGCAGCTTCTCCCAGGCCCTGTGGGCCGAGGGCTCAGGAGTCCAGGGCAGCGCAGGACGGGCACAGCTGGGGGCCCCTCATAGCCAGAAGGGCCCCTGGTGAGGCCAGGCAGAGGGCGGCTGCCTTTCCACAGTCCATTCGCCCACTCAGCCACATTTGGGGGTCTCTGCCCACCGGGCTCCACCCTCCTCCCACTCCCCACCCCAGCTATGACATCTTCTCGTGCCAGCCTCACAGGGGCCTTAGACTGGACGGCAGCGTTTGGCTCGCAAATGAGGAACCGAGGCTGGAGGTTACCGGGACAGGGGCGGGGAGGCTGGTGGGGGCTGAGGAAGGGTGTTGGGAGGCTAAGGTGGTGCAGAGGAAGGGGGTGGAAAGGCTAGTGGGGGACTGAGGATGGGGGCGTGGAGTCTGGGAGGCTGAGGCCAGGGGCGGAGATCTGGAGGGCTGAGGATGGGGGAAGGGAGCTGGGAGGCTGGCTGACTGAGGACGGGGGCGGGGAGGCTGGGGGGCTGAGGACAGCTTCCCGGCAGGCCTGGCTGCGTGGGCCCCTCCTCAGGCCCAGGGCCGGCCAGGTAAAACCAGCCTGACCGGGTGCTGCGTGTGAGCCTGCGTCTGTCTGCCTACTTGTCATGTGTGCTGTGGACCGCGGCCAGGAGGAGCTGCGTGCGTCACAGCAGTGCCCTGTGGCAGGAGGTTGGGCGGGGGCCACCTGCGCGAGGCCCACCTGCCCAGCCAGGGCGGGGAGCAGGTACCAGCAGCCAAGATTTCAGGGCTGGGCCCCAGGGGAGGGCAGGGCCAAGGCCCAGGCAGAGCCCCTCCACCTGTCTTCACAGGCCAGGATGCAGAGACGGGTATCTGGGCATCGAGTGGAGACCGAGAGAGGCAGGGAGGTCACCAGGCCCCATCAGGAGGCCAAATTTGGCCTGGGGCCTGGCCCTGAGTGGGCTAAGACTCAACTCCATACCTCCCACCCCTGGCTGTGCCCACCCACCTCAGCCCAAGGGTAGCTGACCAGTGCCCTCCAGAGCCCTGAAACCCTGGGGCAGGGCCAGTTGGAAGGGCCACCAACTCCCGCACACCTGTGGCTGGTTTCTGCCCAGATCTCACTGGAGGGATCCACGCCCAGGCAGGCTGCTGAGTCGCCTCTGCTGGGAGCTCAGGACCCAGGTGGGATTTCAGGACCGCAGGCCCTCCACTGAGGCCCGTGTGCCCCCACTCAGCCCAGCCCACCTCCCTCCCACCCACATCCTTCCAAGACTCAGCTCCTCCCAGTGCCCTAGGCCTGGCCAGTGGTAATGCTGAGGTGTGACCACAAGGCCCATTTCACAGCTAGGAAGGTGGGCTCAGGGTGGAGGCCCCACCGGGCCACAGACTCCATCGAGGTGCCTCTGATCTTGGGGCTAAGTCAGTGACCAGGAAAGAGAGGCCGCCCGACTGAGGTGTAAGGAGTGCCTGGGCCCCAGCAACTGTAGCCCTCACTCCTGCCACCGGCAGCCCGGCCTCAGCAGAGCTGACACAGAAGAGTGGGTTGCAGGCTGAGCTGGTCCTCCGGGGCCCAAACCAGGCCTGGCACCCACGACCCTGAAGAGTGGGACCCCAACCACCCCGACACCTAGTCGGGGCAGGGCAGCAGGGACGGGAGGGAGCTCTGGGCCACCGAAGGGGCCAGGGCGCTGGATGGGGAATTTCCTGGAGGTGGAGGAGCCCAGCAAGGGTAAAAGTGCAGAATTCTTTCCATTCTTTGCATTTCTCTGAGATGATTCTGCAGAGTGTGTTGCCTGGAAGACCCGTGGTGTCTGTGTGTGTGTGTGTGTGTGCACGCGTGTGGTGCGTGTGCATGTGTGAACATGTGTGTGGTGTGTGTGCACGTGTGTGGTGTGTACTTGTGTGTGGTTGTGTGTGTGTGTGCACGCAGCCTGCCCCTGGTGCCTCATCCCCCCCTTCCCCCTGGGAGCGGCCCCGCTGTGCTGGCAGTTCGGCCCCCACAGGTCTGCACTGGTGAACCCTCATGGTCCCTCAGGGAGCCCGGGAGAGGTGAGGAGGACCTGGATAGGGCCCAGGCCCAGATGCCTGCAGGGGAGAAAGCTCCACACAAGGGGTTTGTGAGGCCTTGCCCCAGCCCCAACGAGATTCAGGTGCCCAGCTGTGGGATATGGGGACAGGCAGGTGACGGCCCGGCTCTCAGGCTCCCCATCTGGACGATGGATGGACACGCGTAAGCAAGACCCTGAGGCCCTGTCCCTCAGCTTCCCCAGGCAGGGCCGAAGTGCCCTCCTCCTGAGGGCTGGGAGGCCACAGCGCCCAGTGGGAGGAGGGGGCTGGGCACAGTGGGGCTGGCTCCAGAGCAGAGGGAAGGAGCCGCGGGAGCTACACCCCCTGGCGAGGGGTGGTGTGAAGGTGCCTTTGGAGGCACCTGCCTGGCACGTATGGCTGGCTGCATGCACACACCCCCACGCTCACCTGGGACAGGTGTGCACACAAGCACTTGCTCCCTGAGCCCCGACCTAGACTGACCCTCTGCCGGGACTGCCCGGATGCCCTCCAGGCCAGACTGAGTCCTTCTCAGCTCCTCGGCCCTGGGTCACCTACAGCACTGCCATCGGCTTGGGGTGCAGCCAAGAGCGGACAGGGTGTTCAGGGATGAGCTGGGCAGGCGCTGGGGCCTCCCCATGTCAGAGGCCGCTTGGCTTCTGGGTACCTGCCCTCCTCTTCCCCTTCCTCTCCCCCACCCCCAAATGTCACTTCCCAGGAATAGGGAAGTGGACCTGAGGCCGGAAAACAACTTGGCCACTTCTTCCGAACATCACACTCCACCCAGGCTACTTCACGGCCCCACGTCTCGGGGGCTGGGGGGGACCCTGGACAGAGGTGGGGACAGGGCAGGGCCCCTGCCTGCCAGGCCTCAGCAGGTCCCTCTGGACTCTCCCAGCCTAGACCCAGGGGCAGCCCTGGGATCCGCCTCCTTCAGCCACTCTGGCACTCCTGTTCCCCCAACATGGTCAAGCAGGAAGGGCCTGGGAGGGCACAGCTCATGGGGGTTCCAGGAAGCAGCAGCGGGGCCGGGAAGGGCTGGCAGGCCGGGTCGCCACTCAGGGTGGCCAGACCCCCCTACCCACCGCAGGCCCTGGATGTTGACACAGACACACCCACAGGTGCCCCTTCCTGGGTTCGAGAGCCCCGTCCTCTGCTCCTGCTGCATCCTGGGGTCAAAATGCCCCCGGGGCCTCTTGGTAGCCACCCAGGCTGGCCCTGGGGACACTCCTAGGAACAGACCCAGGTCCTTCCGGAAAAGGCCGCAGGAGGAGAGTGTGGAAGGTCCCCGCAGAGCCACACAGGCACAGCCTGGAGGACATCACTTCCTGGGGCTCATCCAGCTGACTCGTCCCCAGCCCTGGTCCAGTGTCATGTCCAGGCGGTGGCTGCCAGGATCCAGCCCCTAAACACAGCCTGGGGGCCACTTCCAGCCGCCTGGAAAGGAAGAGACAGGCTTGGACTGGTGCCGTCCTTGCTCTTTCTCCGTGAGCAGAACTTTGGGCCACATAGGTCCTTTCTCGGAACCAATGACTGCCCCCACCAAACCCAGGTGTGGGGGACTCTCTCCCCTCCCCCAGGCCCATTTCTGGGCCATCTGAAGAGGACATCCCAAGGGCCTGGAGTGCCCACTTGCCAGCTCCAAGCTGTGTGGATTCTGCTCGGGTCTGGCAAGGAGGGGCCAGACAGAGCCCGGCCTGACGCTGTCACCTGTCCTGCCCTGAGCTGTCTGTGGGCAGAGCTCAAGCTCTGGCAGCAACACTCCAGTCTGAGTGCCCAGCTGGGCCAGCTGCCATTCACAGGCCTGACCTTCCCCCAAGTCCCCATGGCTGGGAAGGCGGCTGCCCCCTCTGACAGGAGTGGGGATCCAGGAGCCCCGGAGGTGCGTGCATCTCTGGGGTGGTGACGGCGTTCTGAGCCCATGCTCTGCAGGAATGTTTGCTGTGATCAGGCCCCCTGGGGGGTCTGAGCCCCTGGGACTCCATCTGCAGGTCCGGCTCCTCATGGCTGGACACTGGCTGGAGCAGTCCTTGGACCATCCTTGGAAGCTTCAGAAACTCTTCCAGGAAAGCGTTACTCCTGCTGCAGGCCCTGGGCTTCCGGCTTCTCAAAGCCCCCCTGGGTGGCTCCAAACTGTACAAGCCTGACTGGGGACCCCCGGCCTGGCTCTGGGTGGGAGAGAGCACCCCACTCTCACCTCTGCACATTCTGTGATCCCCCAACGCCCTCCTGACCTCCTCCGGGGAGCCCCTGGGTGAGACCCACGGGGGAGCTGGGCTCGGCGCGTGTGTGAGCCTGCAGCAGCCACACAGACACCCTGGAGGAGGGCCAGATCTGGCTTCTGGCTCCTGGGGAACCCCCACCACCACCTCTCCTGAGTCTCCTCCTCATCAGAATGCTGGGGACCAGAGCCAAATGGCTGGGGCCTATCCTGTCTGGGCACCAGGCAGAGGCCACCCAACTCCCTGAGTCCTCCAAGGTCTCCAGCCTGGGCCCAGAAGCTAAGCCCTCGCAGTGGGGTCAGATGTGAGCTGTTGAGGGCAACTCTGCCTCCCCAGCCCCGCGTGGACCAGGCCAGGACAGGAAGAATGAGGTGGGGCCCCCATGACCAGCTGCGGCTCTTGGCCTGCAGGATTTCAGCAGGGAGAAGGCAGAACTGCCATGTGGCACGCTGAGCACTGCCCAGCCGCCTCATCCCAGGAGCCCTCCTCCCGGGGTCTGTGCCCAAAACCACAGGCTCTTCTACCGGGCGCCCACTGGGTGCTGTGGGACGTGCTGCTTGGTACAATGTCGTCAGATTCTCCGCACAGCCTCCACAGAAATCGCAGTGCCTCTCCAGAGACTGAGCCTGATAGAGTCTGGGGATGTGTCTGTGACTCTGGGCTGGGTCAGCGGAAGAGCAGGGACCCAGGCCGAGGTGCCAGGACGGCCCCAAAGGGCCACCAGGGAAGGCACTGCAGGGCCAAAGGCCAAGAGCTATGAAGTGGGCAGGGCTGTGGTCCAGGCCCAAGGCCAGGGTGGCCTGTCCCTGGTCAACAGGTCAGAGGTCCCAGGTGAGGGGGCCCTGCACGCCTGCCCTGGCCCCCGGCCCAGGCCTGGGACACACAGGCCACGCAGCTCCGGCTCAGGCTGAGTCGTGGTCTGGGTGGTGGCAAGGCCACAGCTCTCCAGGTTGGCAGATCCAGTGAGGCTGCTGCGCTGAAGCCACAGTTCCCACCATCACTGCAGCCCCCGGGCGACCAACAGAGGCAGCCCCCCTCCAGCTGGGTCTCAGCGTCTGCTCCACTGAGGACAGGGTTCAGGACGGGACACTCCCACAGCATCTTCTATGTTTGTGCAGGACTCTTTCTGCAGAGTCCAAGTGACGGATGCCAGGCGGCCATGCTCACTGGGGCCCAGGCCCCGGGTGGCTTATGGAATATAAATGGTCTGTGCTGGTAGCAGGTGGGGGTAACCTGGTGGGAACAGCTGCCTCTCTAACACAGGCCAGGCCTCAGCTGAGGGGTAAAACTGGTGTCCTCCAGGCAGGGACAGAGGCTGGAAGAGGCAGCCAAAGCGGCTGGGCCTGAGTTCATGCAGGTCGCCCACACCCCCAGCTCCCACTGACTAGGCGCCCCACTCCACCCCAGGCCCAACCCTGGGATGCCTTTGGTGAAACGTTGCAAAATCCTGGCACAGCTCTGCTGGCTCCTATCTGCAGCGGGTGAGAGGCTGCGACGACCGAGAGTGGAGGCCAGAGGGGAAAGGGCCTCTCCCCACAACAGGCATCGCCTGCCCCCGCCACTGCCCTGGGAGCACCCAGTCTTGGCCGCTGCAGCCTGTGTGGGCTGGAAGACGAGGTGCAGCAGGTGCCCCTCCCAAGCTGGGAACAGCTGGGGGAGTCCGGTCTGCGGGGAGATGACGCAGAGCTCCAGCCCAGGGCCTGGGGCGGCCGTACTGGGACATTGATTCTGGGTGGCAGCAGGTGCTGGTGGGGGCCAGGCCCATGGGCTGGGGAGGAGGGCCTGTACCCTGGTGGCCCAGGGGAGCCACAAAGGGTCCAAGGCAGGACTGTGAGGGGCTCACAGTGGGAAAAAGACCATGGTGGCCAAGGGGGCTCACACTGGGGCCTGGGATGAGGGTGGGAGCGGGCAGGTGGATCGGCAGGAGGGAGGTTTGGGAATGGGATAGGCCTCGGTAAGGGCTTGGGGGCAGGTGAGGGGACGCCCCCTCCTCAGGCATGGCCTGGGTTGGAAGGGCATCACATACAGGCAGGACAAGGCCGGGCGACCCTGTGGGATAGGCACGGGGCAACTGGAAACAGGCTGATTAAGGAGGCCTTGGTCATTGGCTTGGAGACTGGGGGTGGACAGGATCCCCAGGGAAGGAGGGAAGAGGGGCGGGATGGGCCGGCGGGAGGCAGGACAGTGGGGACACAGCCTGGGGAGCAGGAATGGGGGTGCCCGTGGAGCATGAACCCTGTTAACACTCCCCTCTGCAATGCCCCAGCTTTGAGGAGGTGTCTGTAAGTGTGATTCTATGTGTGAGTGTTTGTGAATTGGTGCGTGTGAGCAGTGTTAGCATGCATGTGTGTGTGGGAGACTGTAAGTGGCCCCAGCCACCTTCCATTCCACCTCCTCATCCTCCCGAATCCAGGCAGGCCAGCCTGGCTTGGGTCACCATGGCAAGAGCGTGACCCTCCTTCCAGCAGGCCAGGGTACCTGGGGGGACTCGCCGTGTCCACTGCGGAGCAGGGGCGGCTGTTTCCAGGTCAAGCAGTCGGGATGGGATGGCTCAGGGGCTGGGCTGGGGACTGGGGTGTGCAGACCCTCTGACAAGCTCTGCTCCACTCCCCTGTCCCTGCCCTGGGAAACACCTGCTCCAAGGACAGGCAGAGGCCCTGGCCCTGGAGCAAGGCTGCCCCTCTCAGCAGGATAGCCCAAGGGAAGGAGGCACCCATGCCATGCCGGCCTGAGCTTCAGGTGGGGTGGGGGGTGGGAGGACACAGGAAGGGGCTGGGCTGGGCCCTCTGCAGTCAGTACCCAGGTGGAGCGGCTCCCGCACCAAGACCCCGCCACGCCCACCTCCTGGCTCACCTCCTATCTGCAGGAGCGGCCCCAGCTCTGGCCCATGGGCTGGGCCTGCCCATGGGGCCCACTGGATGGGCCATCCACGAACCAGGAAAAAACAGGCAGGGCTGGTGTCCTGCACTGCTGGGGACTTGGCCGGGGGGTGGGGTGTTGATGGGACCTGTGGGAAAGGGGTGGCCCAGGGCAGAGGGTGAGAGGCCCTGAGGCCTCTCAGATTTTTCTTGCCCTGTATGCAGAGCGCAGATGCTCCACAACTGGGATGACCCATATCTGTTTGCCAAGCTGAGGAACAGGCTGGGCTGTGCCCAATGGCAGGGGAGGGGCACGACAAGGTGAGCAGGGTTATCTGGCGTTACTGGGGACCCCAGCACTCCAACTAGATCAGATGTGGTGGCCTGGGCCAGACACAGTCTAAAAGAGGCCTCAATGTCAAACAGTCCCGGGGGAGAGGGAAGGGCTGGGGACCATGCTGACCCCGCACGGAGCTCACCGTCAGTGCAAGGGTCCTCGCTGCACACACAAGCACGTACAACAGTAAATCGACAACATACACCAGTGTCTGGACAGACGTGGTTACAAAGATGTCACACTTTAGGGAAAGGGCTGCCTCTGGCCCTGCCCTGCCCTCCACTCCAGGGCCAGGCTGCTGGACCCCCACGCAGGAGCCCTCCGGAGGCTTTCACCGAGGCCTGTGTGGCAGGAATCCCATCTGGAGGCCTGGAGGAATCTCCAGCACACCTGGAGTGAGCGGGAGGAGGGCCGTGGAGGACAGGCACACCGTGCTTTCTGAAGGAGCAAGTCCTCCTGGATCTTAGTTAAGGGACACTTGAGGGTTTCAGAGCAAGACCCGGGGCCTAGGGAGAGCCAGGGTGGGGTGCCTGCCCGCCAGAGCCTGGTCTTCTACGGCCAGGATGACTCAGGGAAGACTGGCCTGGAGCCTGACATGTCAGACTCAAGGAAGACTAGCCTGACATGTCAGGCTGAGGACCCTCGCCCCTCCAGACTGACATGAACTCAACTGTAGTGGTCACCCCCTAGACCTACCGTGCTCTCCAGCATCTCTGCCCACCTCTGCTGCGTGTCCAGCACAGAAGAGGGCAGCCCCACTGGACCCTCAGGTAGGTCCCCGGGAGGACCCACATGGGCAGCAGCCCCTCCTCCTTCGCAGGTGCTGTGTGGATACTGCTGGAGGGGAAGGCTTGGGGTGTCATCCTACCAGGGATCTGATCTCGGGGGAGCCCTGTGCTGGGTGCGTGGTGGGTGGGGGAAGGCTAACCCACCAGCCCCAACCCTGCCCTCGTACTGCGGGAGAGAACTGGACAGAGCTCTGGGAAGCAGCGGCTGGAGGGGGAGGGGCCTGGGGACAAACAATGTCGCGTTGGCTTTGATCCTCAGGACCCAAGGGACAGGAAGAGATGAGCTAGGCAAGAGAGGAGCCCCCAGGAGCACAGGCATGGGCCCAGGCAGCGGGCGACGAAGCGAGCCCCAGAGGGCGCCCAGATGGCAGGTGGGCCTGGGCCAGTCCCGAGAGCCACAGCCTCAGAAGAGCTGAACAGGGGAGTGGTGTGTGAGTGGTCAGCGCAGGGACAGCGATGGTGACTGTATAGAGATGAGAGGTCAGACTTAGGGGAGGCTGGAAGCTCCGAGGCAAGTGTGTGTGCGCGCTGACGGTCACACCAGACCGCCCGGGGATGTCTGCCACAATATTTAGACCCCTGAGGGCCACTGAGAACGCCTGGCAGTGCCAAGAGGACCAGCCCCTGGGCCCTCTGGCCCCCAACTCTCAACCCACTAGCCCTGGGGCTGGCGGGTGGCCACTCACGTCCTGGAACCCTGAGCTGCTCTCAGGCCGGTGACTTTGGACCAATGTTGGCAATCTGTGGGTTTGCACCAAACCACACAGGTGAGTCAGACTTCTGTACAGAGAGCAGGGAAGGGGCACGACAGGGTGAAGTCCAGACCAGGGCAATGTGTACCCCGGCTGTTCAGCCTTTGAGTGCGGCTGTCGCAGCAATCAAGGTGGGCTCCCTGGTGGAGGTGGACAGCAGCTGCTGGAGAGCCCGGAGGGCAGCCAGGACCGTGTCAGACGGCAGGAGTCGGGCGGGGCCACTCCAGGCACCGGCCAGCAGGGCAGAGGTACCAGGGAGGGCCCTCGGGCTGCGGGCGTGAGGTCAGAGCCCAGGGTGAGGAGGAAGCATCTCCAGCCAGGTGCGCTCTCGGCCCCCGCCGGGGCTGCGAGGCTGGGGGCGCTGCCGCTGCGAGGGCTTCCAGAGGAGCCGGCGCTACCTCCCCGCGCGCCCGGCCACGTGCGCGACGGGATGCGCAGACAGCCGGGGACGCAGACTGGCGGCGTGTGTCACCTCGAGGCCGCGGGACAAGCGCAGGTCGCCTCCCGCACTCCCACACCCCCAGGAACCCTGCTCGGGGCCGGCGGGTGACCTTCCTAGGCACTGCTGGGGGCGGAGCCAGGAAACGGCTCGCCCCGCCATTGGCTGGGGCGCCGGATTTCTTTAAAAACTCCGGCTTCCATTGGCTCGTGCAGTCCCTCCTCGTTCTGCCCGAGGCGCCACGGCCGCCACCCGCGCGGGCACTGCGCCTGCGCGGAGTGAGAGCGTGAGCGCGGAGAGCGGACCGACGCGACACGCCGTGCGCCTCCGCGGCTGCGCTACGAAAACGAGTCCCGGAGCGGCCCCGCGCCCGCCGCACCCGGCCCTCGCCCGCCCGAAGACAGGCGCCAAGCTGCCCCGCCGTCTCCCCAGCTAGCGCCCGGCCGCCGCCGCCTCGCGGGCCCCGGGCGGAAGGGGGCGGGGTCCCGATTCGCCCCGCCCCCGCGGAGGGATACGCGGCGCCGCGGCCCAAAACCCCCGGGCGAGGCGGCCGGGGCGGGTGAGGCGCTCCGCCTGCTGCGCGTCTACGCGGTCCCCGCGGGCCTTCCGGGCCCACTGCGCCGCGCGGACCGCCTCGGGCTCGGACGGCCGGTGTCCCCGGCGCGCCGCTCGCCCGGATCGGCCGCGGCTTCGGCGCCTGGGGCTCGGGGCTCCGGGGAGGCCGTCGCCCGCGATGCTGCTCTCCAAGTTCGGCTCCCTGGCGCACCTCTGCGGGCCCGGCGGCGTGGACCACCTCCCGGTGAAGATCCTGCAGCCAGGTACGCGCGGGGCCGGCGGGGCCGGGGCCGGGGCCAGGGCGGGGACCGGGGGCGCCCCGGGCCGCACCAACCCCGCCCGCGCCTCCCTGCAGCCAAGGCGGACAAGGAGAGCTTCGAGAAGGCGTACCAGGTGGGCGCCGTGCTGGGTAGCGGCGGCTTCGGCACGGTCTACGCGGGTAGCCGCATCGCCGACGGGCTCCCGGTGAGTCGGACCGCCGGGCGGGCCCGGGTTTCTCGCGCGCCTTGCGCCTCGCTTGGCCCGGCCTGACCCCCGCGTCTCCGCAGGTGGCTGTGAAGCACGTGGTGAAGGAGCGGGTGACCGAGTGGGGCAGCCTGGTAAGTTGGGGCACGGGCGGCGGCGGCGGCGGGGGGCGGGCGCGGGGCTTTTGCTGACCGCCGTGTCCCCCAGGGCGGCGCGACCGTGCCCCTGGAGGTGGTGCTGCTGCGCAAGGTGGGCGCGGCGGGCGGCGCGCGCGGCGTCATCCGCCTGCTGGACTGGTTCGAGCGGCCCGACGGCTTCCTGCTGGTGCTGGAGCGGCCCGAGCCGGCGCAGGACCTCTTCGACTTTATCACGGAGCGCGGCGCCCTGGACGAGCCGCTGGCGCGCCGCTTCTTCGCGCAGGTGCTGGCCGCCGTGCGCCACTGCCACAGCTGCGGGGTCGTGCACCGCGACATTAAGGACGAAAATCTGCTTGTGGACCTGCGCTCCGGAGAGCTCAAGCTCATCGACTTCGGTTCGGGTGCGCTGCTCAAGGACACGGTCTACACCGACTTCGACGGTGAGCGCGGGCGCGGGGCAGGGAACGTTCCGGGGGCCTTGCCGGCGGGTTAACGCCTGCAGGGGCGGCACATGGAGGGGCTGATGACTGTTGGGCGGCCGCGCGCCCTGGGTCTGCTCTCGTGGGGAGCAGAGGCCCACGCGCTACCCTGGGGAGGGCTGAGCGAGGGATCAAGAGCGGGATCGTGCTGGGTGGGGGCTAGGGGCGCGCTCAATATTGCTTCCTCCATCGCGTTGGGGGGTACGGGGCCTCTTGCCCCGGTGTGGGAGGCGCGTGACATCCTTCCGGCCCGAGAGACCCCCGGCTGGGGGCGGTAGCGGAGGAGTCTCCGTGCGTGACGCAGGGCGCAGCCGGGCTGGGTCTGCGCCGGGAGCCTGGAGGCCCCCGCGGCGCGGTTGGAGTGGCGGGGCCTCCCCTGCGTGGGGGCGGGAGCTGCGTGCGTGCGGAGCGCGGGGGCGCGGCGGCAGAAATCCCCGCATTGCGGAGCTTGGGGAAGCCGGGGCTCCCCGCCCGCCCCTCCCTCCTCCCTCCCTCTCTCCCCTCCCCCCGTTCCCGCAGGCAGGCGCGCCGGGCGGTAAGGGACCCGCGCTGTCCCCCCCCCACCCAGGTAGCCTCACAGCGCATCTGTTTGTTGTGAAAGCCGAGCTCTTACTCATGTGACCTGCTCCTCCCCCGCGGCCGGCGGAGGGGGACGGCCGGCCCCTCCCCCAGCCCCCCCATCGCCTGCCGGGGTTTTTCCAGGGTGATGACGAGCAGGATTTTGAGGCCTGGCTCTGCTTCCTGTTACTGAGGCCAGGGAGTTAACCAGCAGGGACCTCGCCGTCTGTTGAGCGGCTCTGCCTCTGTGGTGGGCGTGCTAAGCCCTGTGTCCCCTTAGGCACCCGAGTGTACAGCCCCCCGGAGTGGATCCGCTACCACCGCTACCACGGGCGCTCGGCCACCGTGTGGTCGCTGGGCGTGCTTCTCTACGATATGGTGTGTGGGGACATCCCCTTCGAGCAGGACGAGGAGATCCTCCGAGGCCGCCTGCTCTTCCGGAGGAGGGTCTCTCCAGGTGCGTGGTGGCTCGAGGCGGGGGTGGGGGCCTCGCCCTGCTTGGGCCCTCCCTGACCTCTCCGCTCCGCACAGAGTGCCAGCAGCTGATCCGGTGGTGCCTGTCCCTGCGGCCCTCAGAGCGGCCGTCGCTGGATCAGATTGCGGCCCATCCCTGGATGCTGGGGGCTGACGGGGGCGTCCCGGAGAGCTGTGACCTGCGGCTGTGCACCCTCGACCCTGATGACGTGGCCAGCACCACGTCCAGCAGCGAGAGCTTGTGAGGAGCTGCACCTGACTGGGAGCTAGGGGACCACCTGCCTTGGCCAGACCTGGGACGCCCCCAGACCCTGACTTTCTCCTGCGTGGGCCGTCTCCTCCTGCGGAAGCAGTGACCTCTGACCCCTGGTGACCTTCGCTTTGAGTGCCTTTTGAACGCTGGTCCCGCGGGACTTGGTTTTCTCAAGCTCTGTCTGTCCAAAGACGCTCCGGTCGAGGTCCCGCCTGCCCTGGGTGGATACTTGAACCCCAGACGCCCCTCTGTGCTGCTGTGTCCGGAGGCGGCCTTCCCATCTGCCTGCCCACCCGGAGCTCTTTCCGCCGGCGCAGGGTCCCAAGCCCACCTCCCGCCCTCAGTCCTGCGGTGTGCGTCTGGGCACGTCCTGCACACACAATGCAAGTCCTGGCCTCCGCGCCCGCCCGCCCACGCGAGCCGTACCCGCCGCCAACTCTGTTATTTATGGTGTGACCCCCTGGAGGTGCCCTCGGCCCACCGGGGCTATTTATTGTTTAATTTATTTGTTGAGGTTATTTCCTCTGAGCAGTCTGCCTCTCCCAAGCCCCAGGGGACAGTGGGGAGGCAGGGGAGGGGGTGGCTGTGGTCCAGGGACCCCAGGCCCTGATTCCTGTGCCTGGCGTCTGTCCCGGCCCCGCCTGTCAGAAGATGAACATGTATAGTGGCTAACTTAAGGGGAGTGGGTGACCCTGACACTTCCAGGCACTGTGCCCAGGGTTTGGGTTTTAAATTATTGACTTTGTACAGTCTGCTTGTGGGCTCTGAAAGCTGGGGTGGGGCCAGAGCCTGAGCGTTTAATTTATTCAGTACCTGTGTTTGTGTGAATGCGGTGTGTGCAGGCATCGCAGATGGGGGTTCTTTCAGTTCAAAAGTGAGATGTCTGGAGATCATATTTTTTTATACAGGTATTTCAATTAAAATGTTTTTGTACATAGTGGATAATCCTGTATTTATGGGGCTGGGCATCCTGGGGGAAGAGAGGGGCTCTGAGGAAGGGCTTTGGCTGCTGGGTGACCTGACAAGTTTCCCGTGGGGCTGGTAGTTTTGCCCACGGGGGAAACGGGGGAGGCCCAGCTGGGTGCCAGCCTCCCCAGTGCCACAGGCTACTTCATGTGGCTTGTGGCCCACCGCACTACCCCGTGCTGCACCCAGGGAGAAGAGCAGCTGCCTCCTGGGGTGCCTCTGGGAGGTGGAGGCAGGGAGCCAGGCCCTGAGGATGCAGCAACCCACACTAGTCAGGAGGTCATTCCTCGGTGGTCCCAGGAGGATCTCTGCAGCCCCCACCCAGGGAGGCCTTGCCAGTGGAAATGGCCATACTTGCATCCTGGCTTGGTGGAAACAGAGACGTGCGGGGGGGTGGGGGAGGGAGTCCATGCTGCCTCAGAGGGTGGCTGGGGGTTTTGAAGGACAGGGAGGAGTTTGCCAGGCACATGGGGTGGGAGTGTGTTCCGGGCAGTGCCAAGGACGTGCAGAGGACATGAGGGTGGGGTTTGGTGGAGGGTATCGGGGTGTTCAGTCAGTTATAGTTAGACCCTGGCCTGGCGGGTGTGTGGTGAGAGAGTGGGGTATGAACCAGGTTCGGGTGTGTCAATGGGCCTGGCCACAATGTTCCTGGTGGGTAGAGGAGGCCTGGGTGGAGGGTCCCAGTGAGACTGCTCCCCCACCCCCACCCCAGGGGCCTTCTGCTCAACTGCCCACCCTGTGCTGGGCTGTGGGGTGCCCCATGTTGGCAGTGGACCTGCACCTGGGGCATCACCCAGTCTGCCAAGCGCACCTACTCGGCTCTCTGGCTCCTGGAGCCCTGTCTGCCCCCTGCCTCCCATCTGCCCCTCCGAATAAGAGTCCCTGATAAACAGCCCGGGGCAGGCAGCACCATACTGGACAGAAGACTGTCCCAGGCCCGAGGCCAGAGGCTGTGGCAGAGGCGGGAAGTTTGGGAAAGAGAAACAGGAGGAGACGAAAGTCACCCTTCCCCTGGAGAGCAGGCAGAGAGGGCTCGGGTGGGGGGCTCCCGCCTCAGGTTGTGACTGTTCAGGACATCAGTGGGTGTTTGTGGCCTCTGCTGTGGAGATCCAGGAGCACCTGGAGGGCAGCTGCTCAGTTAGGCAGGTCTCTCGGGGCCCTCATCTCACCCTACAGCCTCAGGCCAGCAGGGGAGATGAGGAGGTGCCGGGAAGGACAAGCCACCGGTTCCCATAGACCTGGCCCAACCAGCGTGCCCTGAGTCCAGTCTGGTCCAGTGAGGCTTTTCCCATTACCCCACCCCCCACTGCCAAAATGGGACCCTCGGGCAGCAGCCATTGCGGCCCACCTGCTCCTGGGCCAACTGCCATGGGCATTCCCCAGCCCCCAGCCATGGGCATCCCCAGCCCCGGCTTCAGCCAGGCAAAGGCCCTCCACGCAGATTGCTTTTGGGAAACTGAAGGCCAGAGAGGCAGGAACCTTGGGCAGATGTCAGAATAGGACTCTGGTCCTTCCCACTGCTGTGCCCCACACACTGCTGCTGAGGGCTGGCTGGGGACCCCTCTAAGGTGGCCTACAGGGTGGGGACATCTGCCAGGGCCCTGGGAATGGGTGCAGGGCGCTGGGCTGAGGCTCCCAGCGAGATAGCTCTGGCCTTCTAGCACAGGGGATGGCGCGCTTGGGGGCGCCTCTGGACATAGCCCTCCACCCCCTGACTCAGGAGGAGACAGGGCCCAGCCAGCCTCGGGTCCTTCCTCAGGCTCTCGGCCACAGGTCATCTGCCTGACTGAGCACCACGGCCCAGGGGCGGCAGGAGCTGGTGGAGGATTCCTGTGGGCCTTTTCTGGCTCCTGGGGCGGCCCATAGTGAGCTTTCAGAGACATCTCTGAGGGCACCATCCTGGTCCAGAGACAAGCAGAGCTCCAGAGCCCAAGCGCCAGGAATCTGCTCCCCTGCCGGCCCCACCCCACCTCTGCTGCTTTGGCTCTGCTGGGCCACTTGACTTTGGGTGCTGGACGAAGGGGAAGGATTCAGGGCCTCCCCAACCCTTCCCTGGCCCCCTCCAGCCCCCCAGCTGTCTGGGCTCCTGCACACCCTTCCCCTAGACACTCCCTGGGGCTCTGGCAGGATCCAAGTGACCGTAGGCCTGGTTCCTCCCCGCCAGTCCCCACCCTAGACCTGCGGTCTGGCCTCTCCCTGGGGGTCGAAGCCCAGCAGAATCCACTGTGTTCCTGCAGGGCCTCTGTGGGCTCCTAGGTGGGTCCTTCCCTATGGACTGGGCCCCTCCCACCCTGCCTAGGAGCCTCCAGGGCTGCAGTACCCCTTGGCCACTCGGGTTGAGGGATGATGTGTATCCCCAGCCATGCTCACCCCTGCAGGGTGTACACCAGGTGACTGGTCTGGACCTGCTGCCTGCAGGATCTGGGGCCAGAGTCCAGGTCAGAACCAGCCCACCGCCCTGAGCCTCTCTCAGGGGAAGATGGGGTACCCAAGCACATCCACCCCAGGGCACCCTCCTCCTAGCTTGCAGACCTGGGCCTGCTTGGCCGCTTATGACTTCGGGTGGGCGCCTGGCCTCTGAGGCTGTTTCCCCCACCTGGGTCATTCAGAGCTGGGTCCAGGTGACCCATCCCCAAGGGAGGCCCCTTGCTTGTTCATGGGGGAGCAAACCCTCACCCCACCCATCCTGGTCGACATCTGGGGCACGGCACCCTGGGAGAGGCTTTCCTGCAGGGCCCTGGCCAGGAGGAGGGCAGTGGCCAGGCTGGAGGGGCAGGCCCTGCCCCCACCCTGCCTTGTCAGGCCTTACTGCCGGGAACCCGGGGGCCAGAGGCTGTTCAGTTGTGAAACGAAAGCTCAGGGTTTCGCCAGGGCTGCCCGGGAAGCGGTGGGCCTGGAAGCCATGTGCCAGAGGATCTAGCACCGCCATGAGAGGCCTCTGTCTGCAGAAAGGGGAAGGACTCATTGAGAAATTCCGGGCTGGGAATCTATCTTGGGCCCTGTACTCTCTCAGCCCCGGCAGGGGTCAGGGGCAGGGGTCAGGGATGGACAGAGACCCAGCAAGCTCTTATCTCCCCTGTGCTCTGTGGGCAGACTGGCTGACACCCTTCCCTAACGCCTGCCTGGGGCCCTAGGCCCAGCCGCACCTGGACGCTGCCCACGCAGATCCCCCAGCGGCCCCCGTCCAGCCTTGGTGTCCTGACTGCTTCCTTTGGAGGAGCCTGGGTGCCTCAGACCCGGTGTGGGCTTAGCTCCCCCTTCTGTCTCCCTTGCTCTCCCCGACTCCCCGGGGCCCGGTGTGATGCTGGTGTCATATCACACCGCGAGCTCAGCCTGAGGGTCCAATGGGTGTGTGGGTGTGTGGTCAGCCCTCAGCCGCTGCCTGTCCAGGCTGCCACCGCCCATCCAGGGAGCTGCTCGGCCTCTGCCCACAGAACAGCCCCGCAGCTGCACAGGTGGCTTCCTACAGTTTCCTTTCGTGCTGTTTCCGCGACAGCTCAGGGGCTCCCGGGCCAGTTGGGTGCCCGGCACGGGGTGGTGTTCGCAGGGGCTGCCAGGGATCACTTCCCTTTGCCGCGCAGCTTTGGCACCACAGCCATGCTAAGGTTTCGTTTCTGGAGCTGCTTTGGAAGAAAGAAACTGAACAGCGCCCTGATGGCTACAGAAGGTCTGTGTCCCAGTCTCTCCTTCTGGGAAGCTGGGCTGGCCTTGGGCCCAGAGGCGGTCGAGCAGCCTGGCAAGAAGAACGGACCTCGGAGCGGAACCTTGCCCCCTGTGTGGGTGCCGGGCAGGCTGTGGGGCACGACCAGCCTTGGCCCCTCCCCCGACCTGTTTACTGACCAGGCCACCCTCAGGGGCATAGCTGTGGACAAACCAATCAGTTCCAAGGCTGCCGAGTGAGCCAGGACGGCATCTGTGTGGCCCAGCCTGCACTGACAGCTGGAACGACGCACTCACCACAGTACGCAGCGGTCACATGACACTGAGGACCACAGCCTGTTCAGGACTCCCCCTGGGGTGGACGCTGTCCAGAACTTGGCAGAATGTTTCTAAAGGACACCTTTAGATAGCAAATCAGCAAAGGACCACCCGTGCAGAGAATAATTGGACCAGGTGTGGGAAGAGAGGTCAGCGTGTGGACGTGGGCGGGGTGGGGGGTACGGAGCCTGGGCACAGTCTTCTGGAAGTTGGGGGCAAGGAGCAGAGGGTGGAGGACGAGACCCAGGAAGCTTCCGGCCTGGAGGAAGGCAGGTTGGAGTTTCAAGGGTCTGGTCTCCCAGACAGTCCTTCCTAAGGCAGCCTGTCTCCCTCTCCTCCAGCCCCATCCTGGACCTGAGACAACCTGGGTCTGAGGGAGCCCCTCCCAGACCCGAGACTCCGCACACAGGGCTGGTTCTGATGAGCAGATAGATCCTGCTCCTGCAGAGCGGGGTGTCCTGCAGATGCCAGGGACCTGCAAAGCCTGGCACAGGGCAGCACAGACCTCCCCGCCTCGCCCGCCCTCCACAGAGCCTCCAGGCCCTGAGCAGTGGGACAGCCGGGGGCAGCTGGAGGCACCTGCAGGCACCAGGTCCAGACCCATCCTCCTGGCCAGGTCCCTGCAGAATCTCCCAGGGGTGCCGTGCCCCAGATGCCAGCCAGCATGGGTGGAGTGGGTGTTCGCTCCCCCATGAACAAGCAAGGGGTCTCTCTTGGGGATGGGTCACCTGGACCCAGCTCTGAATGATCCAGGTGGGGGAAACTGAAGCCCAGAGGCCAGGCGCCCACCCAAAGTCATAAGGGGCCAAGCAGGCTCAGGTCTGTAAGCCAAGAGGAGGCTAGCCTGGGGTGGGTGTGCTTCTGGGAGCCCCATCTTCCCCTGGAAGGCCAGGGCGTGGCTGGCTGTGAGCTCTCCCCTAATCCTGCCACCTGCCCTCCTGCAGGGCCCTGGGCTGCACTCTGCTGCTCCACTGACACAGGTGGGGGCCAGCTGAGGAGCCGATGGCCCTCCAGGCCCAGCACATGATGCAGCCCCATGCCACTCTCCTGGCCTGAAGCCCTGTGGCCACTGTGCTGAGGCTGGCTCTGTGGGCTTCCTCCGGACTCTGGGGCTTGGCCTGTGCAGGGCAGGTGCTCGGATGTCCCGGAGGAGCTCCTGGGCAGCGTCCGTTGGGCCCCTCACCAGAACTGCTGTGATCAGTGACCCCCACCCCACTGGCCACTCCAGCAGGTGGCGGGGGGCATGGAGAAGGGAAGCACTGGTGCCCCAGTCCTCAGGCCAGACCCAGCCCAAAGGTGGTCTGAGCATTCCCTGAGGCCGCTGAGTGTCCTGCCAGGGTCCGGGCTGTGCGACCGCCCTGGACTGCACCTGGGAAGACGTTCCCATCAGGCGGCTGGGCCTGCTCTGGTTTGCAGGTGCCCTGGGTCCTGGGGCCCAGTGACTGGCTCCACCCCTTGGGCCAGGCCAGGCAGAGCTGTTTGCCTGCAACCAGGGACCAGGGGTCCTGGGCCACTGGACGCTGCCAAGGCTACAGTGTGCCAGGAAAGCATGAGGACCTTTTCTGGGCCTCTATGTCTAGAAAGGACATGAGATATGGGCCCTCATATCCCATGGGGGAGCGGGTCAGTGTAGAGAGGACCAGGGACCTGGAAATGCCAGGATTGAGTCTCAGGCCACATGTACAACCTGCTGGCCAGGTCCCCACAGAGGCAGCCCTATCCCACGGAGCATCCCAGAGGGGCCACCCCAAGACTCCCAACCCTCCACTTGCCCCTGTCTGGTTTTCTGCTTACCAAATCCTCCCACTTTTCACTCAGGAGGGAACCAGACGTTCCTGAGCCTGGGGGCTCACCCCTGCCTGAGAGGCATGACCAAGACCTATGTGGGCGGGATCATTCCAGATGTAGCAGAAACATGGTGAGGGCTCTTTGGGGCCACTATCACCATCAGCCTTTGCACAGGTGGGCTCCCCAGTGGGGCCTGGGAGACAGCACAGGCAGCTCTGCAGAGATCTGGGGAGAGGGGCTTGGCAGTGGGGCAGCAGGTGCAAAGGCCCTGAGGCAGGCGGAGGGGCCAGGACCACAGTCCCATCCAGCACTCGCCCTGGGCCCTGCCTCCTGGTCTACTCCATGCCCAGGGTCCCCCTCAACAGTCTGTTCCGTGTGGGATGAGCTGAGGGGAGGAAGCAGGGGTCTCAGAAGCACAAGGGCCCTGAGCAGAGCCCTGGGGACTGTCTCCTGCTGTGAGACAGGACTGGGCAGGGGCTGGCAGGCATGTGTCTGGGTGGCCCATGCCAGCCGTGGAGCAGGCCAGGGGCTGCTCTGATGCCCACAGGACTGCCCATTTGCCAGCACAGGACCTGGCCCTGGAGGGTCCTGGAGTCCCAGCTCTACCCTGAAGCAGCCACCTCAGTCCTCCCTCTAGAAAGGACCAGCAGGGTCTACCGGGCCACCCAGGAATGCAGGCAACTCTTATGATGTGTAGGCACCTGTGTGTCCACATCTGTACACGTAGAAAAGTGTCGGTGGGTGTGTAAATCTATACATGTTCCAAGTGTGTGTGTCTGGGTTTTTGTGCATGTGCATGTGTGTGTGTGCATGTGAATCTCTGTGTGTGCAGGTGTGATTTCCTGTGTGCACGTCTATGTGTATATGCATGTGGGCACGTGTCTGCCATGTATGTGTGTGCTCCAATGTGTGTGATCCTGTGTGTGCACACGTGTGTGTGCATGCACGCGTCTGCACCTGGGCAGGACCTGGCCTAGGAAGAGCCTGGAGCCAAGACTAGCAGTTCTCCCCTCCCCCGCCCCCAAATGACGTGGCCGCTGCCACCGCGTGACTCACCCTCCCTTCACTCAAAGGGCACAGCAGCACGTGGGGGCGCCTCCTGTGACTCAGCACCTCCCGGAGGCGGTGAAGGGGGACGCTGGTGACAGGGGAGGAGTCTGGAGCTGAGAGGCGAACGGAGAGCACAGTGGAGCACACGGGCCCTGCCCACCCGCCTGTCCTGTCCAAGGATGCTGGGGCCCCGACCAGCCGGTCACAGGCGCGTCCTAGCTTTGGGGGCACACACGTGTTCCCGTGTGCGATGCGGGCTGGACCGTCTGGGGCCCCGGATGGGGTTTAAGAACATTTCCGGGCCCTGTGTCCCCCATAGTTGGGGGAGCCGCTGCGAGCGAGCACAGGGGAACGCGAGGCCGGGGTGGGTTCCTGGGCGCCGACGACGCAGGAGGAGGCGGATCTGGGGGCCGGGGGGCGGCGCAGAGAGCAGGGCGCGTGGGGAGCGGGAATGCGCTTTGGGGAGCGGCGCAGGCGGAGCCGGCCAGATCTTTAAGGCGGGGGAGGATGGTGCGGATCGGGAGGTAAAAGGTCGGCCTGACCCGGGAGCCGAGGAGGCCGGGCTGGCCAAAAGGACCCCGCCCACGGACGCGGCCCACGCGAGGCCCCTCCCTCCCCAGCGCCGAGGACGCGCTTGTCCGAAGCGGGCGTGGCGCGGAGTCCGGGGAGAGACCGAGGACTGTGGCCCGCGGACCTCCCCGCCCCCACACCCTGGCCCAGCCTCGGTACGTTCTGTCCCCGTCCCCACCACACGCGGTCTCCAGGGCCCGGCACCTGACACCAGGCCCTGCTGCGGCCGCTGCGCCCCGACAGCCAGATGAGCTGTGGGCTGCCTGGGCCGGCAGGGTCCCTGGGGCAGGAGGAGGGAGGGGAGAGGGGCCAAGATTCCACCCACCAGGGCACCTGCGGGCGCACTGTCTCCAGGACCACAGGTGCAAGCACTGGCGGGGCCCCAGGCCAGCCCTCCACGGAGAGCCCGGTCCCAGGCGGGCTGCGGGGGCAGGTGCGGGGCCGTCCAGCGTCTGGCTGTGGGGCGCCCAGTGGGGTTCTGCCCCCCGGGTCTCCTCCCTCCTGGGGAAAAGGAGCTGGAGACCGCCTGCCCTGAGGTCAGTCAGTAGGGTCGGCGCAGGTAGCAGAAGGCGAGCAGGTTGCTCTCTGGCGGGTGGGTGGGGAGTGGGTACCCCCTTCATCCCATCCACAGCTCAGGCCCCCGTCTCTGGGGACCTCGGGGCACCGCGTGGAGGAGCCCTGGCCTGCGGGGAGGGGTCTGCGGCGGGAATGGTTAGCCAGGCTGGGGGCACCGTCGGGGCGTCCCCACCACCTCGGCGCCCACGTCGGGTTTTGCGGGGGCTTCCCACGTGGGCCCCTGGGTGGGCGCCCACGCCCCATGCGCCTCCCCTGCGCCCCAGCCTGGCGGAGTCCTCCAGGTTCCTGCCCCTCAGGCAGCCGCACCCTGCCTGGTCCGCGGGACCCCCTACAAAGCCCTGACCTCCTCTCCTGGACCCTCCCACCTGGGCCCGCCGCCCCTACCTCGGGCTGCGCGACCACCCGCGGGCACCCTCGTCTCGCAGCCCCGCCTGGACCTCTTCCTAGCTTTGCACTTCCCCAGACCCCGGCCCCACCGCCCCCAGCCTCCTGTGTCCCGTAGGTCCCTCTGGCGCTGCGCCCCCACCTCCTCCAGTCTGGCTCTGTGTCCCCGCGAGGTGCTGGGTCCCTTCCCACCCCCGCCTCCTCCTCCCTGGTCCCACTGGAGGGGCAGGCAGGGCCGGGGCCGAGTCTCCACACCTGAGGAAATCCCTTCCTGGCCCGGTCCCACCCACGGCCCCCTGGCAACCCCACAGGCCACTGGCCACCCTCCAGGAGGTTCCAGCAGATGGGGTGTGTGTGTGTGTGTGTGTGTGTGTGTGATGTGTGTGTGATGTGTATAGTGTGTGTGTGTGCGTGCTATGTGTATTGTGTGGTGTGTAGTGTTTGTGTAAGATGTGTGGTTGTGTGTGGTGTTTATGTATGGTGTTTGTGTATGGTGTGTAGTGTGTGTGTATCGTGTGTATTGTGTATGGTGTGTGTGTTGTGTATGTATCGTGTGGTGTTATGTATAGAGTATGTCATTGGTGTGTGGTGTGTGTATCGTGTTATGTGTGTCGTGTTTTGTGTGTTGTCTTTTCTGGTGTCTGCTGTTTGTGGGTGGTGTGTATATATCATGTGTGGTGTGTGGTGTGTGTGTCATGTGTTTTGTGGTGTGTGCTGTGTGTGTATGGTGTGTGTTGTGTGGTGTTTTGTGGAGTGTGGTGTTTGTGTGTGGTGTGTATGTATCATGTGGTGGTGTGTATGGTGTGTCATGTGTTTTGCATTGTGTGGTGTATATAGTGTGTGTATGTGGTATGGTGGGTATGATGTGTTTGTGGTATGTGGTATTTGTGTCGTGTGTTGTGTCTGTGTTGTGTGTGGTGTTTGTGTGTGGTGTGTATGTATCGTGTGTGGTGTTGTGTATAGTGTATGTGGTATAGTGAGTATGGTGTGTTTGTGGCATGTGGTGTTTGTATGGTGTGTGTTGTGTGTGGTGTTTTGTGGTGTGTGGTGTGTGTGTGGTGTGAATATATCATGTGTGGTGTGTGTGGTGTGTGTGTCAAGCATTTACTGGTGTGTGTGTGCTGTGTGTGTATGGGGTGTGTATGGTGTTTTGTGGTGTATGCTGTGTGTGTATGGTGTGTGTTGTGTGTGTGTGGTGTTTTGTGTTTGTGTGTGGTATGTATATATCATGTGTGTTGTGTGTGATGTGTGTCATGCATTTACTGGTGTGTGCTGTGTGTGTATGGTGTGTGTTGTGCGTGTGTGGTGTTTTGTGGTGTGTGGTGTTTGTGTGTGGTGTGTATATATCATGTGTGGTGTTGTGTGTTGTGTTTGTGTGGTGTGTGCTGTGTGTGTGTGGTTGTTTGTGGTGTGTGGTG